>NC_000007.14:156831453-157144518 GCF_000001405.40 Homo sapiens
TCATTCTACCACAGCAAAAGACAAAGAGATCAATAAGGGCAGGGAAGAAAGATGAGGGAGACTAGTCAGACTCCTCCTCAGGTGACCCTCTTCCCCATGCCCCTCCCTTAACTGTATCACCACTTTATACGAACCCACTGACCTTCAGGAAGAGGATTTCTGTATGCATCCCCAGGATACAGAAACCACCCGTGACTCGGAAAACCCAAACCCCTCGCACGTGCTGTGCCAGCTGCCCCAAAAGCAGGTAAGATGCTCCTGGGCATCTACCATAAGGAAACAGCACATCACCCTATTGTCATTCAATGTACTTTTAGGGGTAAAAGACAAAGTGATGTGTTCTTTTCTGTTTATAAATTACGGATCTACGAGTACACTGAAGTCGATTTACCACCACAGGTGGCACACAGACTGAATGGAGAGGAGAAAGGTATGTATCTCACTTGCCCTTCACACCTAGAGGGTTTCACATGGAGAGAATATCTACCTTTTATTCAGTCTCTTATTCGTTGTAGCTTTTGTGAGGTGAGTGAAGTGAATTTTTAAAGGAGCTCTAATTTATACAGAGGAAAAAAATGATTCACTTAATTTTCACAAATGTCACAGGGCTAAGAATAAAACTAAAACCCGTAATTCTGTAAATTTAAAACATCAAGTTTTGGGCCTAGGTTTTAAAGTGAGAGTAAGAATTTCCAGCATAAAGTTACAGCTATTTTTGTTTCTTATCTAGCTTCCCTATGTCATTTAAAATAAATTACCAAATCTAGTAAATCACAATCCATTTATATTCATTTTTCAGTTATGAATCAAATCAGGCAGAGTCAAGTCATTTATTAGCTGGGAGTTATTAATTTCTTTATTGAGGTGAAATTCACATTACATAAAATTTACCATTTTAAGGTGAACAATTCAGGGGTGTGTAGTTCATTCACAATGTTGCACAATCACCTCTTTCTTTCATGTTCATTGCCCCAAAATAAAATGCCAAACCCATGAAGCAGCTGCTCCCCATTCTCCTCTCCCTCAGCTCCTTGCAATCATCAATCTGCTTTTATCTATTCTGGACATTTCTTATAGATGGAATTGCACACTATGTGGCCTTTTGTGTCTGGCTTCGCTCACTTACTATGGTCCATCCACAATGCAGCATGTATCAGTACTTCATTTCTTTTACAGCTGAATACTATTCCATTGTATGTAGAAGCATTTATTTGTATGTGTGTACAAGTATGTGAAAGCACACAGAATCTTTCTCTTCCTCTTCCCCTTTTCTTACTTCCTCATCCTCCTCAGCAAAGGATGCATAATCTGATACTAATTATGAAGAAAGATCAGACAAAACCAAATAACTACTCAATAATCTTCAAAATTATCAAGGTCAGGAAAGTCAAGGAAATAATGAAGAAGTGTTTCAGTCTGAAGGAGACTAAAGGACATGACACCCAAATGCAATGTGTGATTCTGAACTGGATCCTTTCACTACAGAAAGGACATTATTGGGATAACTAGTAAGTTTGAATGGAGTGTGAGTGGTACCGCTGTCTATGCTAATTTCACTATTTTGATACATAGGTAGAATGCACTGTTTATTGGAATTATACATAAAAGTATCCTGAGGAAATGAAGCATCAGATGAGCGACTTCTAAACAGTTGGAGTAAAAAAAACTTTGTGTTCTACTTCCACCTTTTCTATAAACTTGAAATTTCAAAAGAATTTTAATGTATCAATAAAAAAATCCTGGAATACAGAACTTTCCTACATAGGTGCATCTGTGCAATTTCACATTTAAACAAGCAAAAACTAACAGAAAGGAATTCGCTGCTTTCCATTCAGTTTGATACTTCAATAAAATTACAGGACCTCCCTATCATATCTCACCGGTGTACATAAGGAACCTACAGGACGGTCTGGGCCCATGTTCCTGCTCACAGCAGGCAGGTTCAGCTAACCAGAGGAGATGTCCGCTGCTCGGTTCAAGAGCATCATAGTCTTCTCAGCAGACTGTTCAAACAGCCAAGAGTCTTCTTTCTTATGACCAAGCAATTAAATTAAGGCCATTTCCTCATTTAATCCCCTGAGGATAAAATCTGTCAGCTCCTTAAATATGCAAATTCCAATAGGAGATTGGATTATCCACACATATTTGCTTACATGTGCTTTCTAAAATTAATATGATAAAGCTATTGTAATGTGCTGGGTGAATATTTTCCATACTTCTATCCAAAAATTAGAATTGGATTTTGAGAATTGATGACTTCAGAATCAGAAACAGAACAACTGAACTTTAAAATACATACGAAATCCTGTTGACGATGGCATCTTCATCTTCTTGTTCATCTGCAAAAATGTTTAAGGTATTAATATTCCTTTATCTTCTAACAAAATGCGTCATTAATTTATTAAAACTATAAACACAATATAAACTTAAAAGGCAATTATTGAACAGAAACAATTTTCAAAAAGCACTGTATTTGTTTCAGCATAGATCCAAATTTAAATCTCATTAAATCAAGTAGTATGGTATATAGAGAATGGGATGTTTCAATTAACAAAATCCTGATTAATAAAACTACCATATGTAAATTAAAATTTGCTCAAGAAAATAAAACTTAGTACAACCTTAGGACCACTACAAAGTAAATTATTATACAATGTTAAGTGAAACTGCTAATAAATAAAATTTTCTGGGTGATAACAGCCAACAAAAGTTACTATAAAATTAAAATTCAGAAACATAGAACTCATAATTTTCTATAATATGAATTTGTCATTAATAATAGTAACAAGGAGTCTCCTGGACCATCCTAAATAACTTGGATACTACTGCCTCAGTAACTCATAATTATTGTTACAAACAGAAATTGGCTGGGCGCAATGGCTCACACCTGTAATCCCAACACTTTGGGAAGCTGAGGTGGGCAGATCTCTTGAGCCCAGGAATTCAAGACCACCTTAAGCAACATAGGGAGACTCCATCTTTACAAAAAAATTTTAAAAATTAACTAGGCATGGTGGCACATGCCTGTAGTGCAGGATACTCAGGAGGCTGAGGTTGGAGAATCACTTGAGCCCAGGAGGTCGAGGCTACAGTCAGCCATGATTGCCCCACTGCTCTCCGGCCTAGGGGACAGAAGGAGATCCTATCTCAAAAAAAAAATTGTATATATATATTTAGAAATAAAAATTATATATAATATATAATAAAATATATACAATTATAAATATATTAAATATATTGAAATATATTTAAAATTATATTATATATAAAGTTTGTTTAATCTTTTTTAAGTAGCAGATGGTCTTCACTCACACTCTCCTTCTCGCTCATGCCTGTCAGCAATCTCTTTTGTCCTCCCACATAAACTTACAAGCTAAAGAGACTGCCCAATTATAAGAATACCACAGGCTGGGCGCAGTGGTTCATGCCTGTAATTCCAACACTTTGGGAGGCAGAGGCAGGCGGATCACAAGGTAAAGAGATCAAGACCATCCTGGCCAACATGGTGAAACCCCATCTCTACTAGAAATACAAAAATTAGCCAGGTGCGGTGGCGGGCGTCTGTAATCCCAGCTACTCAGGAGGCTGAAGCAGGAGAATCACCTGAACCCAGGAGGCAGAGGTTGCAGTGAGCCGAGATCACGCCACTGCACTCCAGCCTGGTGACAGGGCGAGACTTGTCTCAAAACAAAACAAAAAAAAGAATACCACAAACCCTCCTGGCCCCTCCTTCTTAAATGCCTAATGTCCTCCAAGACTCTCTGCTCAGGTCTCTGGAATTCTGAGCACCCATCTGCTTCAGTGTCAAGGGTGTATTTGGGCCATTCTGTTAGTCCACCTCCATTCTTAATTCCAAGATTCCCAAAAGAACTTTTACAACCAAAGGGACCACAAAAGAACATAGTTACAATTAATTTTTATATACTGTTGTGCTCACATCCAATTAATTATCCAGTCTTGGCCAGGCGCAGTGGCTCATGCCTATAATCCCAGCACTTTAGGAAGTCAAGGCAGGCAGATTATCTGAGGTCAGGAGTTCGAGACCAGCCTGGATAACATAGTGAAGCCCTGTCTCTATTAAAAATACAAAAATTAGCTGGGCATGGTAGTGCATGCCTGTAATCCCAGCTACTAGGGAGGCTGAGGCAGGAGAATCACTTGCACCCAGAAGGTGGAGGCTGCAGTAAGCCGAGATCGCACCACTGCACTCCCGCCTGGGCGACAGAGTGAGACTCCATCTCAAAAAAAAAAAAAAAAAAACATCAAGTCTTAGAGAATGTGTTAATGTCTCCATATTCATTTCACTTCTATTCCCAGCACACTACCAACTAGGTCCAGGGTCCTCATCACTCTCCCACCACTCCTGCGTTACTCTAAAAATGATCTAATAAATCTCCAATTTTCCCACTCACCAACCTCTAATTTCACTTAGAATGATGCATTTATATACATTCATTCTTTCTCTCTCCCTCCTTCTGTGTCTACAGTTCATGAAACCATGCCAATGAATTTTTTTAAATAGCTACGATACTATTTTGAATCTGTATCTTCAGAATTTTTAGAGGTTATGGAATCCATGGAGTACTTCAAGTGCAGTCACAGAGCCAAGTAACAGTACTAAACTAATACACTAGAGCAGGCACTATAACCTATTTCTCTCAAAAGTCCCGCAAGTTTAAACTGATAGCATAATATTAAGAAATCATTAAGTATTCATACAGCACCTACTATTAGCCCAACATCACAAGCAGATAATCCTGTGATTTTCAGAAAACAGCTGAGATTTAACAAAAAATAGTAAGGTAATTGCTTAGGTACTTATAAAACCCTGACCTAAAAAATCTGAATTAATGAGCACAAAGTTCATTAAAAAGAGTAAAGATATGGTAGTCCCTCTGGCTGGATAAGGATATATGTGAAAGAATAAAAAGATAATACAAGATGCTAGTAATTGGATACTAAATAGTATTATGGAGACTCTAAATATCTACTATATGCTCTAGTAGCCAGAAAAGGTATGAGGTGTGGATGAGTAAAACATTCAAAGTCAGAGCCGCTCACAAGGAACCAAATATCCTTATAAACTCGGGAATTTCCCAGATACTAAATAGCCTAGCACTATTCTTAGTTGGACATAAGAATTGTGATAAACAAGGACTCTGGTCTAAGAGGATGACTCTAAGAGTAGTCAGATTCCCTGGAGGTTATTTTTAGGTCTCCTAGTACCAGACAACTGCTTACTTCAATCACCGGCATATTCAATACACTATGACACTGAAGTGTACTAATATATCTTATATACCATGCCTAGACCATGTGGCATTCTAACAAAGGTTTTAATTGACATGTTTCCACTTGCCTGATTTTCTCTTGTATCTTGTGATGATGAAGTAGGAAACAACGTAGAGAATGGCAAAAAGAAGGAAACATATCTGAAACAAAACGAAGTTAACAGATCATTTACTTTTTTGCATATCTTTTTTAAATACTAGAAGATATATCTGTGATATTTATAGGAAAAAAGGATTTAAACTACTAAAAAGTTAAAATGCTGGACATTTTACTCATTAAAGTTTTAATAAAACATAGGCTGGGCATGGTGGCTCACACCTGTAACCCCAGCACCTTGGGAGGCCAAGGCGGGTGGATCATCTGAGGTCAGGAGTTTGAGACCAGCCTGGCCAACATGATGAAACCCTGTCTCTACTAAAAAATACAAAAAAAAAAAATATTAGCAGGGCATGGTGGCGGTGCACCTGCAATCCCAGCTACTCGAGATGCTGAGGCAGGAGAATCTCTTCAACGCAGGAGGCGGAGGTTGCAATGAACCAAGATCACACCATCGCACTCTAGCCTGGGCAACAAGAGTGAGACTCCATCTCAAAAAAAAAAAAAAAAGTGTTAATAAAATATTAATTTATATGAACTAGTCAATTAGCCCCATTTAATACCATTTGAAAAAAAAAAAAAGCCCAATGGAGACTTTTCTTTCCGTAACTTGATCCAATGTTTTTCAAAATCATGTGGAAATGTGAAGAATCAGACCATCACCACTGACAACTCTGAAAAATAAAGTCAACTGGAAACTACTAACACAACCAAATATTAAAACATTATCAAAAGCTTCAATTCATTTAAAGAATGTGCCAGCACCAAAAATTGACAGATACATTAAACATTTTCCACTATATAAAAATTTAACATACAAATGGAATCACAAATCAATGTAGGTGGGAAATAATTATTCAATAGATATACCCCATATCAAAATAAAAGGCAGTTGAAGAAAAGACTTCTTTAAGATATCATTAAATTCTGTATTTTTAATTTTGCTTTTTTTTTTTTTTTTCTGAGACAGGATCTCACTCTGTTGCTCAGGCAGGAGTACAGTGGCACAATATTGGCTCATTGCAACCTCCGCCTCCCAGATTCAAGCGATTCTCCCATCTCAGCCTGCCGAGTAACTGGGAATACAGGTAGGCAACACCATGCCTGGCTAATTCTTGTATTTTTTGGCAAAGATGGGGTTTTACCATGTTGGCCAGGCTGGTCTCGAACTCCTGACCTCAAGTGATCTGCCCACTTGAGCCTCCCAAACTGCTGGGATTACAGGCATGGGCCACTGCAACCAGCCTAATTTTGCTTTTTTAATTGACAAATAGAAGTTATACATATTTACTGTGTACAAAATGTTTTAAAATAAGATACATTGTGGAATGGCTCAATCAAGCTAATTAGCATACTCATTACCTCAAATATTTATAATTTTTTGTGATGAGAACACTTAAAATCTACTTAGTGATTTTCAAAATATAATACATTGTTATTTATTATAGTCTTCATGTTATACAATAGATTTTGAACTTATTCCTCCTACCTAACTGAAATTTTGTACCCTTTGACCAACATCTCTCCAAGCCCCCACCCCTAGTCCCTGGCAACCATCATTCTACTCACTGTTTCCAAAAGTTCAACATTTTTAAATTTCACATCTAAGTGAGATCATGAAGTATTTGTCTTTCTGTGTCTGGCTTATTTTACTTAACATAATTAATGTCTTCCAGGTTCATCCATCTTGCTGCAAAGGACAAGATTCTTTCTTTTTTACAGCTGAATAGTATTCCCTTGTGTATATACACTACATTTTCTTGATCCACTCATCTGCTGGCAGACACTTAGGTTGATTCAACAACTTCACTATTGTGAACAGTGCTGTCATGAACATGGGAGGGCAGGTATCTCTTCAACACATTGATTTCATTTCTTTTGGATATATACCCAGCAGAAGTACTGCTGGGTCATATGGCAGCTCTATTTTTAATTTTTTGAGGAATCCCCACACTGTTTTTTATAACGGCCATACTAATTTGCATTCCCACCAACAATGTACAAGGGTTCCCTTCTCGCCACATCTTCATCAACCCTTGTTATCTTTTGTGTTTTTGATTACAGCCACCCTAACAGATGTGAGGTGATAGGTCATGGTGGTTTTGACTTATATGTCCCTGATGATTAGTGATGTTGAACACATTTTCATATACCTATTGGCCATCTGTATGTCTTCTTTTGAGAAATATCTATTCTAGTCCTTTGCTTTTTTTTTTTTTTTTTTTTGGACAGAGTTTCACTCTTGTTGTTCAGACTGGAGTGCAATGGCGCGATCTTGGCTCATTGCAACCTCCACCTCCCAGGTTCAAGTGATTCTCCTGCCTCAGCCTCCCAAGTGGCTGGGACTACAGGCTCACACCACCACACCTGGCTAATTTTGTATTTTTAGTAGAGACGGGGTTTCACCATGTTGGTCAGGCTGGTCTCGAACTCCTGACCACAGGTGATCCACCTGTGTCAGCCTCCTAAAGTGCTGGGATTACAGGTGTGAGCCACTGTGCCCAGCCGCCCATTTTTTAATCAGGTTAATTGTTTAATTTCAATTGAATTTCTATCAGATCTGGGGAATGCCAGACCGACAAAAAAGGATGGGTCAACAGGAGATCTCGTTACAGTCAAAGACTGTGTGCTAGAAATAAAGGTTTGCCACAGCTTGTTGTGGAACATGGAAAAAAAAATTGAAGACTCTCAAATGAAACCATTCTGAGTGATGATGAAGTCTAGAGAATATCCCTTGTGTGTATTTCTGAAGAAGTACTGGTGGCCATATGACTGAGAACAACTTTGGACCAGGATAGTGGACATTCCCTGCACATCATCATGTAGGAATGACAAACGGAGAATGAAGAAGACTACTAGCTGTGTGCCAAAGCTCTCCCAATACACAAGGGAGAGAAACAGAAGACAGTACTGACAGCAACCAAAAGGACCAAAGGGCATCAAAGATTCCCTGCCACTGGAAGCCACGTACCTGTTGGGAACACTGGCTAGACAAGAAAATGTCAACAGCATCGCTACCTTCTCCCAAAATTATCTGGAGTGTAGAAGATGGGCCAAAGAGGAAAACCAGCTCTTGGAGAAGAAATGTAAATGGAGAGGTCTTCTAAGAAGTTGAGAATAAGGGGAAATTGTTTACAATGGAATGAAGTCTGAGTAAGGCTACAAGAGCAATGGAGAGAAGACAGAAACACAGTGAATCATGAGGTTAAAGTCAGAGAGATTCGATGACCAAGGGAATTAATATTTAGGACAGAGGCTGATTTAAATTCATTCACATTTTATTCATTCAAATAAAAACAATTTTTACTGTGGGCTTGCTATATACCAGGCACTCTTCTAGGAACTGGGACATAGCAGTGAACAAAGTTATAGCCCTCATGGAGCTTACAGTACACTGCGAGAAAAAGACAATAAATAAATATAAAGTGTGTCGTATGATAATTATGCAACGTTAGAGGAACAGGAAGTGCCAGCAGGGGTGGGGGCATGTCTCACTAATAAGGTGACATCTGAGGAAAGAGTTGTGGGACAAGAAGGGCCAAGACATGCAGAAATCTAGAGGAACGGGGGAGGATTTGAGGCAGAGAGAACAGTAGTGCCAAGGGTCGGAGGCAATAATGGCTCTGGTGTGCTCAAACAATGAGTGGGCAGAAGTAAGAGACAAGGTCAGAAAATAATGGGAGCCCACTATTCGGGTCACGCAAGACTCAGGTACTGTGTGTCGGTTTTTACCCTGAGTGAGACAGAATTCCACTGTAGGATTCTGAGTAGAGGGTGATAGGATCTGACACAGTGCAAAAGGCTCACTATAAGTGCTATGCAGAAAATAAACTGGAGGCCGGGCGCGGTGGCTCACTCCTGTAATCCCAGCACTTTGGGAGGCCGAGGCGGGTGGATCACGAGGTCAGGAGATCGAGACCATCCTGACTAACATGGTGAAACCCCGTCTCTACTAAAAATACAAAAAAAAAAAATTAGCCGGGCGTCGTGGCGGGCGTCTGTAGTCCTAGCTACTCGGGGGGCTGAGGCAGGAGAATGGCGTGAACCTGGGAGGCAGAGGTTGCAATGAGCCGAGATCGTGCCACTGCACTCCAGCCTGGGCGACTGAGCAAGACTCGGTCTCAAAAAAAAAAAAAAAAAAAAGAAAAAGAAAAGAAACTGGAAAAGGGCCAGGACAGAGGCAAGGAGAGCAGGCAACAAAGAACTGCAGGAAGCCGAGAGCAGCCACTCGGACCTGTGCAAGGAGGTGCTCAGAAGACATGGAATTCTGGGCACGTTTTGAAAGCAGACATGATAAGATTTGCTAGAATAAATATAAGGTTCTTTGCCTGAGAAACTGGAAAGACAGAGTTGCCATTTCAGGACTCAGGAAAGATTAGAAGAGGAGTAGTTTTGAGGGAGAAATAAGTATAGCTTAACACTGTTGAATCTGACATACATATAATTCACTCAGGTCAAGAGGCTGGATGGGCAGTTGGATAAAAATCTGTACCATTCAGAAGAAAGGGCCAGGCCATAAATTTTTTAAAACCTTAGAATCATCTGCAGATGATATTTAAAGTCCTGAGACTAGACGAGATTTCCATCCCAGGGAGTAAGTATAGCCAGAGAAGAGAAGTCTGAGAATAGAGACCTAGAGCTCTCAAATATTTAGAAATCAGCTTGGCAGAAGGATTCACAAAAGCTGACTGAGAAGCAGCAGTCAGCAAGGGAGGAGGCAAACCAAGAGACTAGATGTCTTGAAAGCCACATGAAGAAAGTTTATTTAGGAAAATGGAATCATCGACAGTGTCAAACACTGCTGACAGGCCAAGAAAGATGAGGACTGGGAATTAACAGCTGGATTTAGCACCATGGAGGTCACTGGTGACCTTGACAAGAGTTATCTTGATGGAGTAGTGGAGGTAAAACCCTGAGGCAGATTAAGAAAGAAGAATAGTTGGAAACAGAAATGCAAGTACACAGAACTTTCCAGGAGTTTGATTATAAAGAGGAGCAAAGAAAATGTGAAGGGATTGTGACGTGTTTTTTTAAAAAATGAAAAGCATTACAAATGATTATATGAATAATCCAGTAGAGAGAAAAATTATTGATGCAAGAGAAAAAAGAAGCAATTGCTGAAGTTATGTGCTCAAGTTGTGGGAGTGATATAAAATGTATCCATAAATAAAAAGGAGGAGAACAAGGAGGAGACAGAATATTTCAGTTCAGTTGCAGGTAGTTACGTGTGGTGAAAGCAGAAAGACATGACTACATTTTTTGATGGCATCTATTTCCTCAGTGCAACAGAAGCAAGTTCATCAAATCAGATACATACGGAGAGTGAGGGAAGAAGTGCTGCAGGGTAATAAGGAATCAGAGAGACCGATGGGGTTGAGGAGTAATTATTTAATTATTTAGGTGCCCCAACCCAGTCAGATTAACATCTAAAGGACTGAGGCCCGAACAAAGAGTCAAGCTACCTTTTAAGCATTTTGTGGGGCGGGGGGAGATTTGTACAGGGGGAAGCGTATTATAGAAGTGAGAAACAAAGACAGTTATTTAATTAAGATGTGCGTTATATTATTTTTTACTTTTTAAGGAATAACACGTTTTAAGACTTGAGATTATCTGTTGAGTGACCTTGCAGCTGCGCAGCTAGAGAAACAGTGTCTGTACAATGCCTGGGAAAGGGAGAGATAAGGCTCACTAGCCTCAGAAAGAAAAACAGGCAGTTAATTTTAAAGAACTCCAGCCCTTTCTCTTCCTCAAGGGGAACTGGGTTTTTGACATACAACTGAGTTTTTGCTTACACAGTTTTTAATTTCTTTTAATTCCTATTCCAGAAGGAGTATGTAAATCATATGGGAGAACAAATGGAGCAAATATAATAGAAATAAGAGTCAAGGTAAGATTAAATGGCCTTTAAAGTTCCAGGCAAGTCCAAGCTAAAACCCTCAGCAGTGCTGGCAGCCTGGTGGTGCTGTAAAACATGAGAGCCAGATTCCTAGATGCTGAGGCAGATGCAGGTAGAGTCCCCAAGAAATACTAGAAGCTTGATGATTCTAACAGATATCCTAGCTCTCTCCTCCCCTTTCCAGCCAAGCGCTTCAAAATAATAGCCTGTGCTTGCAGACTTCTACCTTTCACCACTCACTCCTTCCAGCCACTCATCAAACTTCACACTCATCGACCAACTCAAAGTGGTCAGTAAACCTAACAGGAAAATTACACTTCATGATTTTTGCTGAGCTCTATGCAGCAACTTCTGTCAGCAGTCTTCCTCCCTCTCTGTTGTTCTCCCAGTCTCCCTCACAAGCTTCCCTTTTCCTGCCAGCCTTTAAACAATCTTCTCTGTAATTTCTGGGATGAGCACCCATCTATTCTTACTCCACAAGCTCTTCATAGGTAACATCAAATACTCCCAGGATTTCAACATCAATCCCAAGGAAGCCCCTGACCACAGTGTGAGAAGCACTGGTTTAGGGTATTAGCAAGAGTGAGTGAAGTGACTGGCCATGATACCAAAGTAGATTAGGAGAAAACTGAAACTAAGGGTAGGCTGATGGACAGGAGAAACAAAGACTTCAATCACCTAATGTTCACGGTACAGAAGTAGCTGCAACGAAAGCACTTGACCAAGGAAGCTGCAAGAATAGAATGTTTTGATCAAAGGATGTTTCTGAATTTTTTAAAAATTATGTTTAAAGGTGAAACACAATCATTTCATAAAATCCAGGGAAGGCTGGGTGCAGTGGCTCCCGTCTGTAATTCCAGTACTTTGGGAGGCTAACGCAGTTGGATCACTTGAGGTCAGGAGTTCAACACCAGCCTGGCCAACATGACGAAACCCGGAAACACAAAAATTAGCCAGGTGTGGTGGCACACGCCTGTAATCCCAGCTACTCAGGAGGCTGAGGCACGAGAATAGCTTGAACCTGGGAGATGGAGGTTGTCATGAGCCAAGATGGGGCCACTGCACTCCAGCCTGGGCAACAGAGCAAGACCCTGTCTCAAAAAAAAAAAAAAAAGAAAGAAAAGATTCAGGGATTTAGTGCACAAGTGGTAGATGAGAAAGCATGAAAATGGAGAAAAGGAAAACAAGTAACCAAAATGCATTGGATAAGACTAATGGAAAATAATACATTTAAGAGTACAAGTAAGGCTAATAATTTAAAAACAAATGTAAGTATTATTATTGAAATAAAAGTCATACATTAGGGCCAGGCATGGTGGCTCACACCGGTAATCCCAGTACTTTTGGGAGGCCGAGGTGGGTGGATCACCTGAGGTCAAAAGTTCAAGACCAGCCTGGCCAACATGGAGAAACCCCGTCTCTACAAAAAATACAAAAATTAGCCAGGATGGTGGTACACGCCTGTAATACTAGCTACTCAGGAGGGTGAGGCAGGAGAATCGCTTGAACCCGGGAGAAGCAGGTTGCAGTGACCCAAGATCACGCCACTGCACTCCAGCCTGGGTGACAGAACAAGACTCCGTCTCACACAAAAAAAAGCTACACACTATGAAAATAAGAATACAACTATAACAGACCAAAACAAAAATCACAGAACTCATTAGACTGTGTTTCTAGTTTCAAAAGTAGGACGAGGAGTAGGTTCTACTCTAAAGTTGTAAGTCTCTTCCAGAGACAGAGTCAGAGGGATGAGTGAAATAAAAGAAAGCTATAATGATGCCTATTCTCCCTTTGTCCAGGATGAAAGGAAATTCCTAACCAAAAAAAAGAAAAAAACAGTCCAGCTTCTCATCACTAAAAGTGAAGTACACCTGAATGAAAAAAAAAAAAAAAAAGATGGGCTCTATTCTGGCATCTTGTGATACTGTGAACAAATTGAGCTTTGCTCCTGGTCAGGGAAGGAACAGCCATGCCCTATTTCAGAGCTCACAGCAAAATACCCACTGGGATGCATGTCCTACTGTGCTAGCTAGCCCAGAAAGAAGGCAACGCAGCCCTGGAAGAAGGAGGCAGCATGGCTTTAGTCCTGATGCTGCTGATCAAGAATGGCTAGGCACTTGAGAGGTGACACAGTCATAAGTAACTGAATAGTACCTTTAATATACATTGTTAAAAACTAATATTCTTAAATTTGAGGAATCACACCTGAATCTAAATTCAGACTGGTGCGTTATAATCAAATTGTACCACCCAGCCTTTCATTTAAGGCCTATCGGCTTCAACTAATTTCAAGTGAAGAATAAGTATCATAAAAGAGTGATGAGTACAAAGTGGGTTCAAGGACTGCTATCACCAACACATTTCTAACAAAACCCATGATGGATATACCAATTGCCCTGATTATTTGAATGTATCAAATTATCATGTGTACCCCAAGAATATATACATCTAATATGTATCAATAAAAAATTAAAAATAACAAAATCCTGAGAGAGAAAGCAAGTGAACTATTTTTAAACCAATAATCTTATATTCCATAGCAGAGAGGTCACAGATAATGCAGCCTGGGCAATGGAGCAAGATTCCGTCTCCAAATAAATAAATAATAAGCTACCCACTAAAATAATTAAAATTAAAAATACACTTCTTTGAAATTACCCTAACAACAAGAAAAATAAAATAGAAAAATCCAGACTATGTAGTAAAAGACAGGAAGACAAAAATAGTTATGAAGATAATAATGTAATAAAGATGAGACATATTTAAATCAATAATAGTAAACGGGAAAAACTATTAAAAGAAAACACTGATAGAATGATACATATCTTAAAACAAAGTGACTCAGAAGGGTTGAAAATCACAAAATAAACAGAGACATACCAGACTGATGGTAACAAAAAAGAAAGATGGGTTGAAATTTTTTTTTTTAAGAGACAGGGTTTTGCTCTGTCACCTAGGCTGAAGCGCAGTGGCACAATCACAGTTTACTGCAGCCTTGAACTCCTGGGCTCAAGTGATCCCCCACTTCCATTCGCCATGTAGCTGAGATTACAGGTGTGAACGACTGTGCCCAATTCAATTTATTCTTCTCTCAGACAAGGCTGAATTTAAGGCAAAAGTGTGAAGTAAGACAAAGTAGGGCACTTAAGGAAGAATGGTGTAAACCACAATGGGAAAAGAACTGTCATGAATCTTCATGTACCAAAAAGCACAGTACCAAAATACCTCAGAAAAAAAAAAACAAAACAGGAACAGTGGCTCACACCTATAATCCTAGCTACTCAAGAGGCTGAGGCAGGAAGATCACTTGAGACCAAAAGTGATCACTTAACGACACCCTGGGCAACCTAGAGAGACCCCATCTCTGCAAAAATAATTTACAATTTTTTAAAAATTAGCCGGCATGAACATGTAGTGCCAGCTACTCAGGAGGCTTAGGCAGGAGGATGTCACTCAAGCTCAGGAGTTCAAGGCTGCAGTGCACAGCTATTGCTCATGCCACTGCACTCCAGCCTGGATGACAGATAGAAACCCTGTCTTTTAAAAAAACAAACAAACAACAACAACAAAAACAAAGATGCCAAATATGCAAAGATAAATCATGCCATAATCATGCCACTACACTCCAGCCTGGCAACAGAGTGAGACCCTGTCTCATTAATTAATTTAATGTAAATAAATACATAAATGTAAAACACTATTTATATTAGCATTCCACCAAAGCAAAATACTTAACTATAAATCTATCAAAATATGTACAGAATCTGTATAAGAAAGCTATAAAACTCTGAAAGAAATCAAAGAACTTAATTAGTGGAGAGAGATTGCATGTTCATGTATAGGAAGACTCAATATTGTCAAGATGTCGGTTCTTCCCAACTTCATCTATACATTCAGTGCGATTACAATTACAATCCCAGCAAGTTATTTTGTAGATATCAACAAACTGATTCTAAATTTTACATGGAGAAGCAAAAGATCCAGAATAGTCAACACAATATTGAAGGAAAAAAACAAAGTCATCTATTACATAGTAGGGTGGCTATAGCTAATAACAATGTATTGTATAGTTCAAGACAGCTAGAAACGAGTATCTTGAAAGTTATCACCACAAAGAAATGATAAGAGTTTGAGGTAATGGACATGCTAACTGCCCCTTTTTGATCATTACACAATGTACACATACATGCACTGAAACATCACACTATACCCCATAAACATACAATTATGCATATAAACAAAATTAATTTTAAAAAGAAGAAAGAGGACTGACACTACCCAGTTTCAAAACATTATAAGGCTACAATAATTAAGACAGCATGACATTGATGGAAAAACACAGACAAATATAAATATAGATCCACAGAAAAGACAGCCCAGAAATATACCCACATAAATACGATCAACTGATCTTTGACAAAAAGAGCAAAGGCTATATAATGAAGAAAGGATCACCTTTTCAACAAATGGTGCTGAAACAACTGGACATCCACATGCATAAAAATGAATCTAGACATAGACCTTATACACTTCACAACAATTAACTCAAAATGGATGATGATTACAAACCTAAATGCAAAACACAAAACTGTGAGACTCCTAGAAGATAACAAAGGAGAAAATCTAGATGGCCTTGGGTTTGGGGATTGCTTTTTAGATACAGCACCAAAGGCATGATCCATGAAAGAAAGAATTGATAAGCTAGACTTTACTAAAACTTAAAACTTGTGCTCTGCAACAGACACTGTCAAGGGAATGAAAAGAGAATCACAGGCTGGGAGAAAATATTTGCAAAAGACTCCTCTGATAAAGGACTACTATGCAAAACATATAAAGAGCTCTGAAAGTTCAACCACAAGAAAACAAACAGTCCTATTGAAAAATGGCCAAAGACCTCATGAGTGAAGATACGCAGATAGCAAATAAGCACACAAAAAGATGCTCCACATCAACACAAAGTAAAACAACAAGATACCTGTGATGACACACCTATTAGAATGACTAAAATCCAGAATACGAACACCACCAAATGCTGGTGAGGATGTGGGGCAACAAGAACTCTCATTAATTGCTAGTGGGAATACAAAATGGCACAGCCACTTTGGAAGATAACTTGGCAGTTTCTTACAAAACTAAAAACACTCTTACCATATGATTCAGCAATCCCGTTAGATTTGGTATTTACCCAAAAAAGTTGAAAACTATCCACACAAGAACTTGCACAGGAATGTTTATAGCAGCTCTTTTCATAATTGCCAAAACTTGGAAGGAATCAAGATATCCTTCAATAGGTAAATAACTAAAATGTAGAAGATCATTCAACACTAAAAAAAAAAAAATGCAAAAGATGGAGTAAAGACTTAAATGTAAAACCTAAAACTATAGAACTCTGGAAGAAAACCTAGGAAATACCATTCTGGACACAGGCCCTGACAAAGACTTCATGACAAAGACACTAAAAGCAACTGCAACAAAAACAAAAATTGACAAATGGGAATCTAATTAAACTAAACAGCTTCTGTACAACTAAAGAAATATCAACCGTAAATGACAACCTACAGAATAGGAGAAAACATTTGCAAACTATGCATCTGACAAAGGTCTAATAAAAGCAACCCCACTAAAAAGTGGGCACAGGACAAGAAAAGACACTTTTCAAAAGAAGACATACATGCAGCCAACAAGCATATGAAAAAATGCTCAGCATTATTAATCATTAGAGAAATGCAAATCAAAATCACATCTCACACCAAGTCAGAGTGGCTATTATTAAAAAGTCAAAAAATAACAGATGCTGGTGAGGTTGCAGAGAAAAGGGAATGCTTATAAACTGGCTAGTGGAACTGTCAATTAGTTCAGTCACTGTGGAAAGCAGTGTGGCAATTTCTCAAACCATTTAAAAGAGAAATACTGGCTGGGCATGGTGACTCACCCCTGTAATCCCAGCACTTTGGGAGGCCAAGGTGGGTGGATCACTTGAAGTCAGGAGTTCTAGAACAACCTGGGATCATGGTGAAACCCCGTCTCTACTAAAAATACAAAGATTAGCTGGCTGTGGTGGCAGGAGCCTGTGGTCCCAGCT
This sequence comes from Homo sapiens, assembly GCF_000001405.40. Taxonomy (NCBI): domain Eukaryota; kingdom Metazoa; phylum Chordata; class Mammalia; order Primates; family Hominidae; genus Homo; species Homo sapiens. Next base: position 156,848,820 of record NC_000007.14, read on the forward strand.
ACTAGGGAAGCTCAAGTACAAGAATCACTTGAACCTGGGAGGCGGAGGCTGCAGTGAGCAGAGATCGTACCATGACACCGCAGCCTGGGCGACAAAGCAAGACTCTGTCTCAAAAAAAAAAAAAAAAGCAAAACAAAACAAAACAAAAACAGTACTACCATTTGACCCAGCAATCCAATTATTGGCTACAGACCCGAAGGAATATAAATCATTCTACCGTAAAGACACATACATGCATTATATTCTTCAGAGCACTATTCACAATAGCAAAGACATGGAATCAACCTAAATGACCATCAACAGTAGAATGGATAAAGAAAATGTGGTATGTACATACCATGGAATAGTATGCAGCCATAAAAGTGAATGAGATCATGTCCTTTGCAGCGACATGGATGGAGCTGGAGCTAGAGACCATTATCCTAAGTGAACTAACACAAGAACAGGAAACCAAATACCACATGTTCTCATTTATAAGAGGGGGCTAAATACTGAGAACACATGGACATAGGGAACAAGAGACATCAGGGTCTACTTGAGGATGGGAGGGAGAGGATGGAAAAACTACCAATCAGGTACTACGTTTCTTATCTGGGTGACAAAATAATCTGTACACCAAACCCCTGTGAAACATAGTAACAAACCTGTACATGTGCCCCTGAACCTAAATAAAAGTTAAAAATTAAAAGAGCTGTCAAAGCAATGAAAAGTCATGGAGGAAACTTAAATGCTTGCTGCTAAGTGAAAGAAGTCAATTTGAAATGGCAACATTTGTATGATTCCAACTATATTCCGGAAAAGGCAAAACAAAACTGTGGAGACACTAAAAGCATCAGTTGTTTGTTGCCAGGGGTTGAGGGGAGGAAGGAATGAACAGGCAGAGCTTAGAGAACTTTTAAGGACAGTGAAACTATTCTGTATGATTCTATAAGGTTAGATACATGTTCTTATAAAATTTTCCAAACCCATGGAATGTACACCACCAGAGTGAACACTAATGTAAACTATGGAATCTAAGTCATGATGTTCAACCCAAGGTCATCAACCATAACAAATTTTCCACTCTGGTGGGGGATGCTGATAATGGCCAAGGCTATGCATGTGTGGAGCCAAGGGATATATGGAAAAATCTCATTACCTTCACCCAATTTTGCTGTGAACCTAAAATTTCTCTAAAAAATAAAGTCTAATTTTAAAAAGTAATACGATTGCATTAGTGCTATGGTTTGTGTGTTTCCCAAAGTTCATGTATTTGAAACTTAATTCCCAATGCAACAGTGTTGAGGTGGGGCTTCAAAAGTGATCAGGTCATGAGGATTCTATCCTCATAAACTGACTAATGTTATCACAGGAGTGGGTTAGTTACGGTGAGAGCAGGTTTGTTATAAAAGCAAGTCTGGCCCCCTTCTTGCCCTTCTGCCTTCCACCATGGGATGATACAACACAAAGGCCCTTGCCAGATGCCAGCCCCTTGATCTTGGGCTTCCCAGCCTCCAGAATCATACACCAAATAAATTTCTGTTCATTATATATTATCCAGCCTGTGGTATTCTGTTTCAGTAGCACAAAACAGACTAAGACAGCTAGTAACAAATGTGTTTATTAAATTCAATGTCCTATATTCCTCCCACCCTGCTTAGACTCTTGTAACCACCAATCTACTTTCTGTTTTTATGTATTTGCCTATTCTGGGTATTTCATATAAATAAAATCATACAGTATGTGCCTTTTTGTGTCTGGCTTCTTTCACTTAGCGTAATGTTTTCAAGGTTCATCCATGCTGTAGCATGTAACAATAGTTCTTTCCTCCAGACATTTTATGAGAAAAACCTCTGTTTCATTAAAAACACATTGGGTATATTTTTGCTTGCAGCTGAAAGCATTCCTTTCAAATACAATTGTATACCCACACAAGGATGTATATATAAAGATGTTCACTTTTCTATTGTTTGTAATTGCAACAAATCACCCTTTGAAATGGTTTGGATGTGTGTCCCCTCAGAATTTCATGTTGAAGCGTGATCCCCACTGTTGGAGGTGAACCCTGGTGGAAGTGTTTGGATCATGGAGGCAGATCCCTCATGAATGGCTTGGTGCCCTCCCCTTGGTGATGAGTAAGTTCTATTAGTTCACACAGGATCTGGTTGTTTAAGGACTTTGGCACCTCCTTTCTCTCTCTTTATCCATTCCCTCTTGCTCCCTCTCGCCATATGACACCCGCCACTTCACCTTCTGTCATGATTGGAAGCTTTCTGAGGTCTTCAACAGAAGCAGATGCCGGCAATATGCTTCTCAAAGAGCCTGCAGAACTGTGTGCCAAAATAACTATCTTTTCCTTATAAATTACTCAGTCTCAGGTATTCCTTTACAGCAACGCAAAATGAACTAACACACCCTTCAAAACAGAGAAGTAAACAAAATTACCAATGCCCTATCTTCAGAACAATTAATTTGAATACAATACACATGCTGATACCTACTCTTCTCATAGTTGCTAAACTGTCATAATAAATTGCCCTGTGTCTTTCAACTTGTGCTTCAATAAAGGCAAAGCAATGCTTCCTCACAGAAAACACTAAGACCCTTAGCAAGGGGTAAATATTCACTTTTTCAAGATTATCACAGCATATTTCAAGTTCATTAATGTCATCAATAATATTATACTTTAATACAACATGCTGTGAAATATTTTAGGCCCAGTAACAAGAATGGACGACTATACACCAGATTACTCTTCCTACTGGTTTCTTGAGGAGATGGTAAAGTTGGGGGGCTGGGGAGTGAGGAGAGAAGAGGGTAGAAATAAGTCATGATTGTAAGCCAAAAACAATGGAGAGAGAAAAAGTAAAGATACTCGCACATAAAAACAGTAAACACATAGTGACTAATGTAAAATTATTTAAGTCGTATAGATATACATAGAGGTATGAAACAATGTGCTTATTTCAGAATGGTGGAATTTCAGATTATTTTTACCCTTTTACCTTCTTCCTTAGATCTATGAAAAAATTAAAGTTTTAACAATAAGGACTTTTATTTACACAGGATGAAAGTACTATTTTCAAAATGAACACAATAAAATTTATTCTAATAACCTTTCAGGAAAGCAATATGATGGCCTATGTATGCACTCTGATTCAATACTGTTATTCCTGGGAATTTATATTACAATAAAGAAACATTCCTCCACTTTTAGATAATTAGGTTACCATTACTACTACTAGCAACAAGAATCACAATAATAGCTGCCACTTGAGACTTTAAGAACACACCTCTAGGAACAAAGTAATATAACAAGTAATAAAGATTTCGGTCCAGGTCTCAAAAGGGTAACCAAGAGAATAACAAATAATAATATAACAATAAACACCAGAGGAAATGGGAAAAACAAAGTAGTGTGAATACTCACTACTGTAGTGTAAATCCTATCAGAAAGCTAGTAGTTAAATCCTCAGTGTCTGTATTGGGAAGTCAATATACGTGTTCAATGTTGGTAAGCCAACAAATATTACCAAGCATTACAGAAATCACTTAGAAAAACTAAAAAAAAATAAGAGATTGCTTATGGAAAATACTTGGATAGGAGCCTTATTCTTCTTAAGGTTTCCTGTACTATCTGATGGATAGCATGTTTCTATACTATCTGATGCATGCATTAGATTTAAAAAATTATAGGCTTCTACACCCCTGACACAATAATTTTCAAGTAATCCTTTAGAGATCTATCTATGATTCTCACTTGGAGTTTTACGTTATTTGGAAAAGTAACACCAAATAAAATCTTTACATTATTGCCTTTTGCTAAACAGGGTTGAGACCTATGATTCTCAACTGAGGGTGACAATGTCCCCCCCAGGAGACATGTTGCAATGTCTGGGGACAGTTTAGTTGTCACAACCAGGTGAATCGTGCTACTAGCATCTGGGGTCAGAGAACAGAGATGCTGTTAAAATCCCATGATGCACAGAACAGACCCGAACAATAAAGAACAATCTGTCCAGAATGTCAACAGTGCCAACGTTGAGAAACTCTGTTTTAGATTAACTGCCAAAAAAGTACAGAAGATAAGCACAGAAGTAATTACATATACAACATAACTTGAACAGTAAATTACAAATAATGCTTTTTTTTTTTTTTGAGACAGAGTCTCAATCTGTCGCCCAGGCTGGAGTGCAGTGGCCCGATCTCAGCTCATTGCAAGCTCTGCCTCCCAGGTTCAGGCCATTTTCCCGCCTCGGCCTCCCAAGTAGCTGGGACTACAGGCACCCGTCACCACACCCGGCTAATTTTTTGTATTTTTAGTAGAGACGGGATTTCACTGTGTTAGCCAGGATGGTCTCGATCTCCTGACCTCATGATCTGCCCGCCTTGGCCTCCCAAAGTGCTGGAATTACAGGCGTGAGCCACCGCACCCGGCCGAATAATGCTTCATTTTTTATTGTAAGTTGCCACAGTAGAAAATGTTAATACTAATTTCACTAATATATTGTAATAAGCACATTCCTTTCTCTTTTAAAAAAAAATGGGTCACATAAAGAAATATTAGCCAGATTAAGGGACAGATCATTCCAAACTACTTAATGTTAAAAGAAAAAAAAAAGCACTATCCCTTATGATCTCACACCCTGTGCTTTAGAAAGAAAAACATTTACACTAATTTTTGTCATGCCATCCAAAACTGTATTTAAAATTAAAAGTAAAATAGAACCACTTTCTAAAAGTCCTAGAATAACTTCTCTGGATTAAATCTATGCAGAAACTGGGTATCAAATGAAGATTCTCAAGCAGCTGCCAAATGATGAACCCAAAGGAAGTCACCACATAGAATAAAGCTTTTGTTTGTTTTTGTTTTTTGAGACAAAGTGTCATCCTGTCACTGAGACTGGAGTGCAGTGGCGTGATCTCAGCTCACTGCAACCTCCACTTCCTGGGTTCAAGGAATTCTCCCGCCTCAGCCTCCCAAGTAGCTGGGATTACAGGCACCTGCCACCACACCCGGCTAATTTTTGTATTTTTGGTAGAGATGGGGCTTCATCATGTTGGCCAGGCTGGTCCCGAACTCCTACCTCAGGTGATCCACCCACCTCAGCCTCCTAAAATGCTGGGATTACAGGCATGTGCCATCGTGCCTGGCCCACATAGAATAAAATTAAAAAAAAAAAAAAAACCACCTATATACATCATATGCCATACACTAAAAGCAATCTTCAAGTAAATCAGACATAAAGGTAAAAGATAACATAGTGGCTTCTGGCTTCCAGTCCAACATGAAAGGAGCTTGGAAGTCATCTTTCCCATCCTCGTAACAAGAAAAAAACTGAACAAACTGAAAGTCAACAACTCTTCTTAAATCCATAAAAGAAGTTAAATTACAGGGCAAACTACTGCTCTAAAAAGTGGAGAGACAAAAGCCCTTGTACAGAAGCCTGCTGCTAGAGCCAGCACTGGTAAAACACTTCAACTGTAATTGATGAATTACTAGAGGATCAGTGTGGACTAACTAGAGAGAGAAAAACTCCAGAAGTCTAGTCTCAGGGGGGACTCCCACACTTTTTTAAAGTTTTTCCTTCAGGAGTCCTACCAGATTCTCAGAGTAAAGATTAGGGAAACTGTTAATTAAAAAATAATAATAAAAAAATAAAATCCCTTCAAGCTTCCAGCAGGAAAAGGAAAACGTAAACATTCTGAAATATGCCCAGGGCATGCTGTTCACCTCAAGAAAGGCCCGTCTGCAAGAGAAACCATTTGTACCCACAGCTTAACCTATTTGAATTTTATCAGAGCCTAATCAACCTGGAAGAAGAGAGACACCCAGCTTCAGCCCCCTCTAGCCTTCTTCACCTAAGGAAGGAGGTCAAAAGCCGAGTAGCACCTGTGAAGGTCACAGACCGGGGCATAGGCTCCATAAAAGACTGAGACCTAATCACAAGACTACAAAATGTTCCCCTCAATCAGGCTGGAGTATAATAACAGGAGATTACAGCTAAAAGAACTGCAAGGCTCAAATTCTATTTAAGAAGTAGTCTCTAGGGGAAACCAAAGACAACAGAAGAGATAAAAACAAGAACACTAGGGGAAATTATACCCTCTGAAACCTGTAGCTACTTCAAACAGTAAGCAGCCTAACTCACACATACATAAACATAAAATCTAACAGTAAAGGCCAAATTACCTCAATCCCTTTTATCTACATCGTATCCGGCTTCCCACAAAATACGAAGCATGCTCAAATGCAAAAATCACAATCTAAAGAGTCAAAGAGTCAGAACCAGACTCACATATGACAGAGATTTGGGGATTATGAGAGTCTGAATTTAATTATTAATATGCAAAGGTGGAAAAGTAAACAACATTCAAAAATATGTGTGTAATGTCAGCAAAGACATGGAAATGTTAAGAATAATTTTTTTAAATGGGAGAAATCAAATATACTGTAACAGAAATGAAGAATGCTTTAATGAGCTCATCAGTAGACTAGACACCTGTGAAGGTCACAGACCAGAGGCATAGGCTCAATAAAAGACTGAGACCTAATCACAAGACTACACAATGTTCCCCTCTCCCCATCTCTTAACACCATAGCAATTAGTCAATTAGAAGATATGTCAATGGAAACTTCCCAAGCTGAAAAGCAAACAGAAAAAATAACAATTCTGAAAAGAAACAGAATAGCCAAGAAGTACAGAACAATTACAAAAGGCATAACATACGTAACAGGAATACCAGAAAAAAAGACAGAAAGCAACAGATAAAATATTTCAAGTGATAATGGCTGATAATTTGCCAAAATTAATACAAACACCTAACAGATCCAGAAAGCTCACAGACCAACAAACAACGTAAATACAAAAAAAAAAAAAAAAAAAAACCTATGTCTAGGCATATCATATGCTGCAAGCTGCAGAAAATCAAAGATAAAGAGAATATCTTGAAATAAGCTACAGGAATAAAAATGCCTTACAAATAGAGGATCAAAGATTAGAATTGCATCAGACTTCTCTTCAGAAACCATGCAAGCAAAAAGAAAGCTGTAAAATATTTCAAATGTTAAAAGGAAAAAACGAAAAATGAAAACACCAACCCAAAGTTCTGTATCCAGCAAAATTATCTTTCAAAAATAAAGGAGAGCACTTTGGGAGGCCGAGGCGGGCAGATCACGAGGTCAGGAGATCAAGACCATCCTGGCTAACAAGGTGAAACCCTGTCTCTACTAAAAATACAAAAAATTAGCCGGGTGTGGTGGCGGGTGCCTGTAGTCCCAGCAACTCAGGAGGCTGAGGCAGGAGAATGGCGTGAACCTGGGAGGCGGAGCTTGCAGTGAGCCGAGATCGCACCACTGCACTCCAGCCAGGGCGACAGAGCAAGACTCTGTCTCAATAAATAAATAAATATAGACAGATAGGTAGATAGATAGATAGATAGATAGAATTTGTCAGACAAAAGAAAACTGAAGGAATTTGTTGCCAATAGACTTAATTAGCAAGAATTTTTTTTCTTTTTTTGTTTTTACTGGAGGCACAGGTGGCTTAGCAAGAAATTTTAAAAGATCTTCATAAAAGAACATGACCACAGGACAGAAATTCAAATCTATGTAAAGAAAGATCATTAGGCCAGTGTCATGAACGGTGGCTGGGCTCATGGCTGTAATCCCAGCACTGTGGGAGGCCAAGGTGGGTGGATCACTTGGGCCCAGGAGATTGAAACCAGCCAGGCCAACATCGAGAAACCCCATCTCTACTAAAAATACAAAAATTGGTTGGGCATGGTGGCATGTGCCTGTAATCTCAGCTACTCAGGAGACTTGAGGCACAAGAACTGCCTGAATCTGAGAGGCAGAGGTCACACCACTGCACTCCAGCCTAGGCGACAGAGTGAGACTCCATCTCAAACAAAAAAAAAAAGAAAAGAAAGATCATTAGAGAAGGAGTAAGTGAAGGTAAAATAAAGTCTTTTATTTTCTTTTTCTTAATCTAACAGACAACAATTTATTGAAAGTAATAATAACAATAATGTATTTGGTGATAACAGCCTCTAGATAAGTGAAATGAATGACAGCAAGAGGGGAACTAGGAATATTCTCTCATAATGTACCTGCACTACTCATGAAGCAATACAATGTTATGTGAAAGTGAAGGTAGATTACTTGCAAATGTAAATTGCAAACTCAAGGGCAACCACTGAAAATATTTTGAAAGAAGTATAATTGATATGCTAAGAGAGGAAAGAAAACAGACTCATAAAATGCTCAGCTAGAACCAAAGACAGAAAAAAAGACCAAAAAAACCACCAAGAACAAGGACAATAGAAAATAGTTAAAACTATGGTAAATATTAAACCAATAATATCAATGATCACTTTAATATGAATGGTCTAAATATACCAATTAAAAGAGACAGAGTGGATAAAAAATACTTAACTATATGTTGTCTATAAAAAAGTATTTTAAGACAGATTAAAAGTACAGTGACAGAGAAAGACAAACCATGTTAACAATAATCAAGAGAACGGCAGCTATATTAATTTCAGGCAAGGCAGACTTCAGAGCAAAGAAAATTATCAGGACAAAGAACAGCAATACATAGTAATAAGGGGTCAATTTTCCAAGAAGAACTAACAAAATGTCAAAATACGTGAGGTGAAAATGGACAAAAATGTAAACAGAAATAGATGAATCTACTATTATAGTTGGAGACTGCAACATCCTTCTATCAGTAATTGGCAGATGCAGCAGGCAGAAAATCAGTAAGGGTACATAGTTGAACTGAACGGCATCATCTATCAACTGGATCTAATTGACATTTATAGAATATTTCATCCAACAATAGCACAATATGCATTCTTCTCAAGCTCACGTGAAAACACTCACTAAGACATATCATATTCTGGTTCATAAAGAATACCTTAACAAATTTAAAACAATATAATTCCTAACAACTATGCTCTCAGATCACAATAGAATTAAACTATAAATCAGTAACTGAAATATAGCTGGAAAACTTCTTGGAGATTAAACAAAAAGCCTCTAAATAACACATCATCAAAGAAGTCTCAAAACAAATTTTAAAATATTTTGAACTAAATGAAAATGAAAATAAATCTTATGAAAATGTGTGAGATGCAGCAAAAGCAGCGCTTAGAGGGAAATGTATAGCACTGAATTGCTACATTACAGAAGAAGAAATATCTAAATTGAATAAGCTTCTACACCTTAGGAAACTAGAAAAAAAAAGAGCAAAGTAATTCCAAAGTAAGCAAAAAAAAAAAAAAAAAGTTTAAAAAAAGCACAAATTAATGAAAACAGGAAATCAATTTTAAAATTCACAAAATCAAAAGCTGGTTCATCAAAAAGTGCAATAAAATTGATAAACCTCTAGCCAGGCCAACCAAGTAGAAAAAGAACACAAATTACTAACACATGAAAATGAAAAAGGGGCCATTACTCCTGTTTCCACAGACACCAAAAAAAAATTACAGGAATATTATGAACTCCGTGCCCACAAATTTGAAAACTTAGATGAATAAATACCTTCAAAGACATAATCTACCAAAACTTCCAAGTCAAACAAATCATATTACTAGTTCTATGTCTATTAAAGAAACCGAATCAACAATTATCTTCCAAGCACCAGTCCCAGATAGTTTCACTTTTGAATTCTACCAAATTTAAGGAAGATGTGATACAATTCTCCAAAATATCTTACAGATAACAGAAGCAGAGGGAATGCTTTCTAACACACTATATGAGGTCAACATTACCCTAATACCAAAATGAAATAAAGGCATTGAAATAAAGGAAAACTACAGACAAATCTCTCTCATGAGCACACATGCAAAGTTCCTCAACAAAATATCAGCAAACTGAATCCAACAGTATATAAAAAGAATTATATACCACAACCAAGTGGGAATTATCTAGTTATGCAAACCTGATTCAACATTCAAAAATCAATTAATACAATCCATCACACCAACAGGCTAAAGATGAAACATAACCTATCAATAGATGCAGGAAAATCATCTGACAAAAATCCAACAGCCATTCATGATCAAGATTCTCAGAAACCTGTGAATAAAAAAAAAATTCTCAACTTGATAAAGAATGTCTACAAAAACCCCACAGCTAACATCATACTTAATGATTAAAAAAACTAGGGCTGGGCACGGTGGCTCAGACCTGTAATCCCAGCACTTTGGGAGGCCGAGGCAGGCAGATCACCTGAGGTCAGGAGTTTGAGACCAGCCTGATCAACATAAAGAAACTCTGTCTCTACTAAAAATACAAAATTAGCCAGGTGTGGTGGCGCATGCCTGTAATCCCAGCTACTCACTAAGGCAGGAGAATTGCTTGAATCCAGGAGGTGGAGGTTGCAGTGAGCCGAGATTGCGCCATTGCAGTCCAGCCTGGGCAACAAAAGTGAAACTCCGTCTCAAAAAAAAAAAAAAACACTAGAATCTTTCTCCCAAGACTGGAATCAAGGCAAAGATATCTCCTCTCAACACTCCTATTCCGTATCATACTGGAAGTCCTAGCTAATACAGTAAGACAAGAAAAGGAAATAAAAGGCATACATATTTGGAAGAAAGAAATAAAACTCTCTTTGTTCTCTGATGACATGATTGTTTATGTAGAAAATCCTAATGAATCAACAAAAATTCCTGGCACTAATAAGCAAGGATGCAGGATAAAAAGTTAATGTTCAAAAATAAATTGCTTTCCTATATACCAGCAATTAACAACTGGAATTTGAAATAAAAAAAAAAACCACCATTTACATTAGCAGCCCCAAAAAAGAATTACTTGGATATAAAACTACAAAACTCTGATTTTAAAAATATCTAAATTAATGGAGAGGTATTCCACATTCACAGAAGGAAGATTTGCTGTTGTTAACACGTCAGTTCTACCCAATCTACTCTACAGATTCACACAACCCCAATCAAAATCCCAGTAAATTATTTTCTGGATATCAAGAAAATAATTCTAAAATTATACTGAAAGGCAAAAGACCTAGAATAGGTGACACAATACTGAAGAAAAACAAATTGGAGGACTGACATTACCTGACTTCAGGAGACTTATAGGCCTACAATAATCAAGACTATGATTTTGGTGAAAGAATAGAAAAAGATCAATGGAACAGAATAGAGAGTTGATAAATAAACCCACACAATATGGACAACTGATCTTTGTCAAAGAAGCAATGAAGAAAGAATAGTCTATTCAACAAACGGTGCTATAACAACTGGACATCCACGTACAACAAAATGAATCAAGACATAGACCCTATGGCGTTCCCAAAATTAACTCAAAATAGATTGTATTAGTCTGTTTTCACACTGCCGATAAAGACATATCAGAAACTGGCAATTTACAAAAAAGGTTTAATGAACTTACACTTCCACGTGGCTGGGGAGGCCTCACAATCATGGCGGAAGGCAAGGAGGAGCAAGTCACATCTTACATGGATGGCAACAGGCAAAGAGAAGAGTTTGTGCAGGGGAACTCTTCTTTATAAAACCATCAGATCTCATGAGACTTATTCACTATCACAAGAACAGCACGGGAAAGACCCGCCTCGTGATTCAATTACCTCCCACTGGGTCCCTCCCATGACGTGAGAATTGTGGGAGCTACAATTCAAGATGAGATTTGGTAGGGGACACAGCCAAACCAAATCATTCCACCCCAGCCCCTCCCAAATCTAATGTCCTCATATTTCAAAACCAATCATGCCTCCCCAACAGTCCCCCAAAATCTTAACTCATTTCAGCATTAACTCAAAAGTCCATGGTCCAAAGTCTCATTTGAGACAAGGCAAGTCCCTTCTGCCTATGAGCCTGTAAAATCAAAAGCAAGTTAGTTTCTTCCTAGACACAATGAGGGTACAAGCATTGGGTAAACACAGCCATTCTAAATGGGAGAAACTGGACAAAACAAAGGGGCTACAGGCCCCATGCAGTCTGAAATCCAGTGGGGCAGTCAAATCTTAAAGCTCCAAAATGGTCTCCTTTGACACCATGTCTCACATCCAGGTCACACTGATGCAAAAGGTGGGCTCCTACAGCCTTGGGCAGCTCCGCCCCTGTGGCGGAGGATAGCCTTCTGTCTGCTTTCACCAGCTAGCATTGAGTGTCTGCAGCTTTTTCAGGCGCATGGTGCAAGCTGTCAGTGGACGTACCATTCTGGGGTCTGGAGGATGGTGGCCCTCTTCTCACAGCTCCACTAGGTGGTGTCCCAGTAGTAACTCTGTGTGGTGGCTCCAACCCCACATTTCCCTTCTGCACTGCCCTAGCGGAGGTTCTCCATGAGGGCCCAGCCCCTGAAGCAAACTTCTGCCTGGGCATCCATGCATTTCCATACATACATCCTCTGAAATCTAGGTGGAAATTCCTAAACCTCAATTCTTGACTTCTGTGCACCCGCAGGCTAAACACCATGTTGAAGCTGCCAAGGCTTGGGGCTTGAACCTTCTGAAGCAACAGACCCAGCTGTTGTTTGGCCCCTTTTAGTCACAGCTGGAACAGCTGGGACTCAAGGCACCAAGTCCTGAGGCTGCACAGAGCAGGGGGGCCCTGGGCCCTGCCTATGAAACCATTTTTTCATCCTAAACCTCCCAGCCTATAATGGGAGGGGCTGCCACAAAGGTCTCTGACATGCCTTGGAGACATTTTCCCCCTTGTCTTGGGGATTATCATTCAGCTCCTCATTACTTATGCAAATTTCTGCAGCCAGCTTGAATTTCTCCTCAGAAAATGGGGTTTTCTTTTCTATCTCATTGTCAGGCTGCGAATTTTCCAAACTTCTATGCTCTGTTTTCCTTTTACAACTGAATGCCTTTAACAGCACCCAAGTTACCTCTGGAATGCTTTGCTGCTTAGAAATTTCTTCCACCAGATACCCTAAATCATCTCTCTCAAGTTCAAAGTTCAACAAATCTTTAGGGTGGGGCAAAATGTCACCAATCTCTTTTCTAAAACATAACAAGAGTCACCTTTGCTCCACTTCCCAACAAGTTTCTCCTCTCCATCTGAGACCACCTCTGCCTGGATTCCACTGTCCATATCATTATCTGCATTTTTGTCAAAGCCACTCAACAAGTCTCTAGGGAGATCCAAACTTTTCCACATTTTCCTGTCTTCTTCTGAGCCCTCCAAACTGTTCCAACCACTCTCTGTTCCCCAGTTCCAAAGTCACTTCCACATTTTTGGGTATCTTCAACAGTGTCTCATTCTCCTGGTATGAATTTACTGTATTAGCCTGTTTCCACGCTGCTGATAAAGACATACCAGAAACTGGGCAATTTACAAAAGAAAGAGTTTTAATGGACTTACAGTTCCACATGGCTGGAGAGGCCTCACAATCATGGTGGACAGCAAGAAGGAGCAAGTCACATCTTACATGGATGGCAGCAGGCAAAGAGAGAAGTTTGTGCAGGGGAACTCTTCTTTATAAAACCATCAGATCTCATGAGACTTATTCACTATCACAAGAACAGCAGGGGAAAGACCTACCTCCATGATTCAATTACCTCCCAGTGGGTCCCTCCCACGACACATGAGAATTGTAGGAGCTACAATTCAAGATGAGATTTGGTGGGGGACACAGCCAAACGATATTGTGGATCATACACCTAAATGTAAAATATAAAACTATAAATCCTCTAGAAAATAACATAGAAAAAAAAAAAAACTAAGTGAACTTGGGTTTGGCAATGACTATTTAGATACAATATGAAAAGCATGATCCATGAAAGAAAAAGTGATAAACTGGACTTCATTATAATTTAAAACTTCGCTCTGCAAAAGACACTGTTAAGGGAATGAAAGGACAAGCCACAGACTAGTGGGAAATTTCTGTAAAAAGTGTATCTGATAGAAGACTTGCATCCAAAACACAAAGAACTCTCCCTACATAATGTGGTTGGGCCTCATCCAATCAGTGGAAGGCCTGAATAAAGCAAAAAGACTTAGTAATAGGGAATTTCTTCTGTCTGACAGCCTTCAAGCTGATACATCAGTTTTTTCCTGCCTTTGGACTCATATTCAAACATCAGCTCTTCCGGGGCCTTGAGACTGTTGGACTAGGAATGAAACTACACTATCAACAGTTCTGGGTCTCCAGCTTGCCCACTGCAGACCATGGGACTTGTCAGTCTCCATAATCACGGAGCCAATCACTTATAATAAATCTTTCTGTATATATGTACAAATCCCATTGGCTCAATTTCTGCTAAGAACCCTAATTGCATTGGTCAGGGTTCTCTAGAGGAACAGAACTAATAGAAGATATATATATGTATAGATAGATACAAATAGATATATATATATAAAGGGGAGTTTATTAAGTATTAACTCACATGATCACAAGGTCCCACAATAGGCCGTCTGAAAGCTGAGGAGCAAGGAGAGCCAGTCTGAGTTTCAAAACTGAAGAACTTGGAGTACAATGTCCGAGGGCAGGAAGCATCCAGCATGAGAGAAAGATGTAGGCTGGGAGGCTAGGCCAGTCTAGTCTTTTCACATTTTTTTTTTTTCTGCCTGCTTTATATTCTAGCCATGATGGCAGCTGATTAGATGGTGCCCACCCAGATTAAGTGTGGGTCTGCCTTCCCAGCCCACTGACTCAAATGTTAATCTCCTTTGGCAACGCCCTCACAGACACACCCAGGATCAATACTTTGCATCCTTCAATCCAATCAAGTTGACACTCTATATTCCATCATGCTAATACACTCGGCAAGGTAAAATTTGCTTATGTTCGATTTAGTAAATACTTCCAAACAGTTTTCTTAGGGGCTGTACAAATTCATACTCATACCAGCAATGTATGAGAGTTCTGGTTGCTTCCCATCCTTATCAGAACCTGGCATTTTCTTTTTTAAACTATTTTATTTTAGCCATTCTCTGACTTAATTTTTCTCTTTCTAAAATAAATACATTAAATATATTTACCATTGCAGTAGGCTATATAGAGGATTAATAAGGCAGGAGCTTTTTAATTTTAGTATGAAGCAAAAGTATTAATAAGTGTTATTAATAGCTAGAGAAGACCAGGCGTGGTAGCTCACACCTGTAATCCCAGCACTTTGGGATGCCAAGGTGGGTGGATCACTTGAGGACAGAAGTTCAAGACCAGCCTGGCCAACACGGTGAAACCTCATCTCTACTAAAAATACAAAAAAAAATTAGCCAGCTGTGGTGGCACACACCTGCAATCCTAGCTACTCGGGAGGCTGAGGCATGAGAATCACTTGAACCTGGGAAGTGGAGGTTGCAGTGAGCTGAGATCACGCCACTGCACTCCAGCCTGGGTGAAAGCAAGACTCTGTCTCACAAAAAAAATAAAAAATAAAAAATAAAAATAGCTAGTGAAAAGAAAATCAAAATCATTTACAAAGCTCTTCTAACCAAGTGCCTCCAAAAAAGGTTGGTTTCATAATCTTAACTCTTGTTCATAAACATAATTAGAACCAGTTGTAATAATCTGTATTGGTTTTGTCAAATCACTGCCCTTTAAGTTAACAGCAGCCTATATGATAATTGTAAGTTAGTGAAAAAATGTCTTATCACCTTATTCAAATTTCACTCTATATTAATATGTTTCAAACAATAAACCTATGATGATATATTTTTAAATTCATTCACACTGCATGCCTTGGAGGGTGAAGATATGGTCCATAGGAGGTTACGAATGAAGACTCAATAAATGTTAAATAAGGCAATGAAAAGAGGTTTTTATGAGAAAATAACATTTTCATATACCTCTATATACTTGGAATAAAACCAAATAGAAATCCTAACTCCTAATTTGTGCTCTAGAAATGAAAGAATACTTCTTAATTTTCTAAACCTAGCAATAAGCAATCTGAAAATAAAATTTAAAAAGCAATTCCAGGGCCGGGCACAGTGGCTCACGCCTGTAATCTCAGCACTTTGGGAGGCCCGACACGGGTGGATCACGAGGTCAAGAGTTCGAGACCAGCCTGACCAACATGGTGAAACCCCATCTCTACTAAAAATACAAAAATTAGCCAGGCACGGTGGTGGGTGCTTGTAATACCAGGTATTCAGGAGGCTGAGGCAGGAGAACTGCTAGAACCTAGGAAGCAGAGGTTGCAGTGAGCCGAGGTCGCGCCATTGCACTTCAGCCTGGGTGACAGCGCGAGACTCTGTCTCAAAAAAAAAAAAAAAAAGCAATTCCCTTTCAGCCAGGCGCAGTGGCTCATGCTGTAAAACCAGAACTTTGGGAGGTCAAGGCAGGAGGATCGCTTGAGCTCAGCAGTTCAAGACCAGCCTGGGCAACATAGAGAGACGCCAGCTCTACAAAAAATATAAAAATTAGCTGGGCGTGATGTTGCACGCCTGTAGTCTCAGCTACTAGGGAAACTGAGGTGGGAAGATCACTTGAGCCTAGGGGTTTCAGGCTGCAGTGAGCCATGATCATGCCACTGCACTCCAGGCACAGTGACAAAGTGAGACCTTATCTCAAAAAGAAAAAAAAATTCAATTTCAAATAGCATCAAGAAGAATAAAATACTTAGGAATAAATTTAACAAAAGAGGAGTCAAACTTGTACTCTGGAAGCCACAAAATATTATTGAAAGACATTAAAGAATTTCTGAATATAGAAAGACATCACATGTTCATGGATTGGAGAATTTAATATTGATGGGATAACACTTCCCAAATTGATCTACATATTCAATATAATTGCTATCAAAATTCCAGTTCCTACTTTCTTACAGAAATTGACAGGCTTATCCTAAATTCACATGAAAACGGAACAAATCCAGAAAAATCAGACAACTGTGGAAAAAAAGAGCAAAGCTGGAGGACTCACACTTCCCCAATTTTAAACTTACTACAAAGCTGCACTTGTCAAGACAGTGTAGTACTAGTATAAAAATAGACATAGAGACCAAAAGAACAGAACTAAGAGTCTAAAAACAAACCCTTACATTTATGGTCAATTGATTTTCAACAAGAGTATCAAGATAATTCAGTTGGGGGTATGGGGGAAATAGCCTTTTTAACAAATGGTACTGGAACAACTGGATATCCATATGCAAAAGAATGGAGATGGGACCCCTTCTTACATTATACACAATAATTAACTGAAAATGGAACATAGATCTAAATGTAAGAGCTAAACTTGTAAAATTATTGGAAGAAGGTATAGAAGTAAATCTACATGAACTTACAGTTGGCAAGGTCTTCTTGCATATGACATTAAAATCTCAAAAGACAAAAAAAAAAAAAAATAGAGAAACTGAATGTCAACAAAATTTAACTTTTGTCCTACAATCAAGAAAGTAAAAAGATGACCCATAGAATAGAAAATACTTGGAAGTCATATGTCTGATAGGGGTCTTATGTCTAGATTATGTCAACCTAAAATAGTGACAACGAAACTCTCCAAAAGAAAATTTTATTTGGGAGTGACAGGCGATTGCAATCCAGGATATGTTTGCTATAACAGATCAAAGGCATATACAGATAGGATGAAGTAAGGTGAAACTTTTAAAGGCAAAGAGGAGAGGTCTACGTAAGCTATTTTGAAACAAAAATCATTAGTTACAGGGGCCAGTTGTAGATGCTGGTGCTAATTCATTGTTGGAGACAGCCATTGCTATGCAAATGTTCGTCTTGTGAGAGCGGCTTATCTAGAATGCTGAAATCCATGAGGAATTTCTTGCAATAAACCCTGTTACAGATGTGTGCAGAATATGCAGGATGACTAAGACATGTAGGACATACAGGAATTTCTTATGAGTTTTTTCTGGGGATTTTTTTTTTTTTTTAATGAGACATAGTCTTGCTCCATCACCCAGGCTAGAGTGCAGTGGCGCAAACTTGGCTCACTGCAACCTGCCTCCCAGGTTCAAGAGATTCTCCTGCCTCAGCCTCCTGAGTAGCTGAGATTATGGGCGCCCGCCACTGCACCCAGCTAAATTTTGTATTTTTAGCAGAGACGAGATTTCACCATCTTGGCCAGGCTGGTCTGGAACTCCTGACCTCATGATCCACCCGCCTTGGCCTCCCAAAGTGCTGGGATTACAGGCATGAGCCACTGCGCCCAGCCTCTTATGAGTTTTTAGAAGATCCTTGTGATAGTTCTTATCTCAGACATACAAGCGTGAGACCTTCGTCATGACCTCCCGGTTCCACTTTGTTTGGGTCGGATGTAAGTGACTCTACCACAGCATTGGTGACTTTCACAAATTATATAAAGAATTCTTACAACTCAATAATAAAAAGAAAAATAACCCAACAAAAAATTGACAAAGAAGTTGAAGAGATATTTCTCCAAAGAAAATACACAACAGCCGATAAGCACATGAAAAGATGCTCAACATCATTAGTCATCAGTAAAATGCAAATCAAAATGACAATGAAATACCACTTCATACCCACTAGAATGGCTATAATCAAAAATCATAATGACAAGTGATGATAATGATGTGAAGAAATTAGAATTCTCAAACATTGGTGGTAGAAATGTGAAATGATGTAGCAACTTTGGAAAACAGGTTGGCAGTTCCTCAAAATATTAAATATAAAGTTACTTTATGACGCAGCATGTCCACCCCTAGGTATATGCTCAAAAGAAATGAAAACATGTCCACCCAAAAACTACACAAATGTTCACAGCAGCATTTTCATAAAAGCCAAAAAGTGGAAACAACCCAAAGGTCCATCACCTGATGAATAAACAATATGTGACATATCCAAGTAATGGAATATTATTGGACCATAAAAAGACAATGAAGTACTGATACATGCTACAACATGGCTAAACTTTGAAAATATCATGCTTAAATGAAAGCAGCTAGATATAAAATAGTACATATTACATGAATCAATTTACGTAAGAAATATCCAGAATAGACAAATCTATATAGGCAAATCTAGGCAAAGTAGATCAGTGGTGGCCTAGGGCTAGAGGAAGGAGTATGTGGGTGCAACAGGGGATGACTGCTACTGAACATAGGGTTTGTCTCTGAGATAATGAAAATGTTCTATGATTAGACAGTGGTGATGGCTGTCCAAGTCTGTGGATATGCTAAAAACTACCGAATTGGATAAATTATATGGTATGTGAATTAAATCAATAAAACTGTTTCAAAAAAAAAGAAAATAGTTGAGGCTGGGTGCCATGGCTCATTCCTGTAATCCCAGGACTTTTAGAGGCTAAGGATGGTGGAAAGAAAATTTTTTTAATAAAAATAAAAGTTTTAAAAATGAACCAAGGACTGTGATTAATGCAATTCTGTGCACCTTAAGTCCAAATGAAAAAGGGAAAAAAGACAAGAAATAAAGTGTCAGCTAAAGAATCATGAGATCTATAGATCTATAAATTTGAAAAGGAGATTTTCTTTTTTTTTTTTTTTTGAGACGACGTCTCACTCTGTCGCCCAGGCTGGAGTGCAGGGGTGCAATCTCGGCTCACTGAAACCTCCACCTCCCGGGTTCAAGTAATTCTCCTGCCTTAGCTTCCCAAGTAGCTGGTATTACAGGCACACACCCCCATGCCTGGCTAAGGAAAGGAAACCTTCTAAAGACTTGAAGTGGCAGGCCGGGCACGGTGGCTCACGCCTGTTATCCCAGCACTTTGGGAGGCCGAGGTGGGCAGATCACAAGGTCAGGAGTTCAAGACCAGCCTGACCAACGTGGTGAAACCTTGTGTCTCCTAAAAATACGAAAATTAGTCAGGTGTGATGGCATGCACCTATAATCTAATGCTGAGTCAGGAGAATTGCTTGAACCTTGGAGGCGGAGGTTGCAGTGAGCCTAGATGGTGCCACTGCCCTCCAGCTTGGGCAACAGAGCAAGATGCCATCTCAAAAAAAAAAAGGCTTGCAGTGGCTAGGTGAGGTGGCTCACACCTGTAATCCCAACACTTTGGGAAGCCAACGTGGGCAGATAGCTTGAGCCCAGGAGTTCAAGACCAGCCTGGGCAACATGGTGAAACCCCATCTCTACAAAAAATATAAAACTTAGCCAGGCATGGTAGTGCAAGCCTGTAGTCTCAGCTACTTGAGAGGCGAGGTGGGAAGATCACCTGAGCCCGGTAGGTCAAGGCTGCAGTGAGCCATGATCGCACCACTGCACTCCAGCCTGGGTAACAAAGTAAGACCCTGTCTCGAAAAACAATAAAAAGTAAAAACTGGCATTGCACAATATAAAGATAAATGTTAAAAATCATGCTATTAATAGATATTAACAGTGTAAAATCAGAACATATTTTCTTTACGTGGTGTTCTTTCTAAAAATTATTTTATTAAGTGTTAAAACATTTCTAAGGGCTTTCAAAGATAAATTCTGAACATCAGACTCTCATGTCTATTTTTCCCATCATGCCTTAAGTTTCTTAAATTATCTTACTACCAAGGTGTTCAGGAAATTAACCTGTACTATTATATTTGGATATAATATTCAAAACCCTAAGATCATCAAGAATTAGTATCTACAAATATCTACTACAGACGTGAAGAAGAAAAAAAAAGCTTAAGGCTCTCGGAGACTTTATATTCTGTCTTATTGCATAACTTTTGCTTGGAAACAAAAGGAAGACTAACACCAGAAATCATGCTGCAAGACCAGAACATCCTTTGGATGTCTAACCTCTCAGGTGATATACTTTCAACTGTAATTTAAGAAGGAAAGAACATAAAATACCTACAGAAGTTACCCAAAGGAAAAAACAGAAAATAATCAAAGCCTACAAATACAAAAAATCAGCAAAACCCAAAGGTAGACAGCAAGAAAGGGTAAGACAACCAAAAAAACTATAAGACTAACAAAAAACAACAAAATGGCAGTAGTAAAATTCTTCCCTATCAATAATCACTTTAAATGTAAATAGATTAAACTCTAGTAAAAGCCTGAATAGATTTAAAAACAAAAAAGATCCAACTATATGCTATTACAAGAAACTCTCTTCAGATTTAAGGACACACATAGGCTGAAAGTAAAGAGATAATTAGATATTCCATGCAAATAGTAATCAAGAAAGAGCAGAGATAGCTATACTTACATTGGGAAAAACCGTCACATGAAACACAAGACATTCATCATTTCTCATTATAAAAAAGGACAAGTTTTTGTTTACAAAGGACAGAAATAAAAGAAAAAAACAAAATTTAAATAAAAGACATTTGACAATGATAAAAGGATCAATCCACCAGGGAGATATGACAATTATAAGTATACATGCAACCAACATCAGAGTACATAAATATATAAAGCAAACACTGACAGAACTAAAGGGAGAAATAAACGGTAGAATAACGATTGGAGACTTCAATACCCCATTTTCAATACTGAACAAAACATCCAGACAGAAGATCAATAAGAAAACAGAAGACTTCAATAACACTGTAGACCAAATGAATCTAATGATATATACAGAACATTCTCCTCAATGGCAGCAAACTACACATTCTTCTCAAGCAAACAGGAATACTTCTCCAGGAGAGAACACAAGATAGGTAACAAAACAAGCCTTAGCAAATTTAAGAAGGCTGAAATCATACTAAGTGTATTTTCTGACTATAAAAGAATGAAAACTGAAAAATTTACAAATACATGAAAAGTAAACACCACATTCTGAACACCCACTGGATTGAAAAAGAAAAAAAGGAAATTAGAAAATATCTCAAGATGCCGGGCGCAGTGGCTCACGCCTGTAATCCCAGCACTTTGGGAGGCCAGGGCAGGTGGATCATGAGGTCAGGAGATCGAGACCACCCTGGCTAACACGGTGAAACCCCATCTCTACTAAAAATACAAAAAATTAGCCAGGCGTGGCAGCAGGCGCCTGTAATCCCAGCTACTCGGGAGGCTGAGGCAGGAGACTGGTGTGAACCCAGGAGGCAGAGCTTGCAGTGAGCCGAGATCGCGGCACAACCTGGGCGACAGAGCGAGACTCTGTCACAAAAAAAAAAAAAAATCTCAAGACAAATAACAAAAACACAATATACCAAAACTTATGGGATGAAACAAAAGCAGCAGTAAGAATGAAGCTCATAACAATAAATGCTGACATTAAAAACAAGAAAAGTCTCAAATAACCTCACTTTACAGCTCAAGGAACTAGAAAACTAAGCCCAAAGTTGCCAGAAGGAAGAAGTAACAAAGATTAGAGCAGAAATAAATAAAATAAAAAATAGAAAAATAGGGAAAAAACAACAAAACTAAGAGTTGGTTTTTTGAAAAGATTTAAAACTGAAAAACCCTTAGCTAGACTAAGAAAAAAAGAGAAGACTCAAATAAGAAAGGAAAGAGACATTACAACTGATGCCTCCAAAATAAAAAGGATCATGAGACTACTAAAAACAGCCATATGCCAACAAACTGGATAATCTAGAAGAAATGAATAAATTCCTAGAAACATAACACCCTACCAACAAGACTAAATCATGAAGAAGTAGAAAGTCTGAACAAACCTATAAGAAGTATGCAGACTGAATCAGTAATCAAAAACCTCCCAAAAGAGAAAAGCCCAGGACCAGATGGTTTCATTGATGAATGCTACCAAACACTTAAGGAGCAATTAGCACCAATCTGTCTCAAACTCCTTCAAAAAACTGAGGTGGAGAGAACACTTTCAAACACATTTTACAAAGCCAGCATTTCCCTGATACCAAAGCCAGACAAAGAAGCCATAAGAAGAGAAAACAACAGGACAATATCCCTGAAGAATACAGATACGAAAATCCTCAATGAAATAGTTGCTCACTGAATCCAACAGCACATTAAAAGGATCATAAACCATGACTAAGTGGGATTTATGCCTAGGATGCAAGAATGGTTCAATATATGAAAATCAGTTACTGTGGTACACCACAATAACAAAATAAAAAGATAACAATCCTATGATCATCTCAATAGGCAGAAAAATCACCTGAAAAATTCAGCACCCTTTCATGGTAAAAACTGTCAACAAACTACAAACAAATGGAAATTATCTCAATGTAATAAAGGCCATATATGAAAAGCCCACAGCTATCCTACTTAATTGTGAAAAACTGAAAGGTTTCCCACTGAGATCAGGCACAAGGCAGAGATGTCCACTCTTACTTACTTTTATTCAACATAGTACTAGAAGTCCTACCTAAAGCAATTAGGCAAGAAAAAGAAATAAAACGCATTCAAATCGGAAAGGAAGAGGTAAAACTGTCCATTTGCATAAGACATAATCTTAGATATAAAAAACCATTTAACAGTTTTTTAAAACTGTTAGAACCAATAAATTTAGCTTTGAACACTGGCAGTATCGTAGCCAGTCAGGTTTATCTGAGGTGTGATTACTGCTGATGGAAAACTTTTCCTGATACCCTGCCATGATGACTTGTAATGCAGTGAGCACTGGCAATTTTTGACAGTCTCCATGGAGACTGAATTATAAAGAAAAAAAAACTAATAAATTCAATAAAGTTGCAGGATAGAAAAATCAACATCCACTAATAAACTATCTAAAAAGGAAATTAGTAAAACAATCTCATTTACAATAGCACAAAAAAAGAAGAAAATACCTAAGAATAGGCCAGGCATGGTAGCTCATGCCTGTAATCCCAGCACTTTGGGAGGCCCAAGCAGACGGATCACCTGAGGTCAGGAGTTCGAGACCACCCAGACCAACGTGGAGAAACCCCATCTCTACTAAAAATAAAAATTTAGCTGGGCGTGGTGGCGCATGCCTATAATCCCAGCTACTTGGGAGGCTGAGGCAGAAGAATCGCTTGAACCAGGGAGGCGGAGGCTGCAGTGAGCCGAGATCGCATCATTGGACTCCAGCCTGGGTAACAAGAGCAAAACTCCGTCTCAAAAAAAAAAAACAACCTAAGAATAAACTTAATTAAGGAGGTGAAAGACCTGTATCCTGAAAACCATAAAACATTGATGAAAGAAATTAAAGAAAGCTACATTTGGAGGAAAAACGGCAGATGGGAGGCAGGACTAGATTGCAGCTCCCACTCAGACAGAGTAGTGTGTGGAGACTCACATCGTGAACCTTTGCTCCGGAACTACTGCAGGAAAGCCTAGAGAACCGAAAGACGCTCTGAAAGAAGCAGATTGCTCCTGCAGGACCCAGGAGGCAGTCCAAATGTGTCCGGAATTGGTGGGTTCTTGGTCTCACTGACTTCAAGAATGAAGCCGCGGACCCTCACGGTGAGTGTTACAGCTCTTAAGGTGGCGCGTTGGCACGTCTGGAGTCTGTCCCTTCGTGGTCGCCAAAATGTGTCCGGAATTAGTGGGTTCTTGGTCTCACTGACTTCAAGAATGAAGCCGCGGACTCTTGCGGTGAGTGTTACAGCTCTTAAGGTGGCGCGTCTGGAGTCTGTCCCTTCTGATGTTCAGATGTGTTCAGAGTTTCTTCCTTCTGGTGGGTTCGTGGTCTCGCTGGCTCAGGAGTGAAGCTGCAGACCTTCGCGGTGAGTGTTACAGCTCTTAAGGCAGCGCGTCTGGAGTTGTTCATTCCTCCCGGTGGGCTCCTGGTCTCGCTGGGCTCAGGAGTGAAGCTGCAGATCTTCGCGGTGAGTGTTACAGCTCATAAAAGCAGCGTGGACCCAAAGAGTTAGCAGTAGCAAGATTTATTGCAAAGAGCGAAAGAACAAAGCTTCCACAGTGTGGAAGGTGACCCGAGCGGGTTGCCAATGCTGGCTCGGGCAGCCTGCTTTTATTCTCTTATCTGGCCCCACCCACATCCTGCTGATTCGTAGAGCCCAGTGGCCTGTTTTGTCAGGGTGCTGATTGGTGCGTTTACAATCCCTGAGCTAGATACAAAGGTTCTCCACGTCCCCATCAGATTAGTTAGATACAGAGTTTCCACACACAGGTTCTCCAAGGCCCCACCAGAGCAGCTAGATACAGAGTGTCGATTGGTGCATTCACAAACCTTGAGCTAAACACAGGGTGCTGATTGGTGTATTTACAATCCCTGAGCTAGACATAAAGGTTCTCCAAGGCCCCACCAGAGCAGCTAGATACAGAGTGTCGATTGGTGCACTCACAAACCTTGAGCTAAACACAGGGTGCTGACTGGTGTATTTACAATCCCTGAGCTAGACATAAAGACTCTCCACATCCCCACCAGACTCAGGAGCCCAGCTGGCTTCACCCAGTGGATTCCGCACTAGGGCTGCAGGTGGAGCTGCCTGCCAGTCCCGCGCCATGCGCTCGTACTCCTCAGCCCTTGGGTGGTCGATGGGACTGGGCGCCGTGGAGCAGGGGGTGGTGCTCGTCGGGGAGGCTCAGGCCGCACAGGAGCCCATGGAGTGGGTGGGAGGCTCAGGCATGGTGGGCTGCAGGTCCCGAGCCCCACCCGCGGGAAGGCAGCTAAGGCCGGACAAGAAATTGAGCACAGCGCCAGTGGGCCGGCACCGCTGGAGACCCAGCACACCCTCCGCAGCCACTGGCCTGGGTGCTAAGTCCCTCATTGCCCGGGGCCAGCAGGGCCGGCTGGCTGCTCCGAGTGCGGGGCCCACCAAGCCCACGCCCACCCGGAACTCCAGCTGGCCCGCAAGCGCCACACGCAGCCCCGGCTCCCGCTCGTGCCTCTCCCTCCACACCTCCCCGCAAGCGAGGGAGTGGGCTCCAGCCTCGGCCCACCCAGAAAGGGGCTCCCACAGTGCAGCGGGGGGCCGAAGGGCTCCTCAAATGCCACCAAAGTGGGAGCCCAGGCAGGGGAGGCGCCAAGAGCAAGCGAGGGCCCCGAGGACCGCCAGCACACTGTCACCTCTCACAAATGCTGTGCAGTTATCGACAGCTGAGAGACCTGCAGACGGTTCACATCACAGGACTCTGTGCAGACAACCCCAGTACCAGCCCTGCCTGGTAGACCTCCTGAGTGGCTACATCCAAAAGAGAGATAACAATCACTGCAGCTCGGCCCTCAGGAAGCCACATCCTTAGAAAAAGGGGGAGAGTACTACATCTGTGGAACACCCCGGGAGACAAAAGAATCTGTACAGCAGCCTTGAGCCCTAGACCTTCCCTCTGACATAGCCTACCCAAATGAAAAGGAACCAGAAAAACAATTCCATTAATACGACAAAGAAAAAGTTTTTTAACACCTCCAAAAAATATCACACTGGCTAACCAGCAATGGATCCAAACCAAGAAGAAATCCCTGATTTACCTGAAAAATAATTCAGAAGATCAGTTATTAAGCTAATCAAGGAGGTACCAGAGAAAGGTGAAGTCCAATTTAAGACAATCAAAAAAATGATACAAGAAATGAGGAAAGAAATCTTCAGTGAAACAGACAGCATAAATAAAAAACAATCAAAGCTTCAGGAAATAAAGGACACACTTAGAGAAATGCAAAATTTTCTGGAAAGTCTCAGCAATAGACTCAAATAAGCAGAAGAAAGAACTTCAGACCTTGAAGAGAAGCTTTTTGAATTAACCCAAGCCAAC
Source organism: Homo sapiens (assembly GCF_000001405.40). NCBI lineage: Eukaryota > Metazoa > Chordata > Mammalia > Primates > Hominidae > Homo > Homo sapiens. The sequence continues at coordinate 156,875,244 of NC_000007.14, forward strand.
AAAGACAAAGAAAAATGAATAAGAGAAAGAAAAAAGTAAGAAAAAATGAACAACGCCTCCAAGAAGTTTGGGATTACGTTAAGTGACCAAATCTAAGAATAACTGCCATTCCTGAGGAAGGAGAGAAATCTAAAAGTTTGGAAAACATATTTGGAGGAATAACTGAGGAAAATTTCCCGGGCCTTGCTAGAGACCTAGACGTCCAAATACAAGAAGCTCAAAGAACACTTGGGAAATTAATCGTAAAAAGATCATCTCCTAGGCACATTGTCATCAACTTATCAAAAGTCAAGATGAAGGAAAGAATGTTAAGAGCTGTGAGGCAAAAGCACCAGGTAACCTACAAAGAAAAACCAGAGTAACTGCAGATTTCTCAGCAGAAACCCTACAAGCTAGAAGGGACTGGGGCCCTATCTTCAGCCTCCTTAAACAAAACAATTATCAGCCAAAAATTTTGTATCCAGTGAAACTATGCTTCATAAATGAAGGAAAGATACAGTCTTTTTCAGACAAACAAATGCTGAGAGAATTTGCCACTACCAAGCCAGAACTACCAGAACTGCTAAAGTAGCTGTAAATCTTGAAACAAATCCTGGAAACACATTAAAACAGAACCTCTTTAAAGCATAATTCTCACAGGGCATATAAAACAAAAATACAATTAAAAAAAAAAAAAAACAAGGTATATAGGCAACCAATAGCACGATGAATGGAATAGTACCTCAAATCTCAATATTAACATTGGATGTAAATGGCCTAAATGCTCCACTTAAAAGATACAGAATTGCGGAATGGATAAGAATTCACCAACTATCTGCTGCCTTCAAGAGACTCACCTAACACATAAGGACTCACATAAACTTAAGGTAAAGGTGGAAAAAGACATTCCATGCAAATGGACACCAGAAGTGAGCAGTAGTAGCTATTCTTATATCAGACAAAACAGACTTCAAAGCAAGAGCAGTTAAAAAAGACAAAGAGGGACATTATATAATGATAAAAGGCCTTGTCCAAAAGGAAAGTATCACAATCATAAATATATATGCACCTAACACTGGAGCTCCCAAATTTACAAAACAATTACCACTAGACCTAAGAAATAAGACAGACAGCAACACAATAATAGTGGGGTATTTCAGTACTCCACTGACAGCACTAAACAGGTCATCAAGACAGAAAGTCAACAAAGAAACAATGGATTTAAACTATACCCTGGAACAAATGGACTTAACAGATATTTACAGAACATTCTACCCAACAACCGCTGAATATATATTCTATTCATCAGAGCATGGAACTTTCTCCAAGACAGACCGTATGATAGGACACAAAACAAGTCTTAATAAATTTAAGAAAATTGAAATTATACCAAGTACTCTCCCTGACCACAGTGGAATAAAACTAGAAATCAACTCCAAAAAGAACCTTCAAAACCAGACAAATACATGGAAATTAAATAACCTGCTCCTGAGTGATCATTGGGTCAACAATGAAATCAAGATGGAAATTTTAAAATTCTTCAAACCAAATGATAATAGTGACACAACCTATCAAAACCTCTGGGAGACAGCAAAGGCGGTGCTAAGAGGAAAGTTCATAGCCCTAAATGCTTACATCAAAAAGTCTGAAAGAGCACAAATAGACAATCTAAGGTCACACCTCAAGGAACTAGAGAAACAAGAACAAACCAAACCCAAACCCAGCAGAAGAAAGAAATAGCCAAGATCAGAGCAGAACTAAATGAAACTGAAACAAACAAACAAAAAAAATACAAAAGAAAAATGAAACAAAAAGCTAGTTCTTCGAAAAGATAAATAAAACTGATACACCATTAGCAAGATTAACCAAGAAAATAAGAGAGGATTCGAGGCTATTATAAACACCTTTAGACACATAAACTAGAAAACCTAGAAGAGATGAATAAATTCCTGGAAAGATACAACCCTCCTAGCTTAAATCAGGAAGAATTAGGTACCCCAAATAGACCAGTAACAAGCAGCAAGATTAAAATGGTAATTTTAAAAATTACCAAAAAAAAAAAGTCCAGGACCAGATGGATTTATAGCTGAATTCTACCAGACAAAGAAGAATTGGTACCAATCCTATCGACACTATTCCACAAGATAAAGAGAAAATCCTCCCTAAATCATTCTATGAAGCCAGTATCATCCTAATACCAAACCAGGAAAGGACATGACCAATAAAACAAACTACAGACCAATATCCTTGATGAAGACAGATGCTAAAATCCTTAACAAAATACTAGCTAACCGAATCCAAAAACATATCAAAAAGGTAACACCATGATCAAGTGGGTTTCATACCACAGATGCAGGGATGGTTTAACATACGCAAGTCGGCCGGGCGCGGTGGCTCATGCCTGTAATCCCAGCACGTTGGGAGGCCGAGGTGGGCGGATCACGAGGTCAGGAGATCGAGACCATTCTGGCTAACACGATGAAACCCCGTCTCTACTAAAAATACAAAAAATTAGCTGGGCGCGGTGGCAGGCGCCTGTAGTCCCAGCTACTCGGGAGGCTGAAGCAGGAGAATGGCGTGAACCCGGGAGGCGGAGCTTGCAGTGAGCAGAGATCGCGCCACTGCACTCCAGCCTGGGCGACAGAGCGAGACTCCACTCAAAAAAAAAAAAAAAAATACGCAAGTCAATAAATGTGATACACCACACGAACAGAATTAAAAACAAAAATCACATGATCATCTAAATAGACACAGAAAAAGCATTTAACAAAATCCAGCATCACTTTATAATTAAAACCCTTAGCAAAATCTACATACAAGGGACATATCTCAATGTAATAAAAGCCATCTATGACAAACCCACAGCCAATATAATACTGAATGGAGAGAAGTTGAAAGCATTCCCTCTGAGAACTAGAACAAGAAAAGGATGCCCACTCTCACCACTTCTATTCAACATAGTACTGGAAGTCCTAGCCACAGCAATCAGACAAGAGAAAGAAATAAAGGGCATCCAAATTGGTAAAGAGGAAATCAAACTGTTGCTGTTTGCTGATGATATGAATGTATACCTAGAAAACCCTAAAGACTCCTCCAAGTAGCTCCTAAAACTGATAAATGAATTCAGCAGTTTCAGGATACAAAATTAATGTACACAAATCAGTAGCTCTCCTATACATCAACAGTGACCAAGCTGAGAATCAAATCAAGAACTCAACCCCTTTTACAACAGCTGCAAAAAAACAAATAAATAAAACACTTAGGAATATACCTAACCAAGAAGGTAAAAGGCCTCTACAAGGAAAACTACAAAATACTGCTGAAATCATAGATGACACAAACAAATGGAAACACATCCCAAGCTCATGGATGGGTAGAATCAATATTGTGAAAATGACCATACTGCCAAAAGCAATCTACAAATTCAACACAATTCCCATCAAAATACCACCATCATTCTTCACAGAACTAGTAAAAACAATCCTAAAATTCATATGGAACCAAAAAAGAGCCCGCGTAGCCAAAACAAGTCTAAGCAAAAAGAACAAATCTGGAGGTATCACATTACCTGATTTCAAACTATACTATAAGGCCGTAGTCTCCGAAACAGCATGGTACTAGTATAAAAATAGGCACACAGACCAACGGAACAGAATGGAGAACCCAGAAATAAACCCAAATACAGCCAACTGATCTTTAACAAAGCAAACAAAAACATAAAGTGGGGAAACGACACCAACAAATAGTGCTGAGATACTTGGCAAGCCACATGTAGGAGAATGAAACTGGATCCTCATCTCTCACCTTATATAAAAATCAACTCAAGATGGATCAAGGACTTAAATCTAAGACCTGAAACTATAAAAATTCTAGAAAATAATATCAGAAAAACCCTTCTAGACACTGGCTTAGGAAAAGATTTTGTAACTAAGAATCCAAAAGCAAATGCAAGAAAAACAAAGATAAACAGCTGAGACTTAATTAAACTAAAGAGCTTTTGCATGGCAAAAGGAACAGTCAGCAGAGTAAACAGAAAACCCACAGAGTGGGAGAAAATCTTCACAATCTATACATCTGACAAAGGACTGATATCCAGAATCCACAATGGACTCAAATTAGCAAGAGAAAAACAAACAATCCCATCAAAAAGTGGGCTAACTGGCCGGGCACGGTGGCTCACGCCTGTAATCCCAGCACTTTGGGAGGCCGAGGCGAGCAGATCCCGAGGTCAGGAGATCGAGACCATCCTGGCTAACATGGTGAAACCCCGTCTCTACTAAAAACACAAAAAATTAGCCAGGCGTGGTGGCAGGTGCCTGTAGTCCCAGCTACTCGGAGGGCTGAGGCAGGAGAATGGCGTGAACCCGAGAGGTGGAGCTTGCAGTGAGCCAAGATCGCACCACTGCACTCCAGCCTGGGTGACAGAGCGAGACTCTGTCTCAAAAAAAAAAAAAAAAAAGTGGGCTAAGGACATAAACAAACAATTCCCAAAAGAAGATATACAAATAGCCAACAAACCTATGAAAAAATGCTCAACATTACTAATGATCAGGGAAAAGCAAATCAAAACCACAATGTGATACCACCTTACTCCTGCAAGAATGGCTGTAATCACAAACAAAAAATAATAGATGTTGGTATGGATGCAGTGAAAAGGGAACACTTCTACACTGCTGGTGGGAATGTAAACTGGTACAACCACTATGGAAAACAGTGTGGAGATTTGTTAAAGAACTAAAAGTAGAACTATCATTTGATCCAGCAATACCACTACTGGGTATCTACCCAGAGGAAAAGAAGTCATTATACAAAAAAGATACTTGCATACACGTTTATAGCAGCACAATGTGCAGTTGCAAAAATGTGGAACCAACACAAATGCCCATCAATTAACAAGTGGATATAGAAACTGTGGTATATGTAACTATGGAATACTACCCAGCCATAAAAAGGAATGAAATAATGGCATTCACAACAACCTGGATGGGATTGGAGACTATTATTCTAAGTGAATTAACCTAGGAATGGAAAACCAAACATCGCATGTTCTCACTCATAAGTGGGAACTAAGCTACGATGATGCAAAGGCATAAGAATGACACATGGACTTTGGGGACTCAGGGGGAAAGGGTGGGAAAGGGGTGAGGGATAAAAGACTACAAACTGGATTCAGTGTATACTGCTTGTGTGATGGGTGCACCAAAAGCTCACAAGTCACCACTAAAGAACTTAACTCATGTAACCAAAAACTACCTGTTTCCCTAAAACCTATGGAAACAAAAAATTTAAAAATAAAAAAAAAAGAAATTAAAGAAGGCACAGACAAAGGGAAAGACACCCTATGTTCATGGATTGGAAGATTTAATATTGTCAAAATATCCATAATACCCAAGCAATTTACAGACTCAATGCAATCCCTATCAAAATCCCAATGGTATTTTTTTTTCTGAGACGGAGTCTCACTCTGCCACCAAGGATGGAGTGCAGTGACACAATCTCAGCTCACTGCAACCTCTGCCTCCTGGGTTCAAGTGATTCTCCTGCCTCAGCCTCCCGAGTAGCTGGGATTACAGGCATGCGCCACCACGCCCGGCTAATTTTTATATTTTTAGTAGAGACAAGGTTTCACCATGTTAGCCAGGCTGGTCTCAAACTCCTGACCTCAGGCAATCCACCCGCCTCGGCTTCCCAAAGTGCTGGGACTTCAAGCATGAGCCACCACGCCCAACCCCCAGTGGCATTTTTTTTTAACAGAAATAGAAAAAATAATTCTAAAAGTCTTATGGAATGACAAAAGACTATAAATAGCCAAATTAATCTGGAGAAAGAACAAAGTTGGTGGCATCACACCTCCTGATTTCAAAATATATTATTACACAAAGCTAGTTATCAAAATAGTATAGTACTGACATAAAGACAGATATATAGAACAACGGAACAGAACAGAGAGCCCAGAAATAAATCCATTTATGTACAGTCACCTGATCTTACACAAGGCTGCAAATAATACACAACGGGGAAAGAAAAATGTCCTCAACAAATGGTGTTGGGAAAACTGGAGATTCACATTCAAAAAATGCAGTCTTCTCTTACACCATACACAAAAATCAACTTACAAAGGATTAAAGACTTAAATGTAAAACATGAAACTATAAAACTCTCAGAGAAAAACACCGAAGGAAGCCTTCACAACACCGGCCTTGGCAATGATTTCACGGATATAACATCAATAGCACAGGCAATAACAACAAAAATATGTAAGTGGGAATACATAAAACTAAAAAGTTTCTGTACAGCAAAGTAGACAATCAACATAGTGATGGAAATGAGAGAAAATATCTACAAACTGTATATCTGAAAAGGGGTTAATATCCAAAATATCTAAGAAACTCCCACAGCACGAAAGTAAAAACAACTAGTAACTTGATTAAAAAACAGGCTAAGGACTTGAATAAAGCATTTCTCTAAAGACATACAAACAGCCAACATGTATATGAAAAAATGCTCAATGTCACCAATTATCAGGGCAATGTAAATCAAAACCACAATGAGATATCACCTCACACCTGTTAGGATGGCTATGATTAAAAAAAAAAAAAGAAGACGACAAGTGTTGACAAGGCTGAAGAGAAATCGGAACCCTTGCACACTTGGTGAGAATGCAAAATGATGCAGCTGCTATGGAAAATATGTGGGTTCCTGAAAAAATTAAAAACAAAACTACCGTATGATTCAGCAATCTCCCTTCTGAGTATTTATCCTAAGAATCACCATCACAATCTCAAAGAGATATTAGCACTTCTATATCCACTGAGGCAATATTCACAATAGCAAAGATGTGGAAACAACCTAAATGTCTATTAACGGATGGATAATGAAAATGTGGTATACAATGGAATACTATTCACCTTTAAAAATATTTGAAAAAAGGACACTCAGCCAGGTATGATGGCTCATGCCTATAATCCCAGCACTTTGGGAGGCCAAGGCAGGAGGATCACTTGAGCTCAGGAGTTTGAGACCAGCCTGGGCATCATAGTGAGACATCGTCTCTACAAAAAATAAACAAAAAATTAGCCAGGCATGGCAGTGGGTGCCAGTAGTCCCAGCTACTTAGGAGGCTGAGGTGAGAGGATCATTTGAGCCCAGGAGGTCAAGGCTGCAGTCACCACATTCCAGCCTGGGAAAAAGAGTGAGACTCCATCTCAAGGGGGAAAAAAAGGAAATTCTGCAAAATGCAACAACATAGATGAATCTTGAGGACACTAACCTAAGTGAAAAAAAGAGAGTCACAAGAAGACAAATACTGCATGATCCCACTTATATAAGGTATCTAAAATGGTCAAATTCACAGACTCAAAGAGTGTAAATGGTGGTTCTCAGGGGCAGGGACAGGGAAGGAAATTGAAAGTTACTAATCAATGGGCATAAAGCTTCAGTCAAGCAAAATGAGTAAGCTCTAGAAATCTGCTGTGCAACATTGTACCTATAATCAACAATATAATTGCACACTTAAAACTTTAAGAGGGGCTGGGCGCAGTGGCTCACGCCTGTAATCCCAGTACTCTGAGAGGCCGAGGCAGGCAGATCACGAGGTCAGGAGTTCGAGACTAGCTGGCCAACACAGTGAAACCCCGTCTCTACTAAAAATACAATAAATTAGCTGGACGTGGTGGCAGACGCCTGTAATCCCAGCTACTCAGGAGGCTGAAGCAGGAGAATCACTTGAACCCGGGAGGTGGAGGTTGCAGTGAGCCGAGATCACGCTATTGCACTCTAGCCTGGGCAACAGACAGTACGAGACTCTGACTGAAAAAAAAAATTTTTTGTTAAGAGGGTAGATCTCACATTAGGTATTCTTACTGCAATACAATCAAGTTTAAAAAAGAAGGACAGGGCCATGCATGGTGGCTCACACCTGTAATCCCAGCACTTTGGGAAGCCAAGGCAGGCAGATCACCTGAGGTCTGGAGTTCAAGACCACCCTGGCCAACAGGTGAAACCTGTCTCTACTGAAAATACAAAAATTAGCCAGGTGTGGTGGTGCACACCTGTAATCCCAGCTACTTGGGAGGCTGAGGCAGGAGAATTGCTTGAACTCGGGAGGCGGAGGCTGCAGTGAGCCAAGATCATGTCACTGCACTCCAGCCTGGGCAACAGAGCAAGACTCCATCTCAGAAAAAAAAAAGGAGGACAGAATAGGAAGACATGAAAAATTATCTCAAATGTAATTAGAATGTCCCAGTTTCCTTTAACCTCAAGTACACAACTATGGAGTGGTAAGATATACAGGGACAGCAGTGAAAGTCAAAGCCTCCTGATGAAGGAGTAGGAATCTCCTATGGCTGCTGTAACCAAATTACACAAACTTTGTGACTTAAAACAACACAAATTTATTGAGTTTCACTGGGCTAAAATCAAGGCGTGAGCAAGGTTGCTTCCTTCTGGAGACTCTAGGAAAGAATTCATTTCCTTGACGTTTCTAGCTTCTGGAGGCCGCCCACACTCCTTGGCTCATGGTCCCTCCTCCTTCCTCAAAGGGCATCACTCCAACTCTGCCTCTGTCATCACATCTCCTCTGACTCTGACCCTCCTGCCTCTCCTATAAGGACCCTGTGACCACATAGAGCCCACCTGGATAATTCAGGGTAATTCTCCTTTAACATACTCACATCTGCAAAATCCCTTTACCCATGTAAAGTAACACACCACAGGCTCCAGGGATTACCACATGGATTACCAACTTCAGGGGCCATTATGCTGCCTACCGCAGAGGGGAAGCTGATTTAACCCAGTTTAGAAAAGTCAAATACAAATGAAACCTCTATACCTCTATCCCATTCCTTTTTGCTCTTCTATGTTAGAAAATCACTTCAACTTATGTTGGCTATTGGATTTGTTTCTAATACATCATTCCACTAGAAGACTTTACAACCACGTGAGAAAAAGAAATGCAGCCCCTGACATCTGGGAGCTGGCCTGGTAATATCACAGCTGGGCCTTGGTGTTGCTGTAAACTGGCTAACAACTCAGAGCAAGGCACACACCTAGGCCTTGATGACTGACTCTTCTGCTGAACATCAACAATTTCAGAGAACATCAATATCAGACAAGACCATGATGGATAAAGACTAAACAAGACCACTCTGTAATCACTCCTGAACACAAGCAAAAAAAAAAACATGAACATTGTCCAAATCACAGAAATGACCAACTCTCTATCCTGGCTAACAGGAATGACTGTTGCTTCTTTACCAGTTACAGCTTTAGCTTTATTCCAGTCTTCTTTCCTTCTAGAAAAGATTTCTTAAGCTATCCAGTTACAGAATTTTTCCAGCTTCCTAACAGCACCCCATACAGATCAAAGCCTCACTTCCTTAAACCCTTCCCAAACTACCTAGTAGAAGCCCAAATCCCATTTGAAAAGTTACTGAAACACCCCACAGTTCCCCATGGAACTCACTGAAATATGCAATAAGCCCAATTTGTCCAACTACAGGTGTGCTCTTGGAGGTCTTTCACTGGAGGGCAATGACAAAGGTCAGAAGACTACAGACTCCAAGATAACTGCATTCTGAACTTACATACAAGATTGGTGATTGGTTCCCACCTTCTGCCCAACCACTATTCCCAAGTGGGAAGGACTAAAGTTTTTTATCTCCTGCATAAAGGGTAAGCCATAGAGTTGAGGGCAAGACACCAGTAGAAAACAGCAGGTAAACTCATCTAGAGAGGCAGTAGATGAAGGATACTTCTATCCCCATTATCTCCCCACCTCCCATTTGGCCTAAAAGGAGCCAACTAAATGGGAAGGTTCTAAAATCTCTGTTGTGTAAGTCCCAGTCTGGCTGGGCACGGTGGCTCATGCCTGTAATCCCAGCACTTTGCGAGGCCGAGGCAGGGGCGGATCACCTGAGGTCAGGAGTTCAAGACCAGCTTGGCCAACATGGCAAAACCCCATCTCTACTAAAAATACAAAAATTAGCCAGGCATGGTGGCAGGCGCCTGTAATCCCAGCTACTTGGGAGGCTGAGGCAGGATAATCACTGGAATCTGGAAGGCGGAGGTTGCAGTGAGCCAGGATCGCTCCACTGCATTCCAGCCTCGGTGACAGAGCGAGACTCCGTGTAAAAGAAAAAAAAAAAAAAGTCCCAGTCAACCCCAGACTTGGTTCCAAAAATATTCTAGCCAAGAGGGGAGCTTAAGCCATACCCAGGATAAGGAAGAATTTAGATTGCGCAGCCAGGCCAGGCATGGTGGCTCACACCTCTAATTCTAGCACTTTGGGAAGCTGAGGCAGGAGGATTACTTGAGGCCAGGAGAGTTCAAGACCAGTCTGGGTAACACGGAAATAACCCGTCCATACAAAAATGGCCAGACGCATTGACTCACACCTGTAATCCCAGCACTTTGGGAGGCCAAGGCAGGAGGATCACTTGAGGTCAGGAGTTTGAGACTAGCCTGGCCAACATGGTAAAACCCTGCCTCTACTAAAAATTCAAAAACATTAGCCGGGCATGGTGGCAGGCACCTATAATCCCAGCTACTGGGAGGCTGAGGCAGGAGAATCACTTGAACCCGGGAAGCAGAGGTTATCGTGAGCCGAGATTGTGCCACTGCACTCCAGGCTGGGTGACAGAGACTCCATATCATAAATAAATAAATAAAATTAGCCAGGCATGGTGGTGGCACCTGTAATCCCAGCTACTCAAGAGGCTGAGGCACAAGAATTGCTTGAACCCAGGAGGTAGAGGTTGCAGTGAGCTGAGATAGTGCCACTGCACTCCAGCCTGGGTGACAGAGTGAGACTCTGCCTCAAAAAAAGAAAAAAAAAAAAAAAAAGACTTCCTTCAAGTAGGAAGATCTCTTGAGCCTGGGAGATAGAGGCTACAGTAAGCCGTGTTTGTGCCACAGCATTCCAGCCTGAGTGACGGAACCACACTCTGCCTCAAAAATAATTTTGTAAAGAGTCACAGCCTACAAGGTGGCAATCCTGATAGCTGGGAAGCATCCTCCCGCAGAGCACAGAAACAGACCTTCAAGGGAGGATAGAACAGGGATTTATGCTGAACGGGTTGGCCAAGTTTATATATTTAACAGGTTATAGGAGGAGCTATGAATATTCACAAAGTGGGGGAGGTCATGCACATGCAGGCTGAATAAACATGTATGTTACATACTTATCCATATTCACTTGTGGGTGGAGACTTAACATCTAAAAGGATTACAATGAGGCCCTGTAGTCAGATGGCGAAGCAGGGACATGAAGGCACTGAAGTGCACAGCCTCTGTAAACTGGCCAGAACCAGTTCATGCTCAGTGCTCTTATCAGGAGAAAGTTACTGAAATCAGTCTCTTGTCCAATCAAAGCTATAGTTATGGCTTGTGGAACAGGAGAGTGGGGATCACTTAGGGTCTGGCAGTGAGTGAGCTGCAGTTATCTTAATATTGCTTATCTGGAGGCCAGTGCTTGTTTAGCCGCTAGAAAAAAAGAAACACCTTGAGGCAGTTAGAACCAGTTTATTCTTTAAGGGGATGCTTTACTTAACCCTTGCCTGGCATGGCCCTACATTTTGTTCACAGTTGGGTATTTTATTGCCACAAAGAGTCTGTTCTCTCAGTCTTCAGATCTCTATTTTAACATTAATGCTGGTCAGCTGTGTTTAAACCTCAAAAGGGAGGGGGTATACTGAGGCGTGTCAGATGTCCCATCCCATTCTGGTTGGGAATTCAGTTTTTAAGGTTTCCTGGGGTCCCCTTAGCCAAGAGAGGGTATACTCAGTTAGCTGGCAGCCTTAGGATTTCATAGCTAGCTCTCAAAAGAAAGGAAATCAATCATTACTACCTGATACTAATAGCCAAAGTCAAATATGATCACTAAAGCAACTGACAAGAGAACTATGAGATATTCATAATACAAAAGACAAAATTATTACATGAGTATTTAAAAGTTAAACACTAGGCTGGGCGCGGTGGCTCACGCCTGTAATCCCAGCACTTTGGGAGGCCGAGGCGGCAGATCACGAGGTCAAGAGATTGAGACCATTCTGGCCAACATGGTGAAACCCCGTCTCTACTAAAAGTACAGAAATTAGCTGGGTGTGGTGACGCTCGCCTGTAGTCCCAGCTACTCGGGAGGCTGAGGCAGGAGAATTGCCTGAACCCGGGAGGCGGAGGTTGCAGTGAGCCTTGAGATTGTGCCACTGCACTCCAACCTGGCGACAGAGTGAGACTCCATCTCAAAAAAAAAAAAAAAAAAAAAAGTTAAACACTATATTGTACAAAAAAATTAATTCAAAATGGATCAGACCTAAACCTAAGAGCTAAAACTATACAACTCTTAGAGGAAAACCTTCATGATGCCAGTTGGTGATGATGCCAGTTGGTGATGAATTCTTGGATATGACACAAAAAAACACAGGCAACAAATGAAAAAATAGATCAATTGGACTACAAAATTAAAAACTTTTGTGCATCAAAGGACACTAGCAATAGAGTAAAAAGGCAACCCTACAGAATGGGCGAGAAGTGTTTGCAAATCACATGTCTGATAAGGGGTTAATATTCAGAATATATAAAGAACTCCTAAAACTAAACAACAAAAATCAAGCAACTCAATTCAAAAACAGGCAAAGAACAGATATTTCTCCAAAGAAGATGTCCATATAGTCAATAAGCACATGAAACAATGCTGAACTTCACTTATAATTAGGGAAATGCAAATCAAATCCAGCATCAGATACCATTTCACATCCATTTTAAAAAAAAGAAGAAAAACAGAAAACAATGTGTGTTGGTGAAGATGCGGAAGAACCAGAAACTCTGGCTCCTTGCTAGTGGGAATATAAAATGGTACAGCCTCTGTGGAAAATGGTATGGCAGTTCCTCAAAAAAATTAAACATAGAGGCCGGGCGTGGTGGCTCACGCCTGTAATCCCAGCACTTTGGGAGGCTGAGGCGGGCGAATCACGAGGTCAGGAGATCAAGACCTTCCTGGCTAACATGGTGAAACCCCGTCTCTACTAAAAATACAAAAAGTTAGCTGGGCGTGGTGGCGGGTGCCTGTAGTCCCAGCTACTCGGGAGGCTGAGGCAGGAGAATGGCATGAACCGGGGGGGCGGAGCTTGCAGTGAGCCGAGATTGAGTCACTGCACTCCAGCCTGGGAAACACAGCGAGACTCTGTCTCAAAAAAAAAAAAAAAAAAAATTAAACATAGAATTATCATATGATCCAGCAATTCTACTTCTGAATTGAAAGCAGGGACTCTAATAGATATTTGCATACCCATGATCACAGCAGCATTATTCACAATAGCCAAAAACAGAAACAACTCAGGTCAATTGATGAATGAATGGGTAAGCAAAATACAGTATACACAAAAAGAAAATATTATTCAGCCTGAACAAATTCTGGGCCAGGCACGTTGGCTCCCGCCTGTAATCCCAGCACTTTGGGAGGCCAGGGTGGGTGCATCACTTGAGGCCAGGAGTTCAAGAACAGCCTGGGCAACATAGCAAAAACCCCATCTCTACAAAAAATTAAAAAATGAGGCCAGGCACAGTGGCTCACACCTGTAATCCCAGCACTTTGGGAGGCTGAGGCAGGTGGATCACCTGGGGTCAGGAGTTCAAGACCAGCCTGGCCAACATGGTGAAACCCATCTCTACTAAAAATACAAAAATTAGCCAAGTGCGGTGGCGCATGCCTGTAATCCCAGCTACTCGGGAGGCTGAGGCAGGAGAATTGCTTGAACCAGGGAGGGAGAGGTTGCAATGAGCCGAGATCACGCCACTGCACTCTAGCCTGGGCAACAGAGAAAGACTCTGTCTCAAAAAAAAAAAAGAAAGAAAAAGAAATTTTGACACATGCTACAACACAGGTGAACTTTGAAGGCATTATGCTAAGTGAAATAAGCCAGATAGAAAAGGACAAATATTGTATGGTTCAACTGGGAATAGTCAGATTCATATAGGCAGAACCAGCAGCTGGAGAGAGTGAAGAATGGAGAGTTACTGTTTCATGGGTATCAAGTTTCAGTTGATGAAAAAGATCTGGAAATGGATAGTGGTGGTGGTTGCACAACAATGTGAATGTATTTAACGCCACTGAACTGTATATTTAGATATGGTAAATTGCATGTTATATATATATATCTTATTATGATAAAAAAGTTAAGCAATTATAGCATTATGTAGCAAAATCAGAAAGAATTGAATAATTTTAAAAATTGGCAACAGGTCTTAGAGAAAAAGTATTTACATTCACTCTAAATATAAATCATTTGAGAAAGAAATGCCAAAGACTGGGAACCCTGAGCCTGGTCACTGTCTGCGCTGGTTCTGTAGAAGATGGAGTAGACTCAACCAGCCAGGGGTACTGGGTTGAGGGAAACAGGTGAGGAGAGTCAGAACTAAAGAACTCCATAATCGGTACCAAAACCGTTTTCAGGGGAGTAGACGAAGCTCTGGACTGTTTTACAATGTGTCCCTTTCTCAACCCAAATTCTAGAATATCTAATTAATTAAAAGTAAAGCCAAAGAGCAGGAGGATCACTTGAGCCCAGGAGACAGGTCTGGGCAACACGGTGAGACCTCACCTCTACAAAAAATTAAAAGATTAGCTGGGTCTGTTAGTGCACACCTGTATGATTCAAGCCTGTAGTCCCAGCTACTTGGGAAGCTGAGGTGGGAGGATCGCCTGAGCCTTGGAAGTCAAGGCTGCAGTGAGCCATGATTGCGCCACTGCACGACAGCCTGGTCAACAGAGGGAGAACCTGTCTCAAATTTTAAAAAATAATAAAACTAAAGACAAATAGACCAATAAAACCACATAAAGTCCAAAATTAAACCCTATGAATATACAGTTACCTATCTGTGACAAAAGTCCTAAATAGTGCTGAAGCAATTGGACATTCCTGTGGGAGAAAAAAATATGACTCCTACCTTGCACCAGACACAAAAAAATAAATTCGAAATAGATTGCAAATTTAAATGAGAAGAGTAATTCAATAAAGCATTTAGAGAAAAGAAGAAGAGAACATCAGTCTTAGAGTAAGGAGAGATTTCTTAATCGGGACATTAAAAGTACTCAAAAAAATTTTAATAAATTGAACTATATTAAAATTAATAATTTCTGTTCATCAGAAGATATCATTAAAAGTGAAAGGCATCCACAGAGTGGGAAAGAAATATGTGCAGTATATATTTCTGACAAAGAAATCATATCCACCTGTATAACAATATAATACAAGTTATTCTGTAAAGACCTTGCAAATCAATATTAAAAAGATAAACTTAATTTTTAAATGGGGAAAAAAATTTGACCCTTCACAAGATTTCCAAATGGCTAATAAACAAACAGGTGCTCAAATTCATTAGTTATCAGGAAAATGCAAATTAAAATTATTTGTATGATGAACACTATAACACACTTGCTAGAATGACTAAAATTAAAAAGGACAGAAAATATCAAGTATTGATAAAGATGAGTAACAACCACACCTCTGAGACTGTCAGTACTGGCGGAAGTGTACACTGGTACAACCACTTTGGAAAATTGTTTTAAAGTATCTACTAAAGATGAACAAATGCACACTCTTTAACCTAGGGATTCCATTCCTAGGGCTATCCCCAACAGAAATGCACAAACATGTCCACCAAAAGCTATGTACAAAAAGTTCATAGCCAGCCCGGCGTGGTGGCTCATGCCTGTAATCCCAGCACTTTGGGAGGCCAAGGCAGGTGGATCACCTGAGGTCAGGAGTTCAAGGCCAGCCTGGCCAGCATGGAGAAACCCCGTCTCTAATAAAAATAGAAAAATTAGCTGGGTGTGGTGGTGTGTGCCTGTAATCCCAGCTATTCAGGAGGCTGAGGTAGGAGAATCACTTGAATCCCGGAGGCAGAGGTTGCAGTGAGCCGAGATTGTGCCACTGCACTCCAGCCTGGGAGACAGAGCGAGACTCCATCACAAAAAAAAAAAAAAAAAAAAAATATATATATATATATATATATACACACACACACACACACACACACACATATATACATACACATATATATACACATATATATATTCATAGCCAAAACCTAGAAACTACTGAAGTGCCCATCAACAGTAAAATGAAAAATAAATTGTGCTATAGTCACACAACTACTGCACCGAGAATGAATTATAACCACATACAACATGGAGAAATTTCACAAACATTGTACAAGAAACTGGACACAGAAGAGTATATACGGTAAGATTCCATTTACATAAAGTTCAAAACTAAGCAAAAACTAATCTATGATATTAGAAGCCAGGGCAACGTTTACCCTTGGTGGAGGAGAAAGTAATTGGAAGAGGGAAAGGAATCAGTCTCTGGGATCCTAGTAAAATTGTGTTTATTTATTTATTTTTTTATAATGGTAGAGATGGGGATTCACTATGTTGCCCAGGCTGACCAGTCTCAAACTCCTGGTGGATTCAGGAGTACACAGGCGTGTTTAGTATGAAATGATCTGAAGGGTACATGTATGATTACATGAACTTATCTCTGTGTATTTTAGCTTCAATTATAAAAATTACAACTAAATGTGTACCAAATTCCACTAACTCAAATTCCACCAGCTCAGACTTTATATGTCCTCTTTATTCAAAGTATGACTTCCAAAGTGATTCTCAATTTTCAAGATCAGTGAGTACACAAATTAGATAATTCTAAAGCAGAATTTTTTCACCTCAAACCAAGTGTGACTGAATCGTAGACAACTTAGGAGAGGCGTAAATATAAACATAAAAAATTGACATATTTTACAACAGTTATGAAAACACAGATAAACCCAATTACAATACATTCTAGAGCATCATGAAAAGATAAAAACATCAAAGTAGACTTTCCAAGGTCAAGTCCGCTTCCTGACTCCTGCCAACAGCACACATGGAACATGGGCCAAAAAAGAAGCTGCTTCCCTAAGAAGTTGCTTCCATAGCAAAATGGACTTTTGCTGAGGTCCTCACTCCCAAAAATAACCAATATTCTCATCCCAAACGGTAAGGTTTCGAACTCAACCCACGTGGGGGCTGGGGGAGATGAAAGAGGGATGGAAACGTGAGGCGCCAGGAGGGCAGGAGGTGTTGACCGGGACAAGGTAACCGGCCGGGTCCAAACGCGAGAGGCGGGCGGGCTCCGCGCAGCCCGGCCCTTCCCGGACCCGCCGGGCCCACCCAGGCTCTCCGGGACGCCTGCGCATCCACCTGCCTACCTGGCCTGGCGGCGGAGCGCGGGGGCGCGCACTGGCGGGGCCGCCGTCCACACCCCGAGGCGCGAGCCGCACACCCGCCCAGAGAGGAAGCCCCTGGGGTCCCAGAGCGCGGCGCGCACCGCAGCCCTCCCCGCGGGAAGGGAAGGGCAGCACCGAGGCCGCGGGGCGGGGGCGGGGTCGGGGCTCGAACGGAGGGAGCGCGAGGGGGCAGGGGAGGCAAGAGCGGAGCGGGGGGGCAGGCAGAGGAAGCGAAGGGGAGGGGAGGGGAGAGGAGAGGTGGGGAGGGAAGGGGAGGGGAGGGGAGAGGAGGGGTGGGGAGGGAGAGCGGCAGAGGCCGGGGCGGGAGGCGCGAGGCGAGGCCCGGAGGTGAGGGGTCCGGGGACCGGGGGCCCGGGGGCGGGGACGGAGGGCCCGGGCGGGCACGCGGGACTGTCAGGGCTGCCTCGGTCCCCACGCACCGTGGACTCCCGCACTTGGCTGTGGAAGTGCTGCTCCCGCGCCGACACCTCGTCCTGCCCTTCCATCCTCCTTCATGCCCGCCGCCGCGCCGCCCGCGTCCGCGTGCTCCGCCACACCATCGTCCGCCCGCCGCAGGGGCTCGGACAGCCGCGCCGGGGACCGGAGCCGGCACGGGCCCGCGAGCCGTGTTGGAACAGGTACCGCGACCACGACACCGGCCGTCGCCTCAGCAGCCTCAGACGAGCAGCTCTGACTAAGGGAGGGCGGGCGCCGCGCAGTCGGGGGCGGGGCGGGGGCGGGGCAGGGAGGGGAGGGGGCGGTGCAGGCATACGTCAGACGAAAGGCGCCGATGCGTCAGAAAAGCGCGCCTCGCGGTCTTCCGAGCTGCTGGGCCGGGAGGCGCTGAGGGGGCGGGGCCTTGAGGTCGCGGGGCGGGGCTCCGCCCACGCTCTCAGGGGCTACCCCAGTTAAGGAGGCGCTGTCCTGGCGTCGGATGGGGACGGGGAACGCGGCGAGGGCGCTGCGACCTCTGCCCACCTGGCCCGGCCGCAGTCTCGGAGTTCCTGTTCCTCACAGGAGCTAATTATTTATGACAGCTGCATGGTTCCCCTCCCCCAGTTACTCAGTGCTTGGCACTCGGCACCCCTTACTCAGCACTCAGTACCGCACTCGGCCTCAGGGGACCTGGGCAGAGGGAAGCAGGGAGTCTCCCGCGGAAACTCTTGCTCTGCCAAAGTAGGTTGAAAGGTCGGAAATCGGTGGTTTGGGGCCGGGCTTTGGGCGGAAACCCAGCTTCTCTGGGTCTGAGAAGGGTCTTGGGCTGCCCCACCTGGAAAACGCAGATAACCGAGCTCGCTAGACCCTTGCCAAGTCCTTCCGGTAGCTCGGTCACTAGGGTCAGTTTTATGACTCTCAGTGGACCCTAAACAGCACGTAATATATGTATTTTTCACCGCCAAATATATCAAACACAATAATTCACCCTCCGTTCCCTATTATCTTTCTTTTTGTTATAAAATTTGAATTTAAGGGAATGTTTATAATTTTACCTTAGGATTTATTTGGCTACGAGGAAGTCATTTAAATTGCTAGTGGCTGCGATTTTTGTTTTTGGCATCTTTGAGAATTCTTAGGAAGTGTGAAAATCTACAAATTGCTTTCAAATGTCATTTAGTTTTTGTTTTTGTTTTTTTTTTTTTTGAGACAGAGTTTCACTCTTGTCGCCCAGGCTGGAGTGCAATGGCGATCTCTGCTCACAACAACCTCTGCCTCTTGGGTTCAAGTGATTCTCCTGCCTCAGCCTCCCGAGTAGCTGGGATTACAGGCGCCCGCCACCACGCCCAGCTAATTTTTGTATTTTTAGTAGAGACGGGGTTTCACCACGTTGGCCAAGCTGTTCTTGAACTCCTGACCTCAGGTGATCCGCCCACCTCGTCCTCCCAAAGTGCTGGGATTACAGGCCTGAGCCACCGCGCCCGGCCGTTGTTTAGATTTTTATGAATCTAAATTTAACAGTCAATGAAGTTGTTGTAAAGTTCTTCAAAGACAAATATGTGGTAATTTAAACCTTGCCGTTTCTCTTCACAATTTTGAGTAGAGAAAATTTTTTCACAACTCAAACTTCTTATGGTGCTTGGCGAAGTTGGAGGCCCCGACACACGGTTTCTATGAGTTCACTATAGCTGAACATTGTGGTGGTGGGAGAACTTAGAGAACCTGAGGCTTGTTCTCAGCATGTGCCCTGCTGCCACAGGCTGATTGATCATAATCCAAGAACAACTGTCAACTGGTTAAATTCAACGTTCACCTTTATTTTTTAGAATGTCTTGGAGCCCTAAAGAACCTGGATAATTTCTGGGTTAATTCTCTCCAAATCAGAGGGCAAGCAGATTAGATTTTAAAGTGTATGGCATTTAAACACAGATTCCAGAAAGTGAATGCATGTAGTATTCCTCATCTTTTTAATGCAATACTCCAACCATCTAGACCTTTTGATTTTCTTTTATGCAATCATCCCTAGAGGTTTACCCACCACTGGTACTTGTAACACTTAACCCAGGGTAGTCAACTTCAACAATGGCCACGTACTCACCACTCCCTATACGCTCACCCTCTGCCATCTGGCTTTGTCCTTCCTCCCAGCAAGAAATGGACTCTACTTTCCAGCCCTGGAATCAGCCTGGCTGGGTGACCTGCTCTAGCCAGTGGGACATTGAAAAATACAAAACTATAGGAAAGTGCTTGTACATTAGGACTTGCCCTTTCTTACGGACCCTAGGGACCCTCAATGGCCACTGGCCACTGCATCATAAGCCCCAGCCCAGCTGAAGATAGGTGACCTGGTCACCTCCATCACCCCAGCCAACACCCTCTTTCCCACATCCCTAAACGCTGTTGTATAAGACCACATGGGCCATTGTAACGGCTTTGGCTTTTATTCTGGGAGAGGTTAGGAGCCACTGTGGGTTATTGACAGGTGTGATGTGATCTGACTGCTGCTCAGGGCCTGGACAGCAAATGAGGAAGACTTATTGCAGAAATTCAGAGCCTAGTGACCTGGACCAGGGTGGAGGCAGCAGAGGAGGTGAGAGGCGGTCGGTTTCTGAATGCATTTTGAAAGGAGGATTTCCTATCAGGATTTCCTATCACATGGGGATGTGGTCAGAAAAAGAGAAAGACAGGGAGGGCTCCAAGGCATCTGCCTTAGCAGCCAGAAGGACAGTTGCATCACCAAAGGGGGGGAAGGCTGCAGTTAGAACAAGTTTTGGAGAAAAGACACAGAGTTCTTAAAATGTGATGATGACACCTCCTGGCCACCAAGATATGCTGTGTGGATATGAAGTTTCATTTCATATCAGAAGAACATGGCTGGCAATAAACATTTAAAAATATGTTTCATCTCAACAATACCCAGGACATGCAAATTGAAACCTAAATGAAGTACCTTTTCACTTTCATTGGGTGGGCAAAATTCTTCTAATTTGACAATATTGAGTGTCACAAGAATGTGGAACAGTAGAAATTCTGTGCCACTGGAGGTCGTGTGAACCAATATGATATCTCTGTAAATAATTTGGCATTATCCAGTAAAGCTGAAGATAAGCAACTAGCAGTTGCACTCCTACCCATGTATCCTAGAAAAGCTCTTGAGCATGTACACCAAGAGATGTGAATGAGAATCCCCACAGCTGTGCCACTTGAACTAGCAGAAGTCTACAAATAGCCCAGCTGTCTATCCACGGTGGAATGGGTAAATAAACTGATATGTTCGTGGGACAGAATGCGATTCTGAAAAATTAGTGAACAATAGCTGCAAGCAGCAATACAGATGAATCTCTAAAACAAAGTGTTGACCAAAAGAAAGTACCAGAAGAAGACACACAGTGACTCCATTTAGGTAAAGTTCAAAACCACACAAAACAATATACTATTGTATTATTCCATTCTCACACTACTACAAAGATACTACCCAAGACTGGGTAATTTATAAACAAAGGAAGTTTAATTGACTCACAGTTCCACATGGCTTGAGAGGCCTCAGGAAACTTACAATCATGGCAGAAGGGGAAGCAGGCATGTTTTACATGGTGGCAGGGGAGGCGGGAGAGGGTGGGGGGGAAGTGAGGAAGTGGGGAAGAGGGGCAGGGAGGTGGGAAAAGAGGAGGGAAGAGGAGATGGAGGGAGGAAAAGAGGAAGAGAAAGGGGGAGAAAGAGCAAGAAGGAGGAACTGTTAAACACTTATAAAACCATCAGATCTCATGAGAACTCAGTACCATGAGAACAGCATGTGGCAAACTACCCCCATGATCCAATCACCTTCCTCCCTCGACATATGGGTATTAGAGACCCCTTGCTTGGTGTTTAGGCTAACATGCTCCATTTAGCAAGGGGTCAAGTTGCGGTAGAGAACCCACAGTTTAGGCTACCAGGAAGTGGTAAACCCTCCACACATGGTGACTACAATTCGAGATGAGATTTGGGTGCAGACACAGAACGAAACCATATCAACTATTTGGGGATACAACCATGCAGTAGAACTATAAAGAAAAGCCAAGGAATGATAAAACTCAGAGAGGTCAGAAAAGGGATTGGTGAGAGGCATTCAAGGGCCACAAAGAGAATGATAATGCTCTATTTCTTAAACCAGAATGGAGGAGATCCACAACCCTATCTTGTATTGTTATTCTTTATACCTACGCATTATCTGTCATGCATAAACAGCATCTATTTAAAATTTAATAAAGTAACTTTCAAGAAGCACCACTTCCCGGTAGCCTAAACCATGGGTTCTCTACCTCAACTTAACCCCTCGCTAAATGGAGCATGTTAGCCTAAACGCTAAGCAAGGAATCTGTAAACCAGGTGCCAGTTCTGTGGTAAATTGCTGTGTGACCTTCCAGGTCTCTGTTCAATTAACAATGCCTGATGTTCCTTCCAGCACTAATATTGTGTTTGTTGTCTTAAAAATTAACTTGGAGCCGGGTGTGGTGGCTCACTAATGTAATCCCAGCACTTTAGGAGGTCGAGGTGGACAGATCACGAGGTCAAGAGATTGAAACCATCCTGGCCAACATGGTGAAACCCCATCTCTACTAAAAATACAAAAATTAGCCTGGCATGGTGGCACATGCCTGTAGTCCCAGCTACTGGGGAGGCTGAGGCAGGAGAATCGCTTGAACCCAGGAGGCAGAGGTTGCAGTGAGCCAAGATCACGCTACTGCACTCCAGCCTGGCAACAGAGCGAGACTCCGTCTCAAAAAAAAAAAAATTAACTTGGAAACTTTCCATGCAAACCCACGTTTCTGTTGGCATTTGTATGGGTTAGAGGGGAGGAGGCGATCATGAGCATCAGTTGCTTAGCGCCAAACCTGAGAGTCATCCTGAATTCCACACTTTCCCTAACAACGCACACCCCATCCATCAGCCAGTATTTTTTATTCTACCACTAAAATATGTCTGGAATTCAGCCACTCCTCCACACCGCCTTTGCCACTCTCCCGTTCCAACTGGCCTCATCCTTCAGTGGCCTCTGGGCTGGTCTCCCTGCATCTACTCTTCCCAGGCCCTCACCATCTTCTCCCTCCCATCATCCATCCCGTGCAATAAGTATGTAAATTAGTTGTGTTCCCCAACCCCAAGGCTTCCCATATCACTTACGCTCAAACTCTGACCCCTAACCAAGACCTGCAGAGACCATAGGACCAGCCTCTGCCCACCTCCCCAATCTTGTCTTCTGCTGGGCCCCCCACTGCCTTTGTACTGTGCCCTCTGCCCAGGATGCTCTCCCCAGAATCACAGCCGCCTCTCTCTCCTTACTCACAGTGTAAAGATTAATACTGTAGAGAGGGCGTTTTAGATCCTGAGCTGAGGTAGCACCTGAACCCAGCCCAGCTATGCCGGCTCACTTCACCTTGCACTGTCTTCAAGACAGGACCATAGAAGTTATTAACACATAGGGGCTGGGCTCATTGGCTCACACCTGTCATCCCAGCACTTTAGGAGGCCGAGACAGGCGGATTACGAGGTCAGGAGATCGAGACCATCCCAGCTAACATGGTGAAACCCCGTCTCTAATAAAAATACAAAAAAAATTTAGCCCGGCGTAGTGGCGGGCGCCTGTAGTCCCAGCTGCTCAGGAGGCTGAGGCAGGAGAATGGTGTGAACCCAGGAGGCGGAGCTTGCAGTGAGCCGAGATCGCGCCACTGCACTCCAGCCTGGGTGACAGAGCAAGACTCCATCTCAAAAAAAAAAAAAAAAAGTTATTAACACATAGGTAGGCTTTTTGTCTGCCCTAGTCATGGCAAAGACTTTATCCTGTTCACTATTTTTCCAACACCAAGCACAGTGCCGGGCACATGATAACAGGTTGATAAGCCTTTGCTGAATAAAGAGTCATACATGTAAATGGGGGGGGGGGGCGGTAGTGGGGAGCTAGCTTTTGCGGAATAACTACTGTATTCCAGGCACTTCCCATGCAGTATTTAATTTAACCATCACAGTGGCCCAGTGAAGTAGGTGCTGTCAGCTCCATATTACCATTGAAGACATTGAGGCTCAGAAAGGTTAAGCAACCTGACCTGGTTTGTACATCAAGATTTGAACCTAGATTCATTGACTTATTAACACCTGCTTTTCTCACAGTTCCATTGCTCTCTGCCATGCAATAAAACAAAAACAATTGCATCACCATGCATGACACATAGTAAAACATCCAGGTCCCTCTGTTGGAGATTCTGCCCTGACAACCCACCCCCCTTCCCCACTGAATTCTTCTGTAGTCCTGAGTGTGCTTGAGTATGTGCTTGAGTGGAGTATGCAACCAAGCATACAAATGAATCCAAGCTCACTCTCTGCCCCTCAAGTTTCGGGAATGGTGCATCAAGGCTCTCCAGAGGAATAGGACTAATTAGGGGGTGGAGGTGTAGAAAGAGAGGGTGGGAGAAAGATGTATTATGAGGAATTGGCCCACATGATTCTGGAGGCTGAGAAGTCCTAAGATTTGCAGATGGCAAGCTGGAGACCAAAGTATAAGTTCTAATTCGAAAGCCAGCAGGCTCAAGATCCAAGAGCTGATAGTTGAGTCTGAGGCCAAAGGCAAGAAAAGACCAATGTGTCAGCTCAAGCAGGAGGAGCTCCCCCTACTCAGGGGAGGGTCAGTCTCTCTGTTCTGCTGAGGACTTCAGCTGATTGGATCATGCCCACCCACATTGGAAGGGCCATCTGCTTTACTCAGGCCACCAATTCAAACATTAATCTCCTCCAGAAGCACCCTCACAGACACACACAGAATATTGTTTGACCAGCTATCTGGGCATCCCATGGCCCAGTGAAGCTGACACATAACGTTAACCATCACAAGTAGGGACCCCTGTTTTTATTCTCTTCTTAATAGGCTTGGGGAGAGGTTGGCCTCTCATGCTTCTAACTCATCAGCTGTTACCTGTGGGAGCTACTACCTACTCAGCATCGCTCAGGGCACTGCATTACGCCTTCCAGGCAATTATACAAGGTACTGCTTGAGCTTAAGCAAACTGAGAGAAGATTTAGCACACTTTCTAAAGGTAATATCATAAATAGACATTGATTCCAATCATTTTGTTTATTTTGAGATGGAGTCTTTCTGTGTCACCCAGGCTGGAGTACAGTGGCGTGATCTCGTCTCACTGCAACCTCCACCTCCCGGGTTCAAGCGATTCCCCTGCCTCAACCTCCCAAGTAGTTAGGATTACAGGCGTGCGCCACCATGCCCAGCTCATTTTTGTATTTTTAGTAGAGACGGAGTTTCACCATGTTGGCCAGGCTGGTCTTGAACTCCTGACCTCGGGTGATCCACCCACCTCAGCCTCCCAAAGTGCCGGGATTACAGGCGTGAGTCATCATGTCCAGCCTTGATTCCAGTCATTTTTATTGGCTCATGATACATCATCTTCAGTCATACATCATCTTCCTAAGCTTTACTTATCTATCTTGACTCTTTTTCTTCCAATTTCAACACACACAATTTAGGAGGGAAATGAGCCAAAATGGGGCAAGGCGAGAGAAGGAACAAATGGTCAACTGAACCTCTTTATGCCACAGAAGGAGCAAGACTGTCTATGGAGCAGTCAGGAACCACACATGTGTGAAGCCTAAAGGACCTTGGGGATCTCCTAGCCCTATTGCAACTAAGTCCCAGAGAAATTTAGTGACTTTCCTAAAGAGACACACGTTAGTGACCAGGGTAACCCAGACTTGCTGACTTCCAGCCCATCATTCTTCCCCTTGTTCCCCATTCCCACTAGAGGAGAACTTAGTGCCTTCCCAGCTTCTGAACCCACTCCTTGCCCCGGGTCCCCTCACCATCCTGGCTTCACTCTCCACTGGAGACTCATCCACACAGGGTCACAACTGCACTTTGTTGGAAGGAAACGGGTTGAAATACAAATTCCATGTGTTACACTCCAGCCTGGTGTCATGCCAGCTTTCATTTCTCAAACATTTTTGTTTTACCACCATTTTTAAGGCCATTCTGCCTTTCAAGCTTTTATCTTTTAGTTAAAATAACAAATATTTCTGAGCACTTAGTATTTGCCAGGCACTGTTCTTTTTTTTAATTTTTAAAAAATATTTCGTGTAGAGATAGAGTTTTGCCATGTTGCCCAGGCTGGTCTTGAACTCCTGGACTCAAGCAGTCGTCTTGCCTCAGCCCCTGAAAGCGCTGGGATTACAGGCGTGAGCCACTGCACCTGGCCTGTTTTTTTTCTTTTCTTTTCTTTTTTTTTTTTTTTTTGAGACAAAGTCTTGCTCTATTGCCCAAGCTGAAGTGCACTGGTAGAGACAGGGTTTCACCATATTGGCCAGGCTGGTCTTGAACTCCTGACCTCAAGTGATCCGCCCACCTCAGCCTCCCAAAGTTCTGGGATTACAGGCATGAGCCACCGTGCCCAGCCTTAAGTTATATTTTTAAAAGGTAATAAATGCTCCGACTCCATCATGTCCTGCTTGTGTTATTATACTTTACTCTTGAGGCCGCTTTCGTCAGCTGTAAAATGGTGTGCTCCTCCACCCTCAATATCGGTACATCTGGTAGCTAGAACTGGCCACAGTGGGAGTATTTACAGCACAGAAATCAGTCAATGATAACAAATCAGGGCCCCCTTCCCCTCCTTGAAGAGCTGGTTGTTAAGTAATTACAGCACACCATGGGAGCCAGCAACCGTTTTAGAAAGAGCCTCAAATGAAGATGTTCACACTGTGGGCTAATGTTGAACAACCAGATGATAAAAGGTGGAAATTGAGGAGACTGGACAAGACTCTCACCTGGTGGTTGGTCATCCCACGTGTCTGCAGAGGCGAATCAAGGGGATTACTAAAGGGAAAACAGGAATTTTTCTCAGGAAAACAGTTCTAAATTCATGAAAATACAATTAAGTTCAGAAACATCGATTACTTTTACACCAATCAGAAGTTCTTCTAGTCATACACATGTTTGTCGGTTTCTGAAAGGGGTGTGATACGGTTTGGCTGTGTCCCCACCCTAATCTCATCTTGAATTATAGCTCCCGTTATTCTCATGTGTTGTGGGAGGGACTCAGTGGGGGATAATTGAATCATGAGGGGGGTCCCCCATACAGTTCTCGTGGTAGTGAATAAGTCTCACAAGATCGGATGGTTTTATAAGGGGTTTCCACCACTGCATTCCAGCCTGGGTGACAAAGCGAGAATGTCTCAATAAATAAATAAATAAATGACAGAACCTACAAAGTGCAATGACACTGTAAAAGTTGGCTGTTAGTAATAGTATCAACGTCATCATCACCATTATTGTTATCATCTAAAAACCAAGATCTAAGCATGGATTATGCTAATATTTACAAATTGGGTTATATATGTATGCGATACTTAAACATTTTTTTTTTTTGAGATGGAGTCTCGCTCTGTTGCCAGGCTGGAGTGCAGTGGCACGATCTCGGCTCACTGCAACCTCCGCCTCCTAGGTTCAAGTGATTCTCCTGTCTCAGCCTCCTGAGTAGCTTGGACTAGAGGCACCTGCCAGCATGCCCAGCTAATTTTTTTTTTTTTTGTATTTTTAGTAGAGACGGGGTTTCACCATGTTGGCCAGGATGGTCTTGATCTCTTGACCTCATGATCTGCTGGCCTCGGCCTCCCAAAGTGCTGGGATAACAGGTGTGAGCCACCGTGCCCGGCCCAACATTTCTAAGGAATTCATGACAAACTTGTAACTTTTACACAGGGGATGAAAGACTAAAAGGATACTTAAAATGGAAGACAGGACCTTTACTTTGCAAAGAAATTCTGTGGCTGTCCTATCCATGAATCAAGATTTACAAGAACTAATCAGAGGAAATTGGTAGACACAAAACTGGAATTAGCTTGAGGAGAATTACAGGGTATCATGTGGAATTTAAGTCCACACATAAAAATAATATCACCCTCCTGAATCTTTCAGCCTTTTTCAATCTATCACCACTTCAACCTTCCGTGTCAGTCTCTGATTATTTTTTTTTTTTTTTGAGACGGAGTCTCGCTCTGTCGCTAGGCTGGAGTGCAGTGGCGTGATCTCAGCTCACGGCAACCTCCACCTCCGGGTTCACGCCATTCTCCTGCCTCAGCCTCCTGCGTAGCTGGGACTACAGGTGCCTGCCACCATGCCAGGCTAATTTTTTGTATTTTTAGTAGAGACGGAGTTTCACCATGTTAGCCAGGATGGTCTCGATCTCTTGACCTCGTGATCCGCCCGCCCCGGCCTCCCAAAGTGCTGGGATTACAGGCATGAGCCACCGCGCCCAGCCCAGTCTCTGATTTTAACAAGATTTCATCTTGGGACTAATGGTACAAATTTCACCCATCCCTAACTAACTCTCATTGAAATGTAGAGAAACAGATGATCAAGACTCTGCTAGCAGGAGAAAAAGAGAGAAAAGAGAGATGAAAAAGTCTTGTGTGACCAGAAGCTTATCAACCTTGTGTGCTGTTGGCTTACTTTAACATTTACAGCAGATGATAGAATTGTGTTCAGATGACACAATAAGGTATCAAATGACTTCACGAAAGCAAGACGGCACTGAACCCCAAGGTAAGAGATTGTACGGACATCATTTAAAGGTTTGTGTCCCCCCTTAAAGGTTTGTGTCCCCCTTTGGTAGTCCAGACATGAAAACGTCTAATCTGGGTGTGGCTCAGATACCACTCTGGAGTAGGCTAACTTTGTAACTCGAGCGCACAGAATGGCAGGAAGCAAAGCAACAGTCGGAGGAACAACCTGGGCCAACATGGCACGAGATCAAAGAGGAGAACAAGACGTGCTGAGCCCAGAGGGGGTGAGTCAGAGAGAGAAGAGGATGTTTTCTTTTGGTCACTGCAGACATAGGTTTTGTTGTGAGCACTACATTGTCTGAAAAGCCCCCATCCTAATTCTAGGTCTGCAAGCCAAGAAGATGGAGCAGGTTCTCGTGGGGCTCTGTCTCCAGAGACCTTGTGTGAGCTTGGTAATGAGAGGCCCAAAGCCAACATTTAGATAGTGCTGCTCCAGGAAAGGGAATTAAGGGCTTTAAAAATGGATGCTGAATTGCTTGAACCCGGGAGGCAGAGTTTGCAGTGAGCTGAGGTCACACCATTGCGCTCTGGCCTGGGCAACAAGAGCAAAATTCCGTCTGAAAAAAAAAAAGCGGATGCTGAGGCCAGGCTCACTGCAACCTCTGCCACCCGGGTTCAAATGATTCTCCTGCCTCAGCCTCCCAAGTAGCTGGGATTACAGACACCTGCCCCTACGTCTGACTAATTTTCTTGTAGTTTTAGTAGAGACAGGGTTTCACCATGTTGGTCAGGCTGGTCTTGAACTCCTGACCTCAGGTGATCCACCCACGTCAGCCTCCCAAAGTGCTGAGATTACAGGTATGAGCCACCACACCCAGCCTTAGGCATAGTGGCTCATGGTAGCTCATGCCTGTAATCCCAGCACTTTGGAAGGCCAAGGCAGGAGGATCGCTTGAGGCTAGGAGTTCCAGGCCAGCCTGGGCAACATAATGAGACCCCATCTCTACAACATAAAAATTAAAAAAAAAAAATAGCTGGATGTGGTGGCACATGCCTGTAGTCCCAGCCATTCAGGAAACTGAGGCTGGAGGTTGACTTGAGCCCAGCAGTTCAATACCACAGTGAGCTGTGATTGTGTCACTGCACTCCAGCCTAGGCGACAGAGCCAAACCCTATCTCTAAAAAAACAGAGAATGGATGCTGAACTTACACTTTTTTACACTAGCTCTTATTTTTATTTTTATTTATTTAGCTTTTTATTTTTATTTTTTTATTTTATTTATTTATTTTTTTGAGATGGAGTTTCACTCTTGTTGCCCAGGCTGGAGTGCAATGGCGGGATCTCAGCTCACTGCAACATCCGCCTCCCAGGTTCAAGCGATTCTCCTGCCTCAGCCTCTTGAGTAGCTGGGATAACAGGCACCTGCCACCACGCCCAGCTGATTTTTTGTATTTTTAGTAGAGATGGGGTTTTACCATGTTGGCCAGGCTGGTCTGGAACGCCTGACCTCAGGTGATCTGCCCGCCTCGGCCTCCCAAAGTGCTGGGATTACAGGCGTGAGCCACCACGCCCCACCTATTACTTTTTTCTTTTTTCTTTTTCTTTTTTTTTTTTTTTTTTTTGAGACAGGGTCTCACTCTGTCACTCAGGCTAGAAGGTAGTGGTACAATCTCGGGTGCCTGCAACCTCTGCCTCCAGGTTCAAGTGATTCTCCCACCTGAGCTTCCCAAATAGCTGGGATTATGGGCATGCGCCACCACACCCAGCTAATTTTTTGTATTTTTACTATAGATGGGGTTTCACCATGTTGGCCAAGCTGGTCTCGAATTCCTGACCTCAAGTAATCTGCCTGCCTCAGCCTCCCAAAGTGCTGGGATTGCAGGCGTGAGACACCGCGCCTGGCCACTACACCAGCTTTTAAATATACTTTCTAGAGGGGAAATGATGGAAACAATGAGGAAGGCACACTTAAGAAGTTAGTCTTTCTCCCTTCAGTCTCAGTTCTATTCTCTAGATGCAACCAGGACTAAGGGTTTCTAGCCATTCTTCCAGAATTTTCTACACATATATAAGCATTTTTAAAAGTACACAGTTGAGATCTGTTTTGCCACTTACATTTTTACTTAATAATATATCTTGGCTGTCTGACCATATCATTACGTACAGGTCCATTCCATTCCTTTGCTTCTTGCTTAGTAGTCCCCTGACTAGTATGTGCTGCATTTACTGAACCAATCTTCTGTGAGCGGGCGTTCAGGTTATTTACAGCTTTGTTCTGCTTTGCAGCTCTCTTCTAACAATGCCGTCACATATATCCTTGCACGTATTTCCTTGCATACTTGTACAGTTTTAGGGGTTGGGGGCAGGCCCCTGGTATGAGGTGGAAGCAGCTAGATCTTTTGGATAAGGCTCCACTGTGCCCAGGCCATGGCATGGCAGCAGCCCAGGGTTATCAGAGGATTCCAAGAGCTACCTGCTAGGGACAGAGTCAGAGCTGGTGGTGAAAGGAGTGGGTGGTATTTTCTGTCTCATGTGACACTGGGCCAGGTGGGGACAGGCAGTGTTTGTAAAGACCTCAGGAAATTCACCCAGGAGAACACAGGCTTCATCCAGGCCTCCCCTGTGATTGCAAGCCCAGAACCATGCCCTAGAACAGCCCAGTGCACTGAGGGTAAATGCAGCACCCTTGGGCGAGGTGGGGCCAGCTGGGAGTGTTCCACAGCCCTGGGCGCTTTGGAAAACACTCAGTGGTACCTCCTGAGAGCCCAGGCCCTTTGCTGGGCGGCCCAGGGGTTCCAGGCCTGAGCAACCCACCCAGAAATGAGCAGACAGAGGCAAAGGCAGCTGTCCAGGTTGGGAGTGAATCCACTGAGCATCTCCCTTGTCCTCAGGCCAGAGTTTCCTGGTTACTCCCACATGTTTATTTTTCCAGATGAATTTTGTATCATCTGTCATTACCTTACCCACTCCTCCCCCCACATCCTCTTGGTATTTGATTGGAAGTGAATTAGGGAGAATTGACATATTTACAACACTTAAGTCTTCGTAGCCAAAACAAGGAATGTTTTTATTTAAGTGAACTGACATCTGTTTTTATTTATTATTATTATTACTATTACGACAGCATCTCTCTCTGTGGCCCAGGCTGCACTGCAGCGGTGCTACCTCACTGCAGCCCTGATCTCCTGGGCTCAAGCAATCCTCCCATCTCAGCTTCCAGAGTAGCTGAGACTATAGGTGAATGCCACCAAGCCTGGCTAGTTTTTTTCATTTTTATTTTTATAGAGACAAGGTCTTGCCATTTTGTCCAGGCTGGTCTCGAAGACCTGGCCTCAAGTGATCTTCCTGCCTCAACCTCCCGAAGTGTTGGGATTACAGGCATGGACCACTACACCCTGTGACTTACTTATTTATTTATTTATTTATCTATTTGAGACAGAGTCTCACTCTCTCTCCCAGGCTGCAGTGTAGTGGCATGATCTCGGCTAACTGCAACCTCCACCTCCTGGGTTCAAGCCATTCTCCCACCTCAGCCTCCCGAGTAGCTGGGATTACAAGTGCTTGCCACCACGCCAGGCTAATTTTTGTATTTTTAGTAGAGATGGGGTTTCACCATGTTGACCAGGCTTGGTCTCAAATTCCTGACCTCAAGTGATCTGCCCACCTCGGCCTCCCAAAGTGTTGGGATTACAGGTGTGAGCCACCGCACCCGGCCAACATCTTTTTTTAATCAGCTCTTGGCTCTTGGGTTATAAGCCAAGATAGTGGACAAAAGTATTTGAAGAGTTTCTCTAGGAACTCTTTCTCCCTTTCTCCACAATCTTCCCTACCAATGGCACGTCATGCCTGCAGGGCAGCTTTGCCTCCTACACACCACCTGGGCTCACTGTCACAGCAAAGGGCAGCCGTAAAAGAACCAGGTCCCGGCTCTTGGCCATATCCTCCCAGGAACGAAGCAGGTGCCTCTGCCAAGCGTTACTTGAGGTGGAAGGGCTCATTTAGGTAACTTGTAAACCTTGACAGAAGCATCTTGGCCACCTTTATGCACTCTTACACTGCGGCATCCCAAACATCCTGCTGCTAATGTTCCTGTTTTACAGCATTTTAAAACCAATTTTCAAGTGAGTGTGTCATAAAATCACTCTATACAGGAAGTCAGTTCCATAATCTCCATGACATAAACTTTAAAAGCAAGATGTAGAATGCTGTTGGGATGCTCTGACATGCTTTTACACTGCACTCATTTGTAAATTTATTAGCAAATCATTAGGATATAAAAATCCACATCCGGCAACTGCTTACCAATTGTGGTAGGAGACATGGTAGGTTTTGTGACCTGGCAGGATGCAGAAAAATCATTCAGTCTGTGCATGGCTTCCTAATTTCCTAAGAGTTTGCTTTCTCGGAAGGTTTCCATGACAAACACAAACAAACCATTAGCCTGAGAACCTCATGTTGCTTTGTGGTTTAATATGCTGTATGACACAATAAGAAGTTCCTATCCTTGCCTCTCTTTTTACGCATTTGGTTTGTCTTCCTAAGCGTAGCATGATTCTCTAAGGGCAGAGACCATGCACTGTGATTTCTTTTTATTTTTTATTTTTATTTATTTATTTATTTTTTTTTTTTTTGAGATGGAGTCTCGCTCTGTCGCCCAGGCTGGAGTGCAATGGTGCAATCTGCAACCTCCGCCTTCCGGGTTCAAGCGATTCTCCTGCCTTAGCCTCCCGAGTAGCTGGTATTACAGGCACCTGCCACCATGCCCAGCTAATTTTTGTATTTTTAGTAGAGATGGGGTTTCACCATGTTGGTCAGGCTGGTCTCGAACTCCTGACCTCGTGATCTGCCCGCCTCAGCCTCCCAAAGTGCTGGGATTACAGGTGTGAGCCACTGTGCCCGGCCTGCGCTGTGATTCTTCTATGCAGCTCCAAACATACTTCTCTCAGTGGTTCTCAGGAAATACTTTTTGCAGACAATGACTGTGAGTCCACAGTAACAGATTCATAGAAATGGCTTATGTAGGCCAGGCGCGGTGGCTCACGCCTATAATCCCAGCACTTTGAGAAGCCGAGGCGGGGGCTGATCACCTGAGGTCAGGAGTTCAGGATCAGCCTGGCCAACATGGCGAAACCCATCTGTACTAAAAATACAAATTAGCCGGGCATGGTGGCCTGTGCCTGTAATCCCAGTTACTTGGGAGGCTGAGGCAGGAGAACCGCTTGAACCCAAGAGGCAGAGGTTGTAGTGAGCCAAGATCGTGCCACTGCACTCCAGCCTGGGTGACAGAGCAAGACTCCGTCTCATAAACAAATAAATAAATAGACTTCAATGCAATAACCATGCACAGGCGTGCTTGCTTGCTTTACCAACAGCATTTGTCTGATGTGAGCAGTATGTGCCTGGGCTTGCAGTGTTAAAAAACAACAACAACAACAAAAAAAAAACACCACACACACATGAACAGTAGTTGGGGGTCTCTCTCCCGGGGACAAGGGCTGGAGTTCGTGCTGACCTCCACCTGTCCTCATACTTACTCTGCCTGCTAGAGGGAAGGTGCTCCTATGTGTTCCTGGGAAGTTGCTGCAATGCGGCCTGAGCGCCAGCGGGGCTAGGGGGCGCTGAGGCCACACGGAACGCCGGCGACTCACTGCGCCAGGCCGGGCCACCGTGCAGAACGCGCGCGGATCTCACACCCCACCATGCGGAACGCGCGCGGGTCACACACCGCACCGTACGGAACACAGGCGGATCATGATTCGTTCTCCCCTGCTCCTGGGGCCTTGGAGCCATCTCTTTTCTTGAAAGGCCTCCAGGTCTTGAGTGCCATCATGAATTAGAGTATGGGATATTTTGGACCAGAGGTGATGTTATTCATCCTACTTTACACTTAATTTTTCTTTACATTAATTTTTCTTTTTTTATTTTTTATTTTTTTTATTATTATTATACTTTAAGTTTTAGGATACATGTGCACAATGTGCAGGTTAGTTACATATGTATACATGTGCCATGCTGGTGTGCTGCACCCATTAACTCGTCATTTAGCATTAGGTATATCTCCTAATGCTATCCCTCCCCCCTCCCCCCACCCCACAACAGTCCCCAGAGTGTGATGTTCCCCTTCCTGTGTCCATGTGTTCTCATTGTTCAGTTCCCATCTATGAGTGAGAACATGCGGTGTTTGGTTTTTTGTCCTTCTGATAGTTTACTGAGAATGATGATTTCCAATTTCATCCATGTCCCTACAAAGGACGTGAACTCATCATTTTTTATGGCTGCATAGTATTCCATGGTGTATATGTGCCACATTTTCTTAATCCAGTCTATCATTGTTGGACATTTGGGTTGGTTCCAAGTCTTTTCTATTGTGAATAGTGCCACAATAAAAATATGTGTGCATGTGTCTTTATAGCAGCATGATTTATAGTCCTTTGGGTATATACCCAGTAATGGGATGGCTGGGTCAAATGGTATTTCTAGTTCTAGATCCCTGAGGAATCGCCACACTGACTTCCACAAGGGTTGAACTAGTTTACAGTCCCACCAACAGTGCAAAAGTGTTCCTATTTCTCCACATCCTCTCCAGCACCTGTTGTTACCTGACTTTTTAATGATTGCCATTCTAACTGGTGTGAGATGGTATCTCATTGTGGTTTTGATTTGCATTTCTCTGATGGCCAGTGATGATGAGCATTTTTTCTTGTGTCTTTTGGCTGCATAAATGTCTTCTTTTCAGAGGCATCTGTTCATATCCTTTGCCCACTTTTTGATGGGGTTGTTTTTTTTTTCTTGTAAATTTGTTTGAGTTCATTGTAGATTCTGGATATTAGCCCTTTGTCAGATGAGTAGGTTGCAAAAATTTTCTCCCATTTTGTAGGTTTCCTGTTCACTCTGATGGTAGTTTCTTTTGCTGTGCAGAAGCTCTTGAGTTTAATTAGATCCCATTTGTCAATTTTGGCTTTTGTTGCCATTGCTTTTGGTGTTTTAGAATTGAAGTCCTTGCCCATGCCTATGTCCTGAATGGTAATGCCTAGGTTTTCTTCTAGGGTTTTTATGGTTTTAGGTCTAACGTTTAAGTCTTTAATCCATCTTGAATTAATTTTTGTATAAGGTGTAAGGAAGGGATCCAGTTTCAGCTTTCTACATATGGCTAGCCAGTTTTCCCAGCACCATTTATTAAATAGGGAATCCTTTCCCCATTGCTTGTTTTTGTCAGGTTTGTCAAAGATCAGATAGTTGTAGATATGCGGCATTATTTCTGAGGGCTCTGTTCTGTTCCATTGAGCTATATCTCTGTTTTGGTACCAGTACCATGCTGTTTTGGTTACGGTAGCCTTGTAGTATAATTTGAAGTCAGGTAGCATGATGCCTCCAGCTTTGTTTTTTTGGCTTAGGATTGACTTGGCAGTCCTTTTGGTTCCATATGAACTTTAAAGTAGTTTTTTCCAATTCTGTGAAGAAAGTCATTGGTAGCTTGATGGGGATGGCGTTGAATCTATAAATTACCTTGGGCAGTATGCCATGTTCACCATATTGATTCTTCCTACCCATGAGCATGGAATGTTCTTCCATTTGTTTGTATCCTCTTTTATTTCATTGAGCAGTGGTTTGTAGTTCTCCTTGAAGAGGTCCTTCATGTCCCTTGTAAGTTGGATTCCTAAGTATTTTATTCTCTTTGAAGCAATTGTGAATGGGAGTTCACTCATGATTTGGCTCTCTGTTTGTCTGTTATTGGTGTATAAGAATGCTTGTGATTTTTGTACATTGATTTTGTATCCTGAGACTTTGCTGAAGTTGCTTATCAGCTTAAGGAGATTTTGGGCTGAGACAATGGGGTTTTCTAGATATACAATCATGTCGTCTGCAAACAGGGACAATTTGACTTCCTCTTTTCCTAATTGAATACCCTTTATTTCTTTCTCCTGCCTAATTGCCCTGGCCAGCACTTCCAACACTATGTTGAATAGGAGTGGTGAGAGAGGGCATCCCTGTCTTGTGCCAGTTTTCAAAGGGAATGCTTCCAGTTTTTGCCCATTCAGTATGATATTTGCTGTGGGTTTGTCATAGATAGCTCTTATTACTTTGAGATACGTCCCATCAATACCTAATTTTTTGAGAGTTTTTAGCATGAAGTGTTGTTGAATTTTGTCAAAGGCCTTTTCTGCATCTATTGAGATAATCATGTGGTTTTTGTCTTTGGTTCTGTTTATATGCTGGATTATATTTATTGATTTGCATATATTGAACCAGCCTTGCATCCCAGGGATGAAGCCCACTTGATCATGGTGGATAAGCTTTTTGATGTGCTGCTGGATTCGGTTTGCCAGTATTTTATTGAGGATTTTTGCATCAATGTTCTTCAAGGATATTGGTCTAAAATTCTCTTTTTTGGTTGTGTCTCTGCCAGTCTTTGGTATCAGGATGATGCTGGCCTCATAAAATGAGTTAGGGAGGATTCCCTCTTTTTCTATTGATTGGAATAGTTTCAGAAGGAATGGTACCAGTTCCTCCTTGTACCTCTGGTAGAATTCGGCTGTGAATCCATCGGGTCCTGGACTCTTTTTGGTTGGTAAACTATTGATTATTACCACAATTTCAGATTCTGTTATTGGTCTATTCAGAGATTCAACTTCTTCCTGGTTTAGTCTTGGGAGAGTGTATGTGTCAAGGAATTTATCCATTTCTTCTAGATTTTCTAGTTTATTTGCGTAGAGGTGTTTGTAGTATTCTCTGATGGTAGTTTGTATTTCTGTGGGATTGGTGGTGCTATCCCCTTTATCATTTGTTATTGCATCTATTTGATTCTTCTCTCTTTTTTTCTTTATTCGTCTTGCTAGCGGTCTATCAATTTTGTTGATCCTTTCAAAAAACCAGCTCCTGGATTCATTAATTTTTTGAAGGGTTTTTTTGGTCTCTATTTCCTTCAGTTCTGCTCTGATTTTAGTTATTTCTTGCCTTCTGCTGGCTTTTGAATGTGTTTGCTGTTGCTTTTCTAGTTTTTTTAATTGTGATGTTAGGGTGTCAATTTTGGATCTTTCCTGCTTTCTCTTGTGGGCATTTAGTCCTATAAATTTCCCTCTACACGCTGCTTTGAATGTGTCCCAGAGATTCTGGTATTTGTGTCTTTGTTCTTGTTGGTTTTGAAGACCATCTTTATTTCTGCCTTCTTTTCATTATGTCCCCAGTAGTCATTCAGGAGCAGGTTGTTCAGTTTCCATGTAGTTGAGCGGTTTTGAGTGAGTTTCTTAATCCTGAGTTCTAGTTTGATTGCACTGTGGTCTGAGAGACAGTTTATTATAATTTCTGTTCTTTTACATTTGCTGAGGAGAGCTTTACTTCCAACTATGTGGTCAATTTTGGAATAGGTGTGGTGTGGTGCAGAAAAGAATGTATATTCCGTTGATTTGGGGTGGAGAGTTCTGTAGATGTCTATTAGGTCCACTTGGTGCAGAGCTGAGTTCAATTCCTGGGTATCCTTGTTAACATTCTGTCTCGTTGATCTGTCTAATGTTGACAGTGGGGTGTTAAAGTCTCCCATTATTATTGTGTGGGAGTCTAAGTCTCTTTGTAGGTCACTCAGCACTTGCTTTATGAATCTGGGTGCTCCTGTATTGGGTGCATATATATTTAGGATAGTTAGCTCTTCTTGTTGAATTGATCCCTTTACCATTATGTAATGGCCTTCTTTGTCTCTTTTGATCTTTGTTGGTTTAAAGTCTGTTTTATCCGAGACTAGGATTGCAACCCCTGCCTTTTTTTGTTTTCCATTTGCTTGGTAGATCTTCCTCCATCCTTTTATTTTGAGCCTATGTGTGTCTCTGCAGGTGAGATGGGTTTCCTGAATACAGCACACTGATGGGTCTTGACTCTTTATCCAATTTGCCAGTCTGTCTTTTAATTGGAGCATTTAGTCCATTTACATTTAAAGTTAATATTGTTATGTGTGAATTTGATCCTGTCATTATGATGTTAGCTGGTTATTTTGCTCATTAGTTGATGCAGTTTCTTCCTAGTCTCGATGGTCTTTACATTTTGGCATGATTTTGCAGCGGCTGGTACCGGTTGTTCGTTTCCATGTTTAGTGCTTCCTTCAGGAGCTCTTGTAGGGCAGGCCTGGTGGTGACAAAATCTCTCAGCATTTGCTTGTCTGTACAGTATTTTATTTCTCCTTCACTTATGAAGCTTAGTTTGGCTGGATATGAAATTCTGGGTTGAAAATTCTTTTTTTTAAGAATGTTGAATATTGGCCCCCCTCTCTTCTGGCTTGTAGAGTTTCTGCCGAGAGATCAGCTGTTAGTCTGATGGGCTTCCCTTTGTGGGTAAGCCGACCTTTCTCTCTGGCTGCCCTTAACATTTTTTCCTTCATTTCAACTTTGGTGAATCTGACAATTATGTGTCTTGGAGTTGCTCTTCTCAAGGAGTATCTTTGTGGTGTTCTCTGTACTTCCTGAATCTGAATGTTGGCCTGCCTTGCTAGATTAGGGAAGTTCTCCTGGATAATACCCTGCAGAGTGTTTTCCAACTTGGTTCCATTCTCCCCGTCACTTTCAGGTACACCAATCAGACATAGATTTGGTCTTTTCACATAGTCCCATATTTCTTGGAGGCTTTGTTCATTTCTTTTTATTCTTTTTTCTCTAAACTTCCCTTCTCACTTCATTTCATTCATTTCATCTTCCATCACTGAAACCCTTTCTTCCAGTTGATCACATTGGCTCCTGAGACTTCTGCATTCTTCACGTAGTTCTCGAGCCTTGGCTTTCAGCTCCATCAGCTCCTTTAAGCACTTCGCTGTATTGGTTATTCTAGTTATACATTCGTCTAAATTTTTTTCAAAGTTTTCAACTTCTTTGCCTTTGGTTTGAATTTCCTCCTGTAGCTCAGAGTAGTTTGATCGTCTGAAGCCTTCTTCTCTCAACTCGTCAAAGTCATTCTCCGTCCAGCTTTGTTCTGTTGCTGGTGAGGAACTACGTTCCTCTGGAGGAGGAGAGGCACTCTGCTTTTTAGAGTTTCCAGTTTTTCTGCTCTGTTTTTTCCCCATCTTTGTGGTTTTATCTACTTTTGGTCTTTGATGATGGTGATGTACAGATGGGTTTTTGGTGTGGATGTCCTTTCTGTTTGTTAGTTTTCCTTCTAACAGACAGGACCCTCAGCTGCAGGTCTGTTGGAGTTTGCTAGAGGTCCACTCCAGACCCTGTTTGCCTGGGTATCAGCAGCGGTGTCTGCAGAACAGCGGATTTTCGTGAACCGCGAATGCTGCTGTCTGATCGTTCCTCTGGAAGTTTTGTCTCAGAGGAGTACCCGGCCGTGTGAGGTATCAGTCTGCCCCTACTGGGGGGTGCCTCCCAGTTAGGCTGCTCGGGGGTCAGGGATCAGGGACCCACTTGAGGAGGCAGTCTGCCCGTTCTCAGATCTCCAGCTGCGTGCTAGGAGAACCACTGCTCTCTTCAAAGCTGTCAGACAGGGACATTTAAGTCTGCAGAGGTTACTGCTGTCTTTTTGTTTGTCTGTGCCCTGCCCCCAGAGATGGAGCCTACAGAGGCAGGCAGGCTTCCTTGAGCTGTGGTGGGCTCCACCCAGTTCGACCTTCCCGGCTGCTTTGTTTACCTAAGCAAGCCTGGGCAATGGCGGGCGCCCCTCCCCCAGCCTTGCTGCCACCTTGCAGTTTGATCTCAGGCTGCTGTGCCAGCAATCAGCGAGACTCCGTGGGCGTAGGACCCTCCGAGCCAGGTGCGGGATATAATCTCCTGATGCGCCATTTCCTAAGCCTGTCAGAAAAGCACAGTATTAGGGTGGGAGTGACCCGATTTTCCAGGTGCCGTCTGTCATCCCTTTCTTTGACTAGGAAAGGGAATTCCCTGACCCCTTGCGCATCCTGAGTGAGGCAGTGCCTCGCCCTGCTTCAGCTCGCGCACAATGCGGTGCACCCACTGTCCTGCACCCACTGTCTGGCACTCCCTAGTAAGAGGAACCCGGTACCTCAGATGGAAATGCGGAAATCACCCGTCTTCTGCGTCACTCACGCCGGGAGCTGTAGACCGGAGCTGTTCCTATTCGGCCATCTTGGCTCCTCCCCCCCATTAATTTTTCTTTAACCCTGGGCTTATTTAGACTTGAAAGGATCTCAAGACTATGTTGTTCAATGTCATCGATGACAGTATTACAAGTGAGAAAACTGAGGCTCCTGGGCCCTCCTCAATGCTTCACAGGGTCTCTCGAGGTGAACAAAGCATAACAAAGTGCAGTCCTTCTCTGGGGGATGAGCCTTAAAATGAGAATTTACCCCAGTTTATTATCACCTCCCAAATTGGACCTAAAAAATTTATCACTAATCTTGTTTTACTTTTATGTGGTATTCTATAACCCACAAAGTACATGTTGTCCACTATTTAAATTCACAATAACTCAACAAGATAAGCAAGGATTATCATTTCTAACAGAGGAGGAAACTGAAATACAGTAAGGTTAAACAACATACCCAAGGTTTCACAGCCAATAAATGGCAGAGCCAGCTCTAAACTTCAGATCTCTGCTTTCTGCTCAGAGGTCTCTTTTCTACTCTGCGTAGCCACTCCAGTACAGAGAGAGAGAGAGAAAGTTACAGATACAGATACAGATAGGGATGCAGTTAGAGATAGAGATAGAGATAGATAGAGATAGAGATAGAGATAGATGTAAACACATAATTATAATTATAGATATGGGGCAGAGTGTAGTGGCTCATGGCTGTAATCCCAGCACTTTGGGAGACTGAGATGGGAGGCCAGGAGTTCAAGACCAGCCTGGGCAACAGAGTAAGACCTCATCTCTACAAAAAAAAATCAATTATAGATATGGATATAGATATTATAGATATAAGTTTATTGCTGTGGTTATGGATATAGATGCATAGTTATAGATAGATGAGATATAGATGTAGA
The DNA here is from genome assembly GCF_000001405.40 of Homo sapiens. Taxonomy (NCBI): domain Eukaryota; kingdom Metazoa; phylum Chordata; class Mammalia; order Primates; family Hominidae; genus Homo; species Homo sapiens. Next base: position 156,916,386 of record NC_000007.14, read on the forward strand.
AACAGAGACATTTAGAGATAAATATCCAGTACCCCTTTGAGTTAGCCAAATTAAAACTCTAATATGCAGCTAGAAAGCACCTGTCCACACATTCTGGCTCCCGGTTGTCCCCTTGAGCCCCAGAAGGTCTTGTTTAAGGGAGATGATTGTTCGATCGTAGAAATGATCTCTGCAATGCTGGGGAGTTCTGTGATTGCTGGTTCCTAGACTGAAATGGTTGATAAAACTTCCCTTTCTCTTGTTCATCAAAATCAGCTTTTTATATAACTAGGAAGTCTGGGAGCTTCCTGGGACAGTCTGGAATATTAATGTATAGACAGTCTTGCTTTGTCTTTATATACATGAAGATAAAAGGTAAAACTCAAAAAAATTAATGCTAAAAATGTTACTTATGTCTTTTACTATTATAAAATTAAATTATAATTTAGGAGCTCCTATACATTTCCGACTGTGGTAGATTTTAAGGTAATTATATATCTCTTCAGTAATGTATTTGCAATCAACTTATTGCATAAAAGGCTTGCTTGTGAATTCAAGATTATTTATAGATTTATAGCCCTTTCAAGTGAAAAGGGGGTTTTTCAGAAGTACTTCCAATTTCCAATGTCTGGTGAATCTTCCATTTGCCATCAATAATGCCACCTACAGAAATCCTCTTTCATATAAATCCAGCCTGACATTCCTATAATGCACACCGCCAAGGATTGCTCTGAGGGCGAGAAGTAATATCTGTGTGAATTATATCAGGCCAGCATGTGGAAAAACATTCATCCCACAATTTATGAATTCAGAATGCTCCTAGAACATGTTTTGGTATTCTAAATAGAGGGAAGTTTTATTGTTATTATTATTATTATTACATGGCTGTCTTGATAAATGTTTATTGCAGGCACTGTGAAAACTGCTGATTTGAAAAAAGTATATTTGTTATCATTTTTTTGGCCTGCCTCTAATGTTTACTATTCACATTATTAAAATTGTATGGCTCTATTATCTGTCAAAGGTTTTTCGTGTTGTTTTTTCAATGTAAAGACTATGTTAATGGCATCAACTGTGACCTCAGAATTTGGCATAATCTATAATCATGCTGAGCACCTCGATGTCAATGTACCTCTTGGCCACTGCTTGACTTCAGTCTGTTAGGGAAGATTTGGAAAGGATCTGAGTAGGTAGCAGAGATCCAGTTAAAGATATTACATTATATTACATTATAATGTTATGTTGAATTGTATGACTTTATGTTGTGTTATATTAGTGTGTTATGTTACATTGTTTTGGTTTTTTTTTTGTTGTTGTTGTTTTGTTTTTTTGGGGTTTTTTTTTGTTTTTTTTTTTTTGAGATGGAGTTTCGCTCCGTTGCCCAGGCTGAAGTGCAGTGGCACAATCTTGGCTCACTGCAACCTCCACATCCCGGGTTTGAGCGATTCTCCTACCTCAGCCTCCCAAGTAGCTGGGATTACAGGCATGCACCACCATGCCCGGCTAATTTTTTTTTTATTCAGTAGAGACAGAGTTTCACCATGTTGGTCAGGCTGGTCTCGAAATCCTGACCTCAAATGATCCACCTGCCTCAGCCTCCCAAAGTGCTGAGATTACAGGCATGAGCCACGGGGCCCAGCCCTGTTACATTGTTATATTATTTATATTGTATTGCCTAAGACCACAAAGCTATAGTTGCAATACAGGCAAATAGCAATTTTGTCAGAATTATACTGTAGATAATTAAGGATGGAGTAAGTATTCAGGTTAAATGATACATTTTGTTTACAGTGTCTAAATTCACTGGATAATTACCCTTCTCTCACTTTCTATCCTAATCATTAAAATGTAGGGGGTGGGTTGTTTTTTTTGTTGTTGTTTTTGTTTTTGTTTTGAGACGGCATCTCACTCTGTTGACCAGGCTGGAGTGCAATGGCGTGATCTTGGCTCACTGCAGCCTCCACCTCCCAGGTTCAAGTGATAGCTGGGATTACAGGTGCCTGCCACCATGCCCAGCTAATTTGTGTATTTTTAGTAGAGATGGGGTTTTACCAGATTGGCCAGGCTGGTCTCGAACTCCTGACCTCAAGTGATCCACCTGCCTCGGCCTCCCAAAGTGATGGGATTACAGGCGTGAGCCACCACGCTTGGCCGGGTTTTAATTTTTCATTTGGCTGTTTTACAAGTTAAAGTTTGAAACTTCAAAACTTAGCCTCCTGCTTTCAGGTAAGTGTGTGAGTGTGTGTGTGAGTGTGAGTTTGTGTGTGTGTGTGTGAGTGCTTACAGACCTCAAGGAAAAGTGATTCTATTTAATACAACAAATCTTAGTAACCAGCCCTGGCATCATCAGCCTTTATTCATCCAAACATTGAAGGAGCAGATGCTCTTACTTCTCCCCTCAGGTAGTACATTTAATTCTAATAGTGATGTCTGCATAGCCTAGCTCCTGATATGAGTCTAAGGGTAGACTTTAATCTGAAATATGAATAATAGTTACCAGGAAAAGCATGCAAATAAACATGTGGCATTAACTGAGGAATCATTTCTGAAGTCACTGACTGCATTCCTGTAGTTAGAAAAGAAACCATGCACCATTCTACTTCTGAAAGATTTGTTTCAGAAGCATTAGAAATCCTAGCCAGTACAAATCAGATTAATTCGAGAATTAGCAGGGATAGGCTTTATTCTGAAATCATGAATGTTCTAATTAAGTTCAAATGTGGTTAATTCCTCTTAGGCATGTTACAATAATAAGTAGTGGACTTGATGTGGGGTGAATATCCTTGATCCCTGTCAATAATTAAATTGGTTGGCATAATGTCTAATGTTGTAAAAACCCCAATCTTCCACTTCTGTCTCATTAGCAAAAATAAATAGGCTGGTGTTAACCGCACAGACTAATAAAGGCATTCAGTATTGTTCAAGGACACGCCAAAGGAGGTCCAGGGTGCTTGTTTGCCGACAGTTGTTTATTCAGCTTGGTTTTCTTCTTCCCAAAAAGAGAGTGAGAAAACGGGGTGAGATTAGCAGCTCTCACACATTCACACTGCTGGGCAACCTGGTCACTCGCCAAGGGGCAGAGACAGGAATTGGTTCTGCGCAGCGCGGGCAGGCTGGGCGACGGCAGCCATCAGTGTCCTGTGGCCTTGGACCACCGACAGGCCCACGCTCACCTGCTTCCGTGCTTCAGGCAGAGGCAGCGCATAAACCCCAGAGGTGCGCCGGACCCCTCACACTCTCCTCATTGTGTTTGCAGAGTCAAAAGGCACATTCCTCCATCGGTGAATGAATGCCTACCCGTACTCAGGCATGAGAGGAGAAGCAAGTTTGTACCGTGGGCAGACAGTCACACTCGCCTGGCCTGTCCCAGTAAATTGTTCTCTCTTTGTGTACTAATTAGGGTGACTCAACATGTTGTTTGGGGGTGAAGACATCTGCATTCACTCTTGTTTTTTCCTTTGGTTTTCACGCACTCACTTGGCTCACCCTCACCAGGATTGGCCTGCCCTGCGCCCACCCCTACTCTAGGAGCTGAGAATACTGACGCAAATAAAGCTTACACATAAGCCCTGATTCAAGAACAGTTCTTACAGGTCTCAGCTATCTTATGCATATACTTTAGGAGGAGAGACAAATACAATTGGTTAAGTATTAAAATATCAGGTAATTGATCAATGCTATGGAGATAATTGAAATCGGATGGTGCAATCAAGTGCAGATGAGGCAGTCAGGAAAGACAAAGGGGAACTCTGAAAAGTGGAAAGAGGAAGGCAGACGTGTAAGGGACCCCAGACTGGAGGAGCACCCCAGTAGCAGGATGCCTTACAACTCCCCACCCACAGCCCAAGTGACCCGGGCCAGGTGTCTTCTCACCCACAACCTTGAACAGAAGGTGGCCCAGGTAGGCTCACTCCTCCCTCAGATCAGACAGGAGTTCTGCCAAGAGCACCAGTCAAGCCTGGCAGCACTGGCGAGGGGATTGCCAGGGAGCTCGCTGACACCAGGGCCAGGGGACCTATAGGGTCCAGCCCTACAGGGCTTAGTGAGTGTTCTCCCCGTGTGCAGAGATGAGAGATTGTAAGAAATAAAGACACAAGACAGAGATAAAGAGAAAACAGCTGGGCCCGGGGAACCACTACCACCAAGATGCGGAGACCGGTAGTGGCCCCGAATGGCTGGGCGCGCTGATATTTATTGCATGCAAGACAAGGGGGCAGGGTAAGGAGGGTGAGTCGTCCAAGTGATTGATAAGGCCAGGCAAGTCACGTGATCATGGGACAGGGAGCCCTTTCCCTTTTAGGTAGCCGAAGCAGAGAGGGAAGGCAGCATACGTCAGCGTTTTCTTCTATGCACTTACAAGAAAGATCAGACTTTTTAAGACTTTCACTATTTCTTCTACTGCTATCTACTACGAACTTCAAAGAGGAACCAGGAGTATGGGAGGAACATGAAAGTGGACAAGGAACATGACCATTGAAGCACCACAGGGAGGGGTTTAGGCCTCCAGATGACTGCGGGCAGGCCTGGATAGTATCTAACCTCCCACAAGAAGCTGGTGGAGCAGAGTGTTCTTTGACTCCTCCAAGTAAAGGGAGACTCCCTTTCATGGTCTGCTAAGTAACGGGTGCCTTCTCAGACACTGGCGTTACCGCTTGACCAAGGAGCCCTCAAGCGGTCCTTATGCGGGCGTGACGGAGGGCTCACCTCTTGCCTTCTAGGTCACTTCTCACAATATCCCTTCAGCACCTGACCATATACCCACCCGCCGGTTATTTATTGGTTGTATTAGTAATACAACAAAGAGTAATAGTAAAAGCTAATGATTAATAATGTTTATACTAATGATTGATAATGTTCATGATCATCTCTATATCTAATTTGTGTTATAACTATTCTTATTCTATTTTCTTTATTATACTGAAACAGTTTGTGCCTTCAGTCTCTCGCCTCGGCACCTAGGTAATCCTTTGCCCACAGGACCACACCACCCTCCCCCAGTGAGAGGAACCAGAGTGACGGGAAAGGGAAGCCCCACACAACCAGCACTCGAGGCCCGGCCCACTGGGAGCACTGGGTGGCCTGGCCTGGGAAAGCCCCTTGTGCCCCTTGGGTGGCACCAGCAGGTACCCGTGGGAGCTCCAGCAGCACCAGACAAACCAAGCAGACCCAAGATAGCACCATGAAGGCTCTGAACATCAAATTGTCACTGGAAGCATGGCCTGCAGAAGCGGGCCACAATCCTCACACTAAACCTAAGCAGAGCGACTGGCTGCAAAAAGGAAAGACTTAAAAAATAGGATCCAGAGACCTTCCTCTTCCTCATGAGTTTTCCAAATCACACTTGATTGAAACAAAAACGTTAGCACCATCTGAGACTCAGGACAGTGATATTTATGAGCGGGGAGGGTAAAGGAAGCTCCATGCTATAAGTTCCGCACCTCGCTTGAAGTAGGAAAAGGCCACGGCACGCAGGACTCACTGAGTGGCTACCAAAAGAAACCAACGCTGAGCTATAGCATGGCAAGCTAATACTACATTTTGGAAAAGCACGCATATTGAAATTTGCGTCATTTGTGCTATTATTTGTGCTATTATAAAGACCTGACGCCTGGTGGAACCGTGCTTACAATGTGTGGGTACTTAAACGCGTGTTCTGAAAAACTCCTCTGCTGCTTCTTCCTCTGATTTCACATTCGGTAAACCTGCAAGTGCACACATTTCATCCCCTTGCAAGACTGTTGTCAGTGCTCAGTAAGTCTACATTTTACATAGGATGAGGTGATTACAAAGATGGCACCATGGATAAACGACACTACCTGTGTTAGCAGTTGTGACTTTTCCTTCTTTTTTTTTTCTTTTTCTTTTCTTTTCTTTTTCTTTCTTTTTTTTTCTTTCTTTTTTTTTTTGAGATGGAGTCTCACTCTGTTGTCCAGACTGAAGTACAATGGCATGATCTCAGCTCACTGCAACCTCTCCCTCCTGGGTTCAAGCAATTCTCCTGCCTCAGCTTCCTGAGTAGCTGGAATTGCAGGTGCCTGCCACCATGCCTGGCTAATTTTCTATATTTAGTAGAGACAGGATTGCGCCATGTTGGCCAGGCTGGTCTTGAACTCCTGACCTCAGGTGATCCGCCTGCCTTGGCCTCCTGAAGTGCTGGGATTACAGGCATGAGCCACCGTGCCCGGCCATGACTTTTCAGATGTTATCTAATAAGCCACTATTCTAAGGGGCAGGCACACATCCACATTCGAGTGCCGCCTCTGTTGTCTGCTCTTTAACCATGTGCTGCCATCTAAAGAATGAATGGATTCTGCTAAATTGGCACCAAGAAGTGAAGATACTGCAGAAAGTGGGAGACTAGAAAAACAGGCCAGGGTCACTAACCAGAAATGGAGACCAGAGCAGCAGCCCTCCAAATGGCAGTGTGCTTAATCAACGCATAAATGCTCTAGATGAACATTCCATGACAAAGTAACATTTAACAGCAGGAGAAAGGAGATAGAAGAAAGGGTTAACAGGCCAGGCGTGGTGGCTCACACCTGTAATCCCAGCACTTTGGGAGGCCGGGGCAGGTGGATCACCTGAGGTCAGGAGTTCGAGACCAGCCTGGCCAACATGGTGAAACCCCGTCTTTACTAAAAATACAAAAATTAGCCAGGCATAGTGGTGGGTGCCTGTAATCCCAGCTACTCGGGAGGCTGAGGCAGAGAATCACTTGAACCCGGGAGGCAGAGGTTGCTGTGAGCCAAGATCACACCACTGCATTTCAGCCTGGGCAACAGAACGAGACTCCATCTCAAAAAAAAAAAAAAAAAAAAAAATGTGGAGGTTCACAAACCAGCCCAGAAACAGTAATGAAGACAGAAAGAATCTCCTGGTCTGGTCTGCGTCAGGCAGCTGTGGTCTTGCACGGAAGTCTTTAATGTGGCAGAGCCTGGTCTGGTCTGCGTCAGGCAGCTGTGGTCTTGCACGGAAGTCTTTAATGTGGCAGAGCCTTTGGGGCCGACGCCAGGTGATCATGAGTGACAGCAAGACCGGGTCTGTCGAGATGGCTGTGTCTAGCTGGTTACGTCACGCTCGTTCATGGCCACGGAGCCCACTGGCAAGGATGCTAGTGGAAGAGTGTGCTTGGTTACATCCTTATCTGGTTGGATGCAGACTTTATCGATCAGGCACAATATCTGGTCCCTGTTGGCAAAGTGCCTTTTGAAATGTAAGATGGAGTCTTTTTCTAAGATGGAGTCACTTATGTCAAGGCGCTCTACACATGGGGACAATTTCAATGGAGAAGATTGAGAAACAAAAATAGGGCCGGGCACGGTGGCTCACACCTGTAATCCCAGCACTTTGGGAGGCCAAGGCGGGTGGATCACCCAAGGTCAGGAGTTCAAGACCAGCCTGACCAACATGGTGAAACCCCGTCTCTACTAAAAATACAAAAATTAGCTGGGCGTTGTGGCAGGCACCTATAATCCCAGCTACTTGGGAGTCTGAGGCAGGAGAATTGCTTGAACCCAGGAGGTAGAGGTTGCAGTGAGCTGAGATCGTGCCACTGCACTCCAGGCTGGGTGACAGAGCGAGACTCCGACTCAAAAAAAAAAAAAAAAAAAAGCCCCCAGCTGACTGAACAGACCTTGTGTTGGCGAAGGGGAGAAGACTTGGACGCCATGACGGGTTGGGAATTGGTCCCTCTCCCTCACTTCCCGGCCTTAGGCTCTCTTCACTAAGGGCTGAAAGAAACGGATCCTTTCAAAAGGCTCCTCCCCAACTTCGTGGGTTGATTACTGATCTGCCCAGGTACAGAACAAAGACAAGATGAGATCAATTGTTCCTTCACCCCTCCCTGGGCCCTTCCTTTTCTTCAAATGTTTGCCTTATGTTGCGTGAAATGTAGATTTACTTGGCACTAACTACAGTCTCCCAAGTATATAATCATTTGTCTCATTGCCACCCCCCACCTTTTAAGGAAACTATAGAAATACTCCTGAGAACCTCTTTGGAAGAAACAGCCACAGATGTGTCTGTGGTGGGTATTCTTCCTGGGAGTGCCCTCAGCTGGCTCAGTAACCCCGATGATCTGAGACTTATGCCTCAGTCGCTCATTTTGGTTGTCAGGATGAAAACAGCTCTAGAGACCAATGGTGGTGATGATTGCTCAGCAGTAAGAATGGATTTGATGTCACTGAACTATACACTTGAAATGGTTAAAATGGTAAATTTCATATTATGTACATTACCACAATAAAAAAAAAGTCACGACAACATATATCTGTAGCATACTGAACTATTTCTGGGAAAAAATTCTGTGTCAGAGATTTCACTCCAAAATAATCCAACAGGAAAGGGAAAGATGGAGGGATGGGTGGGGTGCGGATGAAGCTGGATGGATTGAACATTGGTTAAGCTGAGTGGTGGGTATGTGGGGGCTAATTACATGATTCTCTCTACTTTTGTATGTTGTAACATTTTCATAATAAAAAGTTAAGCAATAAAATGAGTTGGCCGGGCACGGTGGCTCACGCCTGTAATCCCAGCACTTTGGGAGGCTGAGGCGGGCGGATCACGAGGTCAGGAGATCCAGACCATCCTGGCTAACACGGTGAAACCCCATCTCTACTAAAAATACAAAAAATTAGCCGGGTGAGGTGTTGGGCACCTGAAGTCCCAGCTACTCAGGAGGCTGAGACAGGAGAATGGCGTGAACCCGGGAGGCAGAGCTTGCAGTGAGCCGAGATCGCGCCACTGTGCTCCAGCCTGGGTGACAGAGCGAGACTCTATCTCAAAAAAAAAAAAAAAAAAAAGAAAAAAAAAAGAAAATGAGTCTATCAGTTGTTTTCCAGCTATAGAAGGTGTCTGCTGTAATTCACCATAACCATGGGGCCTGAGGTCGCACAAGTTTTAAACCTAGAGTTTTATTCGTAACAACCTTACCCATAGCAAAGAAAAACATTTTTATTAAAAAGTGGACAAAGGATACTTGTTAGAGGTAGGAACGTTCACTAAGAATTTGGAAATTCAGGAAATAAGATTTCCCTCTCAGAGTTAAACTGTAAAATCAATACTGACCGATTGGGAAAGAGATATCCAAAGGACTCAAGTTGTTCTGGCATTTGCAGGAGAAAATTCAACCTGCTCTGACTGGTGGGAAGGGCTGAGACCCAGGACAGACCACAGAGGTCTCGGCAAGCACCTTCCTTCCTCCATGAGTCTAAGGGGTTTGGGAGTGCGGGGGTGGTCTCTGGCTGTGCAGTGAGTCTATGTCTGCTCATGAGTCCTTCTGGTTTGCATTACCCAGGCCAGGTGGAGGAGATGAAGGAATCCTCTGGAACAGGTAACTATAAACTAATTGAATATGTTACTATATCTAAATAATCAATGCATTGTGAACCCAAAAGGGGTTTATAGTCAATAAAAGCTTAGAGAAAATGCTGCCCAGGCGCTGCGCACATGCTGCAGGCTCACTCGTGGACTCCGGGTCTTCCTTAGAGCCCGCCCTCATGGTTCATCCTGTGGGGGACAGGAGAGCCAGAGGCTGCAGGTGGTGGACGCAGGCACCGTGGGGCCCCTGGCAAGGCCTGTGGTGGACGCAGGCACCGTGGGGCCCCTGGCAAGGCCTGTGGTGGACGCAGGCACCGTGGGGCCCCTGGCAAGGCCTGTGGTGGACGCAGGCACCATGGGGCCCCTGGCAAGGCCTCGTGGGCAAGCTTCCCACAGAGACCTGCACACAAGCCAGGCGTGGTGGCATGTGCCTGTGGTCCCACTCACTCAAGAGGCTGATGAGGGAGGACTGCTTGAGCCCAGGAGTTCAAGGCTGCAGAGAGCTATGATCACACCACTGCACACCAGCCTGGGCAACAGAGGAGACCCTGACTCTTAAAAAAAAAAAAAATCAACAAAATAAAGAGACCTGCATACAGCAACACAGGGGCTGGTCTTGGATGAGACCCAACCGCCTTGTCCCTCTGACCATTCCACTGTGTGTCGAATAAACCAACATTGTGTGCTCATCACTGCTTCCATGAACCTGGTTATTGTGCATCTGTCCCTGAACTCACTTGTGTTAGGTCTTCTGCTGAAATAGAAACTCTATTCTGGGGACATTAGCAAAGCACCTTGGGTCTCCACAGCCTCTGGGCCCCGCTGGCCTCCCTCAGACCATCCTGGTGAAACCTGTCAGTAGTTGGGGGTCCAACTCCTCCAACCCCACCCCCACTACCTTTTCTTCCTGGCTTTCAAGCTCATTGGCCTACTGTATATGGCTCGCTCTGTATCTGTTTGCACATAGAGGTAATGCCACAAATAAAACGCGAAACAGCAGCATTTCAGAGAGAAAAATCACATCCAGAATATTCCAAGCCACTTAAATCTTCTGGAAAAGTGGAAGAGACAACCATGAAAGTGTTAATATTGAACCAAGACCACATTTTAAAATGCCAAGCTTGTATGTGATTGTGAGATGTAATATAAGCTGAGGAATTATTGTAATTCTATCATAATTTACTACTTTACCAAAAATAAACTGATAAGATAAATAAGTACTGCTGCTAATGCCCAATTGACTAATATGACCTGAATAGAAATAAAATATTAGATGAGCTTGAGTTGCCAAGATTAAACTAGATTAGTGATAGAATCTCAGAGTCCTGTTTCGATATAATTAAAGTGGTGATTTAATGTGTCTTTAGCTCAGAATCGTTGTAAGAGCTTTTTTTGTAATAGCGTAGAAATGAATACACACTCGTCCAAGCCACAGAGGAATAAAAGGTTGTAATATTTTTGAGTTCCCTTGGCAGGGTAATCCATTCTCATCAATCTCACACTCTGCAGGGGAACATAAGGATGTTTTTCTTCCAATCATTGGCCGTCATTATTTAATGTAGGCTAACAGCCACAGTCTTCATTAATATATTAACCTATGGCTCACAAAGGCCTTGCAGTAAACCAAATGACAATTCCTCATGACAGGTTTATATCATAGGGCTCAGAGATAGTCACCATCTGAAACGCTGACCTCTGGGATAAGCTTAATATTGATACCCAACTGAAGAAGAGGCTAGCCAGCAAGAGAGAGGAATTCAAGTGCCCAGCTCGTGAGTTGCTACTCATTGCTATTAAAGACAAGCTGGTCAAAAACACATCTCATGCAACCATGTAATGGAAGATTTTACAACTTTCATAGGAATGAGGCAGATCTACATGTTGCAAAACAGAACAGACAAAAACGGATATATATGGTTACAGGAAAAACAATGGTGAGTACATGTCATCAGTTCTCATTTGCTCAGCATTCTGGCATGAAGGGGTCCCCAGAGAAATGGCTGACTGCCGTCCCGATCACCCCAAAGCAAAACCCATCCACAGCTCCGGGGAAACACAGAGCACAGCTTCTCCATGCCCCCAGCTTTGAGTCATTATAAAGGCAATCACGGACTCTCATAAAAGTGTAACTGGCTTGTAAAACATGTGTTTATGGACTTTCTTTTTTTTTTTTTTTTCTGAGATGGAGTCTCGCTCTTGTCGCCTAGGCGGCCCCAATCCTGGGAGCGTGGTGCCGCGGGCCTGTCCATGCCTGATCTGTGCCTGGAGGCGTCCTCCACCCCGACTACTGTCAATGAAGAGAGTCAAACTCTAAAATATTTGAAGAGATTTCCTGTGAGCCAAATATGAGTGACCAATTCTTACAGTTGGTAGCAAGTCAGACATGAGCAGACAGGAGAGGGCCCCCCTCCAGCCAGGAGTGTCAGGTGACCATCAGGTGATGGTCATGTGGCTGTCAACTGTCTCTCTAAAATAATTAGTTGCAGCTGGCACCAAGGAAAAGCAGCCCCCACAATAGACAGAAACACCTGCAACTGGTGATCAGCTGCTTCCTGATAAGATCTCAGGAGCTGGGCAAGTGGCTCAAGTATGTGCACTAAGAGGCAAACCTGGAGGATGACGTTCCTCTAGGAACGCCGGGCTGGAGGATGACCTTCCTCTAGGAACACCGGGCTGGAGGATGACCTTCCTCTGGGAACACTGGGCTGGTAAGGGAAGAATGCCTCAAGGGAGCATGTGTACAACTCCAGTAAACACACTATGCACGCAGCCCCTACCAAGTGCTGGCAGGCCACTGTGCATGTGGACAGCCCACCCCACAGGAAGAATCAGAGCAGAAGGGATGTAAGACCCCTGGCCCTAAGTCAAAGGCCGTGGACTTGATCTCTCGAGTCGCCCACTTGGCCGTCTTCCAAGTATACTTTCCTTCCTTGTGTTCCTGCTCTAAATGTTTCAACAAACTTTCAGACCTGCTCTAAAATGTGCCTAAATCTCTCAGTCTGCTTTGTGCCCCTCAGCTGAATTCTTTCTTCTGAGGAGGAAAGAATTGAGGTTGCTGCAGACCCATGCAGGCTCGCTGCCACTAACACCATGACCCAGGCCACAGCCCTCCGGAGACCCTGAGAACATATGTCCAAGGTGGTTGGGCTACAGCTTGGCTTTGTACATTTTAGGGAGACATAAGACATCAGCCAATACATGTAAGATGTACGTTGGTTCGGTTTGGAAAGGTGGGACAATTGGAAGGGGCAGGGGCTTCCAGGTCATAGGTGGATTCAAAGATTTTCTGATGGGCAGTTGGTTGAGTTATTATCTAAAGACCTGGAATCAATAGAAAGGAATATCTGGATTAAGACATGCAATTGTGTGCCAGGGGTGCAGTGGCTCACACCTGTAATCCCAGCACTTTGGGAGGTCGAGGCAGGCGGATCACAAGGTCAGGAGATCAAGACCATCCTGGCTAACACGGTGAAACCCTGTCTCCACTAAAAATACAAAAAACTAGCCGGGCGTGGTGGCACACACCTGTAGTCCCAGCTACTCGGGAGGCTGAGGCAGGAGAATCGCTTAAACCTGGGAGGCAGAGGTTGCAGTGAGTCGAGATCGCGCCGCTGCACTCCAGCCCAGGCGACAGAGCCAGACTCCGTCTCAAAAAAAAAAAAAAAAAGATACGGAATTGTGGAGACCAAGGTTCTTACTTCGCAGGTAGCAGGCTTCAGAGGGAGAATAGATTGTAAATGTTTCATATTGGACATAAAAACGTGTCAGACTGTTTGTTGATTGTCTCCTGGATCAGGAAAAAGGTCTGGAAAACAGAAAGGGGTTCTCTACAGAATGGATTTTCCCCACAAGAGACAACTTTGCAGGGCTATTTCAAGATCTGGCAAGGAAGCATATTTGGGTTAAAATATTTTTATTTCCTTCCTTATCTGTCATGTGAGGTTATGCCAGAGTCAGGTGGAAAGTGAACCACATTATATAGGATTAAATAAAACCCTTCCAGTAAGACTACGGTTTATAGTATGGACTCCCCAGGCCCCTTAGATAGGAATTTGGGCAAGAGAAGAAAAAGATCAGAGTTCAGACCCCACTGCTCTCCTCCAGAATGTGGGCAAAGAGTTGGCTGTCTCACCTGTGCAGGGGGCACAGTGACATCCATCGCAGACCATGGTTGGGAGGAGCAAATGAGAACATCATCGAGAGCTCTCACCCCTGCCTGGCACACGGAGAAGGCTCAACAAATAGCAGCTATCGGTGTGACTGCTGCTGCTCGAAGAGAGGAAATTCTGCAAAGCTGAACAGCCTGAGGATGGTTTCTGGGCATTCCCCAACCACGGTTCCTCCTCACCCCTGGTTCCTCCTCATCCTCTGATCTCAAAGCTCCCAGTGCCTCAAGGCTCCCCCGGGCGGGTTTTCTGTCTGCCCTCCCTCTTACAGGGAGCTTATTCCTGCTCAGGGTTTTAAACGTCATCTACCTGCTGATGACTTCATCTCCAGACCAAGCCAAGCCCCTGAAATACACACTGTATTCCACTGTTTATCTGACATCTCAACTTGGATGCTTAATTAATCCCCAGGGGCATGAACAGAACCAGCCAGTAGAGACCCGGGAGCTCATTCCGATTCCTGGACCACGATCCTGCAGGGACAGGGCCGTCTTCCTCCCCTTCTCCCAGTGGGAAGTGCTGGGATTACAGGTGTGAGCCACCGCACCCAGCCTAAATGCATTTTTAAAGTGTTATCTGTAAAACATCATACAGTTAAAAATGACTTTTTTAGATGACAGTTCTATGAACTCTAACACGTGTACAGATATGCGGAACCACAGCCACTGTCAGAACAATTGTACTCCAAAACAAGAAAACGGGCTGGGTGCAGTGGCTCATGCCTGTAATCCTAGCCCTTTGGAAGGCCAAGGCAGGAAGATCACCTGAGGTGAGGAGTTTGAGACCAGCCTGGTCAACATGGTGAAACCCCATCTCTACTAAAAATACAAAAATTAGCCGGGCATGATGGCAGGCGCCTGTAATCCCAGCTACTCGGTAGGTTGAGGCAGGAGAATCGCTTGAACCTGGGAGAAGGAGGTTGCAGTGAGTGGAGATCGTGCCAATGCACTCCAGCCTGGACGACAAGAGCAAAACTCCATCTCAAACAAAACAAAACAACAATCAGTTTGTGCAGTTTACAGCCTCTCCATCACAATGCTCTCCAACATCCATGAGAAGGTTTAATAACTTTAAAAGCAAAAGCCCTGTTTTTAAATTCTTGAGAAGCAAACTAGTTTTTTGGTTTTCTATCTGGTACCCTCCAAAATATAAACCCATTAAGTGTAGCTTCCAAGTAACCTGACCTCAAGCAATCCTCCTACCTCAGCCTCCCAAAGTGCTTGGATTACAGGCGTGCGCCACCTCGCCTGGCCAGTACTTCTTGACATTACCAACATCGTGAGTTCAGCCCTTAAACAGGGTTGCTTTGTATGATCAATTAGATGCCAGGACTGGTCTGACAAGAATACCTATTTTGATGTTGGTTGGCATAACTAATACTTTGCTGTTTCTGTTGACAATGGTTGACCGGTAGGTTTAGTTGCTCTTTGAGGCCTGCTGAGAACTCAGCCATGGCCCTGTATCATCAAGATGGAGGATCATCTCTTGCTTATTTAATTTTAGAGGCCATAGGACCAGATTGGCAAAGAACCATTCCAAAATCTTTAGCTGTATAGGCTGAGTAGGTCAGAGCCATCTTAACATAGTTAAACATGCCGTTTGATGTCAGAAGGCTATTCCTACCCACTCTGATTTTCTTGGTGACATTATGATAAAGGCGAAAGGTACATTAAAAGCTTTGGATCTATACTGGGGTCGTAAAATGTCACCCATAGACAGTTCCTGTCTAGGGATTCATTTGCCAGACAGATCAATAAATGCTGTGAAAAGTTCTACAATAAGTATTCCCAACCAGCTGTTCTGCAAAGCACCCGTGAGTGTACGCTAGTGAAACAGTAAAATGTTTCTGTAATTTCAGTATCAAATATATAATTTACTCAAATAGAATAAATTGGTTTTCAGGAAACTTAATTGAGAAACGGTGTGTTAGACTTGCCTTGTTTTCTAGGATAAAATCCTGATAATTACCACTGCCTGAGAGCCAACCCCAGAGAGGCGGATGCTGGAGATTTTACTCCTCAGTGTGGGGGTTAAAACTTGCTATGTAGTGATGGTACAGTGTCTGTCATTGAGAAATGCCTTTATTATGGCAAAAATCCAGGTATTTCCAACTCACCAGGAAGAAGACAAAATAAGCAAATGTATCTTGGTAGATGTTTACTCTTTGAATGTCAATAAGAATTTCACTCTGAAAGACAGCAGGTTTCCATTGTCCTCAGACAGGCAGCAGACAGCTGGGTCAGGAGCCGTGCTAACAAGTGAACCCAAGGTGAGGGAACTTTCAGATCCACACTCAATCTCTCCAACAGGAAGCATCGCTTTCCTGGCAACGGAAAGATTAATCATACATTGCACCAG
Source organism: Homo sapiens (assembly GCF_000001405.40). Classification (NCBI taxonomy): domain Eukaryota; kingdom Metazoa; phylum Chordata; class Mammalia; order Primates; family Hominidae; genus Homo; species Homo sapiens. The sequence goes on from NC_000007.14 coordinate 156,932,207, forward strand.
GGAGAGACGAAGCTTGGTAATGTGAGACTGTGATTTACAATGATCTCCTGATTTATTGTTGTGTATTTTTAAGCCATATTATTTAAAATGCAGCTAATTTAAAAGCTAGTGTTCAGCACCGCGTGACTGCTGCTAAAGATCTACTCTCTGCTGATAAGAGAAGCACCGTGTTCTGTCCACTTACTCCCAGGTCCCCACAGCAGATCCAACCTCTAACAAAATCGCCTGTCAGGCGACGAATGTTGCTTTTCTTTGGGAAGTTATTATTTCTGTCTTTTTGTGTGTGTTTCCAATGCAGTTTATTTTTATTTTTATTCTTTATTTCTTAATTTTTTTTTGAGGCGGAGTCTCACTCTATTGCCCAGGCTGGAGTGTAATGGCACAATCAGCTCACTGCAACCTCCACCTCCCGGGTTCAAGAGATTCTCCCACCTCAGCCTCCCGAGTAGCTGGGATTACAGGCGCCCACCACCATGCCCAGCTAATTTTTGTATTTTTAGTAGAGACGGGGTTTCACCATGTTGGCCAGGCTGGTCTGGAACTACTGACCTCAGGTGATCCGCCCACCTCGGCCTCCCAAAGTGCTGGGATTACAGGTGTGAGCCACAGCGCCTGGCCTATTTCTTCCTGTTTTTTTTTTTTTTTTTTAGAGACAGGGTATCTGTCTGTCACCTAGGCTGGAGTGCAGAGGTGCGATCATAGCTCACCGTAGCCTCAGACTCCTGGGCTCAAGTGATCCTTCCAACTCAGCCTCCTGAGTAGCTGGAACTACAAGCCTGTGCCACAATGCCTGGCTTCAAATGCAGTTTAAATATTACAGAAGCCCACATAAGGACAGTACTTAATACTAACAAACAGCCTTGCTGGATGAATACAGTGATATATATTTTTAGTTTTACTTTAATTATTCTTCATCATTCGACTTCAAACATGTATTTTTAAAGGGGCCCTTTTGTAACCAGCATAACTGACACCACTTGTGTTACATGAAGCTCTTGCAGATGGTTCCCTTTAGTCCTAGCTTAGTTCCACAGATGGGCAATTCAGCCAACACCCTCATTTCATGGGTGAGGAAACTGACGTGTCCCAAGCCACACAACAGCCTTTGCTGCACTGCATTCCTGGTTAGGTGGGCACTTACTGAGTCTACCATTTGCAGAATCTGCAACTCTACTTCTATGCCACACCAATTGCTGCCTTCTGGGATTTGGGAGGCATTGAATGAGTGGATTTTTTTTCAAGCTTAGGATAGTGCTTGTCTTATGGTAAACACACAATAAATGTTATATCCTTATGATGACTGCTACGGAACAATTAAAATCTATCCGACTTCATTATGTGCTAAATATGGTTACTACGAGACAACAGACTGTGCAACACTAAACGCGGTACTGCATGTAAATAATGTTTTGAAAGGACCTGTCAAACTTTTTCCCCAAAATTTACAATGTTGCAATGCAAATAATTAAAATGAAAAATAGACACGATTTCCCATGTGAACCTTGACATCCCCAACTTGAGCAATTTTTTTACTTTTTTTTTTTTTTTTTTGAGACTAAGTCTTGCTCTGTCACCCAGGCTGGAGTGCAGTGGTGGGATCTTGGCTCACTGCAACCTCCGCCTCCCGGGTTCAAGCAATTCTCGAGCCTCAGCCTCCCAAGTAGGTGGGATTACAGGCACCCGCCACCATGCGTGGCTAATTTTTGTATTTTTAGTAGAGAGGGGTTTTCACCATGTTGGCCAGGCTGGTCTCGAACTCCTGACCTCAGACAATCCGCCCGCCTTGGCCTCCCAAAGTGCTGGGATTACAGGCATGAGCCACCGCGCCTGGCCTTTTGTACAAATTTAAAACATCTCCAATCAACGGACAACCGCGTGTTTTCTGAAGGCCCTTATGCCAGGCCCTGAAAAGATAATTTCCAACCTTAGGGAGATCGAGAATGGGGAAGAAAAGACTCCAGGGCAATTTTCTTCAGGGCAATTTTTTTTTTTTTTTTTGAGACAGCATTTTGCTGTTGTCACCCAGGCTGGAGTGCAATGGCACCAGCTCGGCTCACTGCAACCTCCACCTCCCAGGTTCAAGCGATTCTCCTGCCTCAGCCTCCCAAGTAGCTGGGATTATAGGCGCCTGCCACCATGTCCAGCTAATTTTTGTATTTTTAATACAGACGGGGTTTCACCATGTTGGCCAAGCTGGTCTCAATCTCCTGGCCTCATGATCCACCCGCCTCAGCCTCCCAAAGTGCTGGGATGACAGGTGTGAGCCACCGCGCCCGGCCCAAGATTCCAGGGCAATTTCAAAAGGGAGATGGGATTCGGCCTGGTTGCTGTGTGAGAAAGCGTTGGCCACATGGCAAGGGCAGGAGCCAGGCTGGGGAGGCTGTGCTGGTGGTGGTGGGCACAGGTGTGGATCCCGCACTGGGAGGCCTGGGCTGCAGGGGAGGAGAATGAGCCTCATGAAGCCTGCAGCAATGTCATCTGGCACCCAGCCCTTTCCTCTGGCGAATTCCGCTCTCTGCGTTCAGGGCATGACTCCTGCCTCCCGACCTCACAAGGCAGGAATCCTCAGGGAGCTGCCACCTTCACACCAGCCACCCTCCTGGGCACTGAGGTAAGGAGAAGTAAGACAGTAAGAATGGAGGATGATTCCCTCCTCCCCTTTGTTTCTCCAAAACTGTGTGTGTTGAAGAAAGAACCTTAGGCTGAGGAGAAGAAATCCGGCTTGGTTTCAGAAAGAGAGAGGGCCAGGCGCGGTGGCTCACACCTGTAATCCCAACACTTCAGCACTTCGGGAGGCCAAAGCAGGTGGATCACCTGAGGTCAGGAGTTTGAGACCAGCCTGGCCAACATGGTGAAACCCTCTCTGTACTAAAAACACAAAAATCAGCTGGGTGTGGTGGCATGCGTCTGTAATCCCAGCTACTCAGGAGGCTGAAGCAGGAGAATTGCTTGAACCCAGGAAGCCGAGGTTGCAGTGAGCCAAGATCGCGCCACTGCACTCCAGCCTGGGCGACAGAGCAAGACTCAATCTCAAAAAAAAAAAAGAAAGAAAGACAAAGTGAGAACTCCACATGGCTTTTGCTTCTGAGTAGCCACTGGTTATTATTGGAGTTTGGCTGTTTTGTTTGTTAGCTGCCGTGGTAAGTCAGATTCTTTTGCCCACAGAGACAAAGATGTTCCTGCGAGTCACCTCGCTGGGAGTGGAGCTGAGAAGCCCTGCACTGAGCTGGTGTGAGACAGGGAGGTAAAGCCTGCAGGGAGGAGGTGGAAGGGCGAGGCCACCCCATGGGCAGCAGCCCTCAGAGTGGGCCAGGCCTGGAGGAGGGGAAGAAGCTGGACTGTGTATCCTCGATGCCCAGTTGTGCTGTTCCGGGACTGGCCCCACTGGCCCCCTGGGACCCAGAGAGAAAGACCTTTGCTCTGGGCATCACAGGCGTGCACAGCCGGAGACAGGGAGGCACCCACGGAAGCACCTTCTGCGGCCTCTCTTTCCAACTTTTTAAATGGTCTGCCATTTTTATTTTGAACTGTTTTTTTCTTTCTTTTTGAGACAGGGTCTTGCTCCGTTGGCCAGGTTGGAGGGCAGTGGCGTGCAATCGCAGCTCATTGCAGCATCTCCCTCCTGGGCTCAAGTGATCCTCCTGCCTCTGGCCCCCGAAGTACTGGGATTACAGGCATGAGCCACCATGACTGGCCTATTTTGAACTTTTCATAATAAGAAAAAACTTTTTCCATCTAGAAAACATAAAATACACCTGGATGTTGCACTGACAGGATTTCCGTATGGAGAGAACCATGTTTGGACTTAGTTTGTGATCTGAGTAATACTAAAGGGGAGGTGACTTTAGCCAGTGATGATACTAAGTAGTGTCTTATGCAATTTGAAAAAGCCACATTCAAGTTCTATTAGTTTGCTCTAGGCCTGAGTAACATAGCCGCATAGAAAGATAGAGGGTTTTTTTGTTGTTGTTTTGTTTTTTTTTTTTTTTGAGTTAAGGTCTTGCTCTGTTGCCCAGGCTGGAGTGCGGTGGTGTGATCTCAGCTTACCACAACCTCCACCTCCCAGGTTCAAGCCATTCTCATGCCTTCTCATGCCTCAGCCTCCCAAGTAGCTGGGATTATAGGCAGGAGCAACCACACCCAGCTAATTTTTTTCTGTTTTTAGTGGAGATGAGTTTCACTATGTTGGCCAGGTTGGTCTCAAACTCTTGGCCTCAAGTGATCCTCCCACCTCGGCCTCCCCAAGTGCTCGGATTACAGGCATGAGCCACTGTGCCCAGCCAAAAGACAGAGTTTTGTAAGTCCTGTAAAAGCAGCACACACCCTCGGTCCAATGTTGGCTAACCCGGCAGCAAGTACAAGGCATTAGGGTGAATCTTCTCAAGCAAGAATGTGAATGGGAAACCACCTCCAGGTAAGATTACCCTGCGAGAATACAAAACTGCCTGGCATAGACACAACAAAAACAAAGAAAGTCACAACAAAATAATGAGAAGTCTTACACAACTAACAAAATAGGCATAATTTTTTTTTTTTCCTGAGGCAGGGTCTTGCTCTGTTACCCAGGCTGGAGTACAGTGGTGTGATCTCGGCTCACTGCAGCCTCCACTTGCTAGGCTCAATGGATCCTCCCACCTCAGCCTCCCCGAGTAGCTGGGAGTACAGGCCCATGCCACCACACCTGGCTAATTTTTGCATTTTTTGTAGAGATGGGGTCTCACTATGTTGCCCAGGCTTGTCTCAAACTCCTGGGCTCAAGAGATCCTCCCACCTTGGCCTCCCAAAGTGCTGGGATTATAGGCATGAGCTACAATGCCCTGCCCCAATAGGCATAACTTCTATCAAGAAGGTAAAGTATATAAGCGTCAAAAATATAGCAATTCTTAATTTGAGGGCATTTGGTAACATTTGCTACAAATGAGGGGAGCACCTCTAGAAAATAGAAAAATGTACTCAAAAGAAGGAAAGTGGATAGAAAGAACGGGAAGAGCTAGTGAAAATGAATGATGCGTCTGAAATACAGCCAGTACTGGATATAACTGTGTTAGTCAAATGCGTGAGAACTGGCCAACGAGGCCTGGTCAGGGAACAAAGTGTTTTGCAAAGACTCTGGTAATCAGGGTGAGATTGATAACCACGATGAAAGCCGCAACATTAATAACAAAAGATCAGCGACACAGACAAACATATTTATAGATCATTGCCTCAACTGGAGGCCCGCGAAGGCCCAGATGTATCACTGCTTTCAAATTTATTTATAGATCAATGTCCTGATGTGATAAACAGTTGGCTTGTAAACTAAAGATACTGAAAACCACAACATACAACTATGAATTTTTCCTTTTCTTTACTGTGCAAGAGATGTCAGCGCAGGTCTATAGTCCGGGGACAACTCCTTACTCATCTGATGAATGGGATGAACCATGTCAGAGGAAGAGCTAACCCTGCAGCCAAATTCTAATAAACAACAGGCTCAAGACCCTTGTCGACAAGCTCAGCCCAGACTCCAAAGTTCCACTGGAAGCATCTCCCACAGAAATGGCCTTCTCTGTGTTGCATACGACCCTACTGCTACAGCTTGGTGCTGTCCAAACTCCGGGGAGAGGAACCGGAACCTTTCAGTTCTTGGCTCAGCCATTCCATAGACAATATTGCAACAGGAAACGACTGAGGCTGTGGCGGCCTCTGGAAGTTCATTTCTGCCCACGTGTATCTGCCTTGAGTGTTCTAAGGCACTTATTCATTCATTTGTTCGTTTGCTCACTTGCCCGTCAAACATCTGAGTGCTGACTGCATGTCAGGAGTTTAAATAGGCCCTGGGGTAGAAATGTGAACAGTAGTCAGTTGAATAGGAATCGGAGGGCTAGACTCAAAGTCTCATGTGGGAGACAGAGGTAAGCACAGAGAGTTCCGTATTGTCAGGGTTACCCATCAGGGCACCAGGCACAGGAGTGGAGGACAGAGGAGGCCTCTTGCCTGGGGAAGCAGGGAATCCATCACCCAGCAGAGCAGAGGCAGAGGGGCAGAGAGGGTGCCAGCCAGAGGGCAGGTAAGGTGCCAATGTAAGTGCTGCCCTGTGGCAGCATGGGGTTCCAGCTACTGGGGAGACTTGAGCCCAGGAGTTTGAGGCCAGCTTGGGCAACATGGTGAGACCCTGTCTCTTCAAAAAAAAAATTAAAAAAAGTAGTCAATGTGTGTGTTGGGTGGGCGGGGAGGAGTCCAGAATGGCCTTAAAGGCCAAGCATGAAGGAACCCGGCACTCCTGGTACACATGCAGCCACTGAATGATTTGAGGAGGGGAATGGGACATTGAAGAAGGGGAAGTTTGGGGACTTGGGGACGGTGGAGTCAGGGCTTCTCCCCTCTCCAGGAGGCTGACCTCATGTTACTGGGAAAAGACGAAACCGCCTGAGACCACTCGGTATAGGGAGGGTGTGGGGGATGGGTGCTTACTCTCCCTGGGAGTGCAAACCGGCACAGCTTTTGGGTTGGAAATTTGGCATTATCTGTTAAATTTAAAAATAATATTCCTACCTTTCCCTAAGCAATTTCCAGAAGGAAATTCTTGTAAAATTTGCACAACTCTGCAAAATACACAAAGGGAAGTTTACTATAGCATTTTTTTTTAGATGGAGTCTCGCTCTGTCACCCAGGCTGGCGTGCAGTAGTACAGTCTCGCCTCACAGCAACCTCTGCCTCCCGGGTTCAAGCGATTCTCCTGCCTCAGCCTCTCTAGTAGCTGGGACTACAGGCGTGCGCGACCACGCCCAGCTAAGTTTTGTATTTTTAGTGGAGACGGGTTTTCATCATATTGGCCAGGCTGATCTCGAACTCCTGACCTCAGGTGACCCACCCACCTCGGCCTCCCAAAGTGCTGGGATTACAGGCGTGAGCCACTGCACCTGGCCTACTATAGCATTTTGTAATAGTATAAAAAAAATGTACGTTGTTAAAAGAAAACAATAAAATATTCCCCATTACCGGATTGGTTACATAAATCACATCCATAAAGCCACTGAAAAGAGTGAGGGATCCAGACTTTCCGACTCCAGTGTGCAAGCGAATCATCCAGGGAGGCTGTGAGAATGTAGACTCTGCCTCAGGGTCTGGGGAGGGCCTGAGGGGCTGCACTTCTCATAGCCTGCAGGTGCACAGCTGCTGCCACCCTGGGGCCCTGCGCCAGGTAGCCAGGACCCAGATGACCAAAAGCAAGCGGGAACATCAGAAACAGTATATCCTACATTGGTTTAAAAAAATAATAATGCAAGTTAATATACACATCACATATCCAGAAAGATATGCATTTCTGGAAGGAAGAACTTATGGTGGACTTTTCCTTCTACATTTTATATACATAATTGTAACATTTCAATTTTTATAATAATCACGAATTATCTTTGCAACCAGAAAAAAAAACTCAACATGTTAAGGTAATCGACCAATAAATTGATGCATTAAAACAAAAAAATTGTGAACCTGAGTCAAAAGTTACACTTTATTATTATTATTATTATTATTATTATTATTATTATTATTATTATTTGAGACAGAGTCTCACTCTGTCACCCAGGCTGGAGTGCAGTGGTGTGATCTCAGCTTGCTACAACCTCCATCTCCCAGGTTCAAGCAATTCTCCCACCTCAGGCTCCCCAGTAGCTGGGATTACAGGCATGCGCCACCACGCCCAGCTAATTTTTGTACTTTTAGTAGAGTTGCGGTTTCACCATGTTGGCCAGACTGGTCTCGAACCCCTAACCTCAAGTGATTCACCCACCTTGGCCTCCCAAATTGCTGGGATTACAGGCGTGAGCCAGTATGCCTGGCCACAAGTCATACTTTAAATCACATATGATATTACTTTTAATTACTTTTTTTTTGAGACAGGGTCTCACTCTGTCGCCCAGGCTGGAGTGCAGTGGCGTGATCTCAGCTTGCTACAACCTCCATCTCCCAGGTTCAAGCGATTCTCCCACCTCAGTCTCCCCAGTAGCTGGGACCACAGGCATGTGCCCCCACACCTGGTTAATTGTTGTAATTTTTTTAGAGATGGGGTTTTGCCAGTGTTGCCGAAACTGGTCTCCAACTCCTGGGCTCAAGTCATCCTCTCGTCTCAGCCTCCCAAAGTGCTGGGATTACAGGGCTATTATTTTTAAAGAGCTGTTCTAATCAGAGCCCCAAGTGGCTACTTTTTTTCCAGGCTGGGGGACGTTCTGGGATACAACAGCCTTCTGTCCACCCATCCGGATTGCAAGGTCCTGCAGGCTGCAGGGTGGCCTGCGGAAAATGCAATGCCGTTACTGTCCCTCTCTCACCCTCACCCACGCCCCACCCAAAACATGGCCATGCTTCCTGCTGCTCCCAGAACAAACACAAAACACTCCCGGATCGGCAGAGCTTTCACGCCCGGCCCTGGCCACCTCGCCAGCCGCATGTCTCACGCAGGTCTCCTCATGCCCGGCACTCTTGCTGCCCTTCAGACCCTAGTGTGTGCCACCTGCACCCCACAAACCGACCTCAGCATCATCAATGCGCTGGTTCATGTTTGCATTCCTCTCCTGTCCAGCCAGGTGGCAGAGCCTCCCATTTCCCCACTCCGAGCCCCTTTACCCAGGACTGTGGAAATAGGACTCTTTCCCATGCGACTGGGTGATGAGGCGCGACCGGGTGACGAGGCGCGACCGGGTGACGAGGCGCGACCGGGTGACGAGGCGCGAATGGGTGACGAGGCGCGATTGGGTGACGAGGCACACGCTGGGTGAAGAGGTGTGCGCTGGGTGACGAGGTGTCGTTGGGTGACGAGGCGCGAATGGGTGACGAGGCGCGATTGGGTGACGAGGCGCGACTGGGTGACGAGGTGCGAATGGGTGACGAGGCGCGATTGGGTGACGAGGCGCGACTGGGTGACAAGGCGCGACTGGGTGACGAGGCGCGATTGGGTGACGAGGAGCACGCTGGGTGAAGAGGTGTGCGCTGGGTGACGAGGTGTCATTGGGTGACGAGGCGCGAATGGGTGACGAGGCGCGATTGGGTGACAGGGCGCATGCTGGGTGACGAGGCACGTGCTGGGTGACGAGGCGCGACTGGGTGACGAGGCGCAAATGGGTGACGAGGCGCGATTGGGTGACGAGGAGCACGCTGGGTGAAGAGGTGTGCGCTGGGTGAAGAGGTGTGCGCTGGGTGACGAGGTGTCGTTGGGTGACGAGGCGCGACTGGGTGATGAGGCGCGACTGGGTGATGAGGCGCGAATGGGTGACGAGGTGCGACTGGGTGACGAGGCGCGACTGGGTGACGAGGCGCATGCTGGGTGACGAGGCGCGTGCTGGGTGATGAGGCACGACTGGGTGACGAGGTGTCGTTGGGTGACGAGGCGCGACTGGGTGACGAATGGGTGACGAGGCGTGACCAGGTGACGAGGCGCAAATGGGTGACGAGGCGCGATTGGGTGACGAGGTGCATGCTGGGTGACGAGGCGCGTGCTGGGTGACGAGGTGTCGGGTGACGAGGCGCAACTGGGTGATGAGGCGCGAATGGGTGACGAGGCGCACGCTGGGTGAAGAGGTGTGCGCTGGGTGACGAGGTGTCGTTGGGTGACGAGGCGCGACTGGGTGAGGCGCGAATGGGTGACGAGGCGCAATTGGGTGACGAGGCGCGACCGGGTGACGAGGCGCGAATGGGTGACGAGGCGCAACTGGGTGACGAGGCGCGATTGGGTGACGAGGCGCGATTGGGTGACGAGGCGCGAATGGGTGACGAGGCGCGACTGGGTGACGAGGCGCGATTGGGTGACGAGGCGCGAATGGGTGACGAGGCGCGATTGGGTGACGAGGCGCGCGCTGGGTGAAGAGGCACGACTGGGTGACAAGGTGCGCTGGCATCTGCAGGGTCACAGATGCAGGGGTCTTTCAAGTGGGGAGCAGCCAAAAATGCTCACATTAGGCCTCCCTCATGTTAGGATCTTCGGTTGAAAAATCTCCCACATAGGCCGGGCGCGGTGGCTCACGCCTGTAATCCCAGCACTTTGGGAGGCCGAGGCGGGTGGATCAAGAGGTCAGGAGATCGAGACCATCCTGGCTAACACGGTGAAACCCCGTCTCTACTAAAAATACAAAAAATTAGCCGGGTGTGGTGGCGGGCACCTGTAGTCCCAGCTACTCGGGAGGCTGAGGCGGGAGAATGGCGTGAACCCGGGAGGCGGAGCTTGCAGCGAGCCGAGATCGCGCCACCGCACTCCAGCCTGGGCGACAGAGCGAGACTCCGTCTAAAAAAAAAAGAAAAATCCCCCACAAAGTATTAGAAGTCCTGGCTTCAGAGCAAAGAAACCTCCACCCCAGGAGATCAGAACCAGCGCAGATGGCCCAGCGGCCACCGGCCAGGCCTCAGAGAACGATCACAGACAGAAAACTCACGCAGGTCAGCGGCCTCAGGGAGTTCACCACCAACCACTGAGCCGTTCTGTGCGCCAGACCCCGGCTGAGCACTCGGCGCAAGTAATCGATTTTCACTCATGGGGTTCCTGTGGAGCGGGATGGCAGCGAGGCTGCGGGCTCCTTTTCCCCAGTGAGTCGCGGAGGAGGACTGAAGGAGGGGCCTGGGTTCCGGGAGCACCAGCGGTGCAACCCCGGGGGAGGCCCTGGTCTACGGCGCGGGGAGCTCAGCCAGTGCGGCAGGCGTGAGGCTGGGCGGGAGGAGAGCTCTCCCGCTCCGCTGACTCACCTGGCGGCCTTGACACACAGAAACAGGCCCCAGCTGAAGGTGCGGCGGGCCGGCACCCTCCTCTCAGGCTGGGAGCTACGGGAATCCTGGCTCCCCCCAGGCTCCTCTCCATGAACCGAGTGGCAAAGCCTGCGGGATGAGCAGTGTGGGGAGGTGTTTGTGGAGCCCGTCACCCTTCAGCCTCTGAAAGACTCACCGTCAGACCAAGGAGCTGAGACCCCAGGAGAACGCACCCTCGCGGAGCCTGAGTCCGCAGACGTCTCAGTACAACCGCCCCCAAATGAAGACCTCAGAGGGCAGCCGACAGCTTGGGAACAGTGAGGGAAGGAGCAAGCAGCCCTCAGGCCCAGCACAGCAGCCACTCAGGGAGCACGGGGAGGGCCGGTGTAAGTTCCAAGCTGAAACGAGCATTTTTATAACAGCCCCGTGGCGTCGGCACCACCGCATCCCATTCCACAGATAGACCCAGGCTGGAGAGGTGAGCAAGGCCACGTGGCTGGAAATGGGGAGATCAGGGTTTCACCCCAAGCCTGAGAGCCCAGGGCCGCGCTGCTGACTACTCTGTGTGCATCTGGCAGCTGAACCTTCCTGTTCCCATCACCGTGAGGCCGTAAGTCTTGCTCACAACTACTTCCCACCTACCTAGCTCAGGTTCCTGGCAGGCGCCAGGATCCCCGGGAACTCCCCAGCACAGCCTGGTCTCCCAGCAGCCCGAGCAGACCGTGGTCAGCGGCTGATGGTGACCAAGCCCTGACGCTTTGTTCCAGCACAGCCAGAGTGCAGGTCGGGCTCCCACCCACAGTCTGGGGCGGGGACAGGTGGATGGGAGCAGTGCAGAGCACAGGAGGGCAGCTCCTGGAATGGTGACAGCCAGGGAAGGGAGCAGGGCTGCAGACAAAGGCCAGGCAGAACAGGGACATTGGTACAGTAGAGAAACCAGCTCTAAAATGATGCCTCACGGGCTGGGAAAGTGACTTACTCCTGACTCCTGTGTACACACAGTACCCTGAGGCGGTGAGCCGAGCCCCGGCTGCCGCCAACGCTCACTCCTGTACAGCACCCAACACACTGGGTGTTGGGGGCCCCTGTATCTCGTTTCTACACACCACAAAAAGTGCGGCTGTTGACCCAGAAGATGGAAATGTTTTCAGTGAGAAGATGCAGGGCTGTAGGTGTAGGTTGGAAGAGACGGGAGAGTGTTCAGCAGAAACTTGCGCCTGGCCCTCTGAATGGGGGGAAATGAATTTCTGTCTCCCCACACTTCCCGAACTTCTGTGCCAGAGCTTCCTTCCCCACTTCTAGACAACACCCCAGGTGCATCTCAGAGCTTTTCCAGTCACTTTTCAGCTTTAGAACAGCATCCTTTGCAGATTTTTAAAATAAATTCCAGCTAGACTGAAATCAAAATTTCATCTTTCCACCAGTTCAGACCTCACCTCAGTTCAGAAATCTGCTAGGAGGAGTGGGGCCTTTTCCTCACTTCCCTAACTTAGCGCATCCTCACATTATTGGGGGCTGGAGGTGCAGGGGGCACGATGTCATCCTCCCCTCTGACAGTTCCCCCACGCAGGACACTCTCCCGATGCCTCCTGTCCCCTGGGAATGGGTGAGAAAGCCATGCTTACGCCCTTGCCACCCTCTGCCTCTTCTTCTCTGACAGGGAAGGGTCTCAGGACCTCCCCAGCCTCTCTTGGCAGATCCTGCAGCTCCTGGACGGAAAAGAGGGGGAGCTCATCACCTACAAACCTCACCAGAGCTCCCAGGAAACAGAAAAAGCCCACATTCTTCCTGGTCACTCCACAGCACCCCCCCTTTCCTTCTGGGTCCCTTCCCTGCTCCAAACACCCCCAGCTCCCTGGAGACTCAGCCTGGACCACCGCAGACCATAGATGGGCAGACACCAGGGCCCGCCTTCAGGCGGAATTGTGCCCATCTGTGCTTCAGAGCCTTTCCCTGCACAATGAAGACGTGGTCTGCACCTCACATGGTGGCTGCCGTGAGGATGAAGGACGAGGCTTGGGAAGCCATCTGCACAGCTTCTGTCCACTGCAGGTGGGATACATGCTCTTGCTGCCCAGCTTGGCTTTCCTTCTGCCCGATGCCCATCCTCCACTCCAGCCAGGCAAGCTCACTGTGCCATGTGCCAGGCTCATTCAGAAGCCCTCACCTCCTCCCGCATTGTCCATGGGAAGTCCCACATCCTCTCAGGCATCAGAAATGCCCCTCTGAGTCAGGGTCCCCCCATCCCCCGCCTTTTCCAGGACACGCCCCTCCCCCTCCTCCTCCTCCAAGACAGGGAGCCCAGGGCACCAGGACACTTGTGCTGCAGGAGTTAGCGAGGCAATTCGGAGAAAAACGAGACAGATAAAAGTTGGAAAGGAGAAGGTTGGGACAGGGAAAGCTGATTGTCCCCAATATCTGTTCTTTTCATGTTCTCTAATAACAGAGGCCCAGATTTTTGGATGAGCACACACTCTTCATACATGTTAGAAGATGTAATGATCCCATTGACAAAAACAGAGTGATAAGACACTTAAGAATAAATTCTGCAAGAAACGTATGCACAACCTATATGAAGAGAACACAGACTGTCTGAATGAATGGAAGGTATATACTGTCCTTAGAGAGGAAGATTTAACATCATAAATATTCTATTCATCTTTCCACCAGTTCAGACCTCATCTCAGTTTAGTCTACAAATTAAACACAACCCCGGTTAAAATACCAACAGCATTTTTCATGGATGATCGTTAATTCTAAAGTTCGCTTTTTAAGTTGGGTGCAATGGCTGTCACTGGTAATCACTGTACTTTGGGAGGCTGAGGCAGGAGGACCATTTGCACTTAGGAGTTTGAAACCAGCCTGGGCAACATAGCAAGAACTCCTCTATACTAAAAAAATAAAATAAAATAAATTAGCCAGGCATGGTGGCATGCACCTGTAGTCCCAGCTACTTGGGAAGTTGAGAAGGGAGCATCACTCGAGCCCAGAAGGGCGAGGCTGCAGTGAGCTATGATCATGCCATGGCACTCCAGCCTGGGCAACAGAGCAAGGCCCTGTCTCCAAAAAATATATAAAAATAAAGATAAAGTTTTTTTTAAAACAAAAGCACTAAAGAAAACAATTACGAAAATGAAGAGTAACAAGGAATGAGAAGACTGATATTAAACTACGTTATAGAGCCATAATAGTTAAAGCAGTAGAGCACCGAGGCATACACATGCTGGAAGATTAGGAAAAAGAGAGCCCAGAGATAGGCTCAAATACATTTTAAAAACTGCTGTATTATCAAGATGGTGTTTCAAATTGGTGGAGAAAAGGTAGATTTTTCATTAAAATGTACTGGCATTGGCATTTTCTGGGGAAAAAATAGGTTGGTCTTACCTTGTTTTATACATCAAAATAAAAAATACATTGGTCAAAGATTAAGTATTTTAGGAGCCAGGTATGGTGGCTCGTGACTGTAATCTCAGATACTCAGGAGGCTGAGGCGGGAAGATCACTTGAGGCCAGGAGTTTGAGACCAGTCTAGGCAACATAGCATCCCTTAAAAAACAAAAATAAAAATAGCTGGGCAGGATGGCTGAAGTGGGAGGATCACTGGAGCCCAGGAGTTTGAGGCCATGGTAAGCTATGATCCTGCCTGTGAAGAGCCACTGCATTCCAGCCTGGGCAACATCGAGAGAACTTCATCTCTAAAAGGAAGGGGGGGAATCTTTAAAAAAAAATCCTTGAGTGGGGAAGAGCTTTCAAAGTATAATACAAAACTTTAGAAGTCATAAAGACTGATAATTTTAACAATGCAAAAGAAATTTTAATCGTCCATGGCAAAAAAATAAAAATGAAACTAGTCAACTAGAGAAAAATACATATTTGCAACATGTCATGAACAAGAGCCAATTTCCTTAATATGTAAAGAGCTTCTGTAAGAAAAGACTGTCATAAACCATAGAAAAATGGGCAAAGGATATGAATCGCAATTTTGCAGAAATGAAATGGAAATGGCTCATAAGCATATGAAGGATGGTCAGCTCCACTTTTACTGAGGAACATGCAAATTCAACTTAATGAGATTTTTTTCTTCCATCAAATTGGCAAAGATAAGTTTCATAACTTTCATTCATTGATGCAACTTCCATGGATGGTCCTTAAGCAATATTTATCAAATTTACAAAATACACACCATCAATTTCAGAATTCACACACTTCTAAGAATATATCCCTTAAACTGTACTCTCACATGAAATGCTGTGTGTGGAAAGCTATTCATTGTAGCATCATTTTTAGTATGAATGTGTGGGAATAAAAACTATCAGCAGGGGCTGTGTCACTAAATGATGGACGGCCTCTCCATCACTGACTTTGCAGCCAATAAAAAATAACAAAGCATCCATTCATTCATGTCTATTTACCGAGTGCCACTAACCCTGGGGACAAATCCACAGACCAGAAGTCATGCCCTGGTGAGAAGGAGACAACAAACACATAAGTCAAATGGGGAGGGAAGTGCCAAGGAAATAGGATGACAGGAAACAGGATTTTGAGGCTGCTGCAGCCTCAAACAGGGTTGTCAGGATGGACTCGCTGAGACTTTTGAGCAAAGGCTGGGATCAGAAAGGACCAGGAGCCTGTGCCTGCGCTGGAGCGGGGGGAAGCGGCGGGAAGCGGCGGGAGAGAGGGGAGACAGGGTCAGGAGATGAGGTGAGGGCAGATCCAGCAGGACCTCCAGCGTTCCTGGAGAGTGAGCTGGCACGCAGCCACGTGGTCCTATTTTCATATTTTAAAAGCATGCCTTTGGCTGCTATGTGGAGAGCAGACTGAAGGGTTGAGGGGATGAAAGTGGAGAGACCAGACAGAGGCCTTTGCAATAATCCAGGCAGCTATGATGGTGGCAGGGAAGGTCCATTGGTCCCTCCCTCTGCTGCAGGATGGTCTACAAGATACATTGTTAAATGAAAAAAGCAAGATGTGGAACAGTGTTTTGTAAACTAGCACTCATGAGACACAGCACACACACCTATTTATGCTTCATTGAGTATAGAATCTATTGGGAAGATCACTTCAGAATGATATATTGCTGCTTCATGGAAGGAGAACTGGGTGGCTTGTGGACAGGCACAGCACAGAAATTGACCTTTTCATTTATATCTTTTTGTACCTTTTGAATTTTGGACCCTGTACATAGAGTATATTGCTTATTAAAAATTAAATTACTTATTTTTTTAAAGTACCTTAAATATTTGAGAGAGGAAAATATTTGCACATAGGAGATACAGAGGATTATTCAAAATTTTTTATTTGTAAAGAATTCCTTGCCGGGTGTGGTGGCTCACACCTGTAATCCCAATACTTTAGGATTTGAGCTTAGGAGTTTGAGACCTGCCTGGACAACACAGGGAGACCCTGTCTCTACTTTAAATTTATATTAAATAAATTTTATATTTAAAAAAATTCGTAAAACCTATAAGGAAAATGGACAAAGGCCATAAACAGAGGAGGAAATACAAATGGCCAGTGAACAAAGACACCCACTCTCATCAGGAACTAAATGACAAGATGCCATTTTGAGCTGACAAGTTGACAAAAATTAAATCATTTTAAAGTCAAGGACGGGCCGGGCGCGGTGGCTTGCCTGTAATCCCAGCACTTTGGTCCGCCATTGCACTCCGGCCTGGGCAACAGAGTGAGACTCGGTCTCAAGAAAAAAAAAAGAAAAAAAATTAAATTAAATTAAATTAAGTCAAGGGTGGGAACTCTGTGGAAATGAAGCTTCTGAAGCTGTCCGGGAAGAGAAGCGGCCCCTGGTCAGGCCGAGAACCCCACAGCAGCAGCCCCGTCTTCCCCCAGCTCACTGCTAGGCGAGGCTGCTCCTGCGCCTCCGGGCTTCCCAAAAATCCAGACGCAAACTGCGCGGCCTCTGCGTTCGCTTCCCGGTTCAAGTTACCCAGTAAAGAGGAACCTCAAACGCTCTGCCCTCGGGGCCCAGCGTCCAAACCCAGCCTGGGCAGGGCCGGCTCCTCAGGGGTCCTCGGCCGCCTGGGGGCCACAGGCGTCTCCCTGGTCCGTATCCAGAGCCTGCTTCTCAGGAGAACGCTGGCTCTGGGGCCAGTCCTAACCCACGAGGGCTCCTCTCGACCACATCTGCAAAGGCCCTATTTCCAAATAAGGTCGCATTCCTGGGTCCTGGGCGGACACGAACCTGGGGCCCGCGCATCCCAGCGTCGTCGCCGCCGCCAACCTCCGGCACCGCGCCGACCCGCGCGGAGTCTCCCCTCCATCATACGCGAGGATTTCCCTTTGGAGTCTCGCTCTGTCGCCCAGGCTGGAGTGCAATGGCGCCATTTCGGCTCACTGCAACCTCCGCCTCCGTGGTTCAAGCGATTCTCCTGCCTCAGCCTCCGAGTAGCTGGGATTACAGGCGCGTGCCCCCACGCTCAGCTAATTTTTGTAGGGGGGTGGGTGGGTTTCACCAGGTTGGCCAGGCTGGTCTCGAACTCCTGACTTCAGGTGATCCACCCGTCTCGGCCTCCCAAAGTGCTGGGATTACAGGCGTGAGCCACCGCGCCCGGCCGGATTTCCCTTTTAAATGTGAAGG
The DNA here is from genome assembly GCF_000001405.40 of Homo sapiens. Classification (NCBI taxonomy): domain Eukaryota; kingdom Metazoa; phylum Chordata; class Mammalia; order Primates; family Hominidae; genus Homo; species Homo sapiens. The sequence continues at coordinate 156,949,515 of NC_000007.14, forward strand.
CACCTCCATGCTCATCGCGAGCCTGACGTCCACGCGGCGCCCACCCGCGGGCGCGCCTGCCCCGGGCGCCACCTGCCCGGCTGCCCCCGCACCCGGCTCCGCGCAGCTCTGCACGCTGTCGCCCTCCGGCCAGCAGGGGGCGCCGCCCGCCCGCCCCGCGCAGCCGCCTCTTCCCCGGAAGTCCCGCCTCGGCCGGAAGTCGTGCGTCCACGCGTTTCGAAAGATGGCGGCGTCCAGGAGCGCGGGAGAGGCCGGCCCGGGCGGCTCCCAGGGACGCGTGGTCCGCATGAAGCGCAGAGGCGGGCGCGGGCCGCGCCGCGGTCCTGCTGGCGGTGGGGAGAAGGCCCTGAAGAGGCTGAAGCTAGCGGTGGAGGAGTTCGTGCACGCGACTTCGGAAGGCGAGGCTCCCGGGGGTTGCGAGGGGCGCGGCGCCCCGGTGAGCTTTCGCCCGGGAGGGAGAAAAAGCCGTAAGGAACTGAGGAAGGAGAAGCGGCACCTGCGGAAAGCACGCCGGCTGCAGAGGACGGCGGGCCCCGAACAGGGTCCCGGCCTGGGAGGCCGAAGCGGAGCCGAAGAAGCCAGCGGTCACCGGCAGGACACGGAGGAGCGCGCCCGCCCAGCCCCTAGTCGGGACCCCTCGCCTCCCAGGAAGCCGCGGCCGTCCCGGGTCAAGGCCAAGGCCACGGCCGCCACCGCAAAGACCAGACCCTCCGCAGCCGCCACCGCCGCTGCCCGGAAACGGGCGCTTTTAGCGGCGAACGAGGAGGAGGACCGAGAGATCCGAAAGCTGGAGCGTTGCCTCGGTTTGAACAAGCGCAAAAAGAAGGACGGCAGCAGCTCCGTGCCGCTGAGCTTTGCACGCGACGGTCTTGACTATATTCTGGGAGCCCTGGAGTCTGGGAAAAATAGCGGCTTGTACGACAGCAGTGGTGAGGAGGAGGAAGATGCCGGACAGACACTCCCCGAAAGTGACTTAGAGAGTGACTCCCAGGACGAAAGTGAGGAGGAGGAGGAGGGAGACGTAGAAAAGGAAAAGAAGGCGCAGGAAGCAGAAGCGCAGAGCGAGGACGACGACGAGGATACAGAAGAGGAACAGGGGGAAGAAAAGGAAAAGGGAGCGCAGGAGAAAAGGAGGGGGAAGAGAGTCCGTTTTGCAGAAGATGAAGAAAAGAGTGAAAATTCCTCGGAGGACGGTGACATAACGGATAAGGTATCGTGTGAACACTCTCTAGGCCCTCTGGGATTTCCTTCAAAATAACGGGACAGGGAATGGGGCGTGAGGCAGAAATGACACAGACTTGGTGTCTTGATAATGGTTTCAGCTGAATGTGAGTAAATCGAGTACGTTACTCTATTCGGTCTTCTTTCATGTTTTTAAATTTTCATAATGTAAAGTTTAGGAGAAAAGCAATATAGAGACATTTTTATCCCGGGGACTTAAGGGCCATTTCCACAGTGCAGCATCTTCATTCTGTGTTTACCAGCCCAGGTCTCTAAACCTGTTAACCCTACCTCATCTGTTAAGGCCTCTTTCGAGTATCCGAGGACATCTGCCGTGCCCGACTTTTAGAGTGAATTTTCTAAAACTCGAAGCTAATTTACAGCACTCCCTTAGATAAAGTCCAACATTGAATTAAAGATAAAGGCTGAGGCGGGGCAGATCATTTGAGGTCAGGTGTTTGAGACCAGCCTGGCTAACGTGGTGAAACCCCGTCATTACTAAAAATACAAAAAACAGCCGGGCGTGGTGGCAGGCGCCTGTAATCCCAGCTACTTGGGAAGCTGAGGCTTGAACCAGGGAGGCAGAGGTTGCACTGAGCCGAGATCGCGCTACTGCACTCTAGCCTGGGCGAGAGAGCCAGACTCTGTTTCAAAGAAAAAAAAAAGTTCAGAATCTAGGACGTAGCAATCAAGGCATTCATGGGCTGTCATCTTGCATATTTTATCTCAGCGTTCCTTTGCATGTAGCTCATGGTTGGAGGCAGCTGTGTGGAATTGCCTGCATTTCCTTCTCCCCACATCGCACTAGTTCTATGTATGTAAATATTCAGCTTCTATGTATACAAATATTCTTTATTGAACCAGGTTTAAACTACCTAGCAGTGAGGATCGTGCCTTGCAAATGTTTGTGTCCTTAATGATTTGCAAACACCACCACCCCCCTTGATAATTTAGGAAATAGCAGTGAGTTGGTTTTGATTTTTTTTTTTTGAGACTGAGTCTTGCACTGTCGTCTAGGCTGGAGTAGAGTGGTGCAGTCTCCGCCCACTGCAAGCTCCGCCTCCCAGGTTCATGCCATTCTCCTGCCTCATCTCCCAAGTAGCTGGGACTACAGGCGCCCACCACCATGCCCGGCTAATTTTTTGTATTTTCAGTAGAGATGGGGTTTCACTGTGTTAGCCAGGATGGTCTTGATCTCCTGACCTCGTGATCCGCCCGCCTCAGCGTCCCAAAGTGCTGGGATTACCGACATGAGCCACCGTGCCCGGCCGGTTTTGATTTTTATCATATAAACTTAGATATTACTTTTAAACAAGTTTGAAATTGTTTTTAGGACACTTTCCCTCCAAAATTAGCGGTTTGTTTAATTTAGGTTCTTGTATGCTACTGTGCCTGCAGTAAGTTAAGGCCGAGCAAAAGCGCAGTAGATAGGGCTCTGTTGGAGTTGAGCAGATACCAGAGGTGCACAGCTGGGTCTGAAGAGCTACACAGGGGAAAACGAGATGGTGAAATGTATTATTAATAGCATTAATGGGAATAGTGACAGGCACAGCCTGGTGAGTGGAATGTTTACCCATATACTAAGCACTCAATAAATCTGATGTATTTAAGCAGCAATGATCAGTAGCAGCTTCCACCAGTTCTTGGAAGTTTAATATTTAAATACACATATGGCAAAGAAAAAACACAGGATTTGGTCAGTGTAAATTTTTTGTAATTTATTTCTCTTTTCAAGCAGAGTCTTTGTGGAAGTGGTGAAAAGTACATCCCACCTCATGTGAGGCAAGCTGAGGAGACAGTGGACTTCAAGAAAAAGGAAGAACTAGAAAGGCTGAAGAAACATGTAAAAGGTCTACTTAACAGGTGACCTTGTAGTGTTGTTACACTGTGTCACTTAGAGAGGTTGTCTGTTTCCTAAAATGTAGGAATTATCCCAGCAATTCAAATAGAAGTGATGGGGACAGTCGATTGGATCCTTTCTGTTCTTGGCTTGATGCACCGAGACCCATGAGACCCATACCTCGAGAAGGAGAGGATACCCGACTGTTGGCTACTTTGAATCCCTTTAGGGTTTGAGAGCAGCCCAAATGCTCACATTGTTATTCTGAGAAGCAGGAAGGAAAGGGGCAGAGGTTCTTTGTCCGTCTAAGGACAGTGTTGGAAGGACTGGCTTATGTCCCCTCTCTGCAGAAACACATTCACCTGGTCTTCCATCCCCCTTACTCATTGCTCATGTCTGCATTTTGTTGTTACCCACTTTAAGAACAGAACATTTAAAAAACTGATTGGAAACCATACAGGTGGGGCTTTGTCAGTTACACGTGCCCATCAGCTCTTTGGTTTTGAGGATGTGTGTGTGCATGTGATTCTGTGTAGGTTTTTTTGTTTTGTTTTGTTTTGTTTTGAGATGGAGTTTTTGCTCTTGCTGCACTGGCTGGAGTGCAATGGCGCTATCTCGGCTCACTGCAACCTCTGCCTCCACCTCCCAGGTTCAAGCAGTTCTCCTGCCTCAGCCTCCTGAGTAGCTGGGATTACAGGCATGCGCCACCACGCCAACTAGTTTTGTATTTTTAGTAGAGACGGGATTTCTCCATGTAGGTCAGGCTGGTCTCAAACTCCCGACCTCAGGTGATCCGCCCGCCTCAGCCTCCGAAAGTGCTGGGATTACAGGCATGAGTCACCGCACCGGGGCAGTTCTGTAGTTTTATCACATGAAGATTCGAGTCACCACCGCTGCAATTGAGATAAAACTCACCACCATCTCTCCCCTGCTGCCCCTCCATGGCCTCACCCACCCCCTTCCCCCTTGTATTGCTTTTTGTTTCCTGTTATCCTGGGAATTTATATAAACCTCTGTTTCAGTGTCGAGTTCAGTATTAGCACAGGTTCACAGTGAGTAACCTTCCACGTACATATGTGTGTAGTGTCCCCACTACCCGTTCAAACAGAGCAGCCTTTTCTAGTGTTAGGAACTAAGGATTTTTGTGCCACCTAAGAAATAAAACGTTAGCATTTTTTCTAACAACACGTCCTAAGGCTGGACCCTGCCTATGGGATATCAGGTCAGAATATTCAGGGGAGTATCCTCACGTATGTTTCTGTAGACTTAATCCAGGGTATGCCTCAGTGTGGCCACATTTCATCTTGTAAAGACAGCAATTACATTGTTTTGGGATTCCAGAATATTATCTGGTTATGAATAATATATGCTGGGTTATTGGGGCAAGATAAGAATAGTTAAGGGGTCAAAAGTGTACATAAAAATAGAATATATTGTTGGTATGGATAACTCTTTAATTTTTTAAAATTGAACTGAAAATTCCTAATTGGAAACATTGTTGCTCTCTGTCTTTACAATTCTCTGCAGGTTGAGTGAACCCAACATGGCTTCCATCAGTGGGCAGCTGGAGGAACTGTACATGGCCCACAGCAGAAAGGACATGAATGACACCCTGACCTCCGCTCTCATGGGTGCCTGCGTCACTGCCTCGGCCATGCCCAGCAGACTGATGATGGAGCATGTTCTCTTAGTCAGCATCCTTCACCACACAGTTGGAATCGAGGTACAGTTGTACCTTTTCTCCAGGCTGTCACTAGTGTCTCATGGTGATTATTTTAATGATAGGCTTGATAAGTGCGTAATTGTGTGCTGTGGGTGGTTCTTGTGTCGATTCCTTTTTGTTGTGAATAAATACTCTATTGTCTATGTCATGTAGTTGTAAAGAGCATTCAGGAAGTACTTGATTACTTGATTTTGCTTAACTTTGCTTTTTTGTTCTGTCCATTCTTTTTTTTTTTTTTTTTTTTGAGACAGGGTCTCGCTCTGTCGTCTAGGCTGGAGTGCAGTGGCACGATCACAGCTGCAGACTCGAGTGATCCTCCCACCTCATCCTCCAGAGTAGCTGGAACTGCAGGCGCACACCACCAGGCCTGGCTAATTGTTTTGGTGGGAGCAGAAGTGGAGTCTCACTCTGTTGCCCAGGCTGGTGTCAAATTCCTGGGCTCCAGTGATCCTCCTGCTTTGGCGTCCCAATGTGTTGGGATTACAGGCGGGAGCTGCCATGCCCAGCCCTGTTCTGTCCAGCCTAGCATGTCTTTTATGTTAGTTAATTTTCTTCTCGACTGACATCTCAGACGTGCCTTCATTTCCTTTGCACTTCTCCCTTAACACTGATTTATTTCAGATGTTTGGAAGATAATGGTTGGTGTGGTCTCACTACTGAGGTGTTGGTATTGATGGGAGATGTGAGAGCACTGGGGCATGGAACTGCCTGGACATGTTCAGGGAGACCTGGTGCCCTTTCTGTGTCATGGCCCTTTCTCATCAGTGAAGTGGGCTTTTGTTGGGATTGAACTGAACAGTGTACAGAAAGCATCTGGCACCCGACAGGTGCTAAGTAAATGTCCACCCCACCCCCACATCCCTTTCGTATTCTTCTTGCTCCACAACCCTTGTGGTTAAAGTCAGAGAGGCTCTTTGGTGATGGCCTTGGTTCCACAGTCACTGCCCTCTTCTGGGCCTGTTCTCTCTTAATTGAATACAGGAAAGTCATAACACTCCCAGTCAGTATCCCAGTTCCCCCAAGGTAGCTGATTTCAGATGTGTTGAAGTAAATCCGTCCAACTAAAGGAGATTGTTGTGAGGTTGGTGAACGAATGGAGGGTTGGGTCAGTGAGGCTTAGTTTTCCCGTGATACAGTATTTACATGCAAATGCAGTGTTTAACCCATTTGGATCTTTAAATGATAGTCTCTTTTAATGGTGGTTCTCTTAGTTTTTTGCCTTCTGACAGCTCTACTCCAAAAAATAGGCCACAGCAGCACAGCATCCCTAAAAGTCTAATTACCTGGTGTACGTTTATATACTTTCGTCTCCTCCTCACCTTTAATCCTAAAGTGTCCCGGTGAGATCAGGGCAGACCTTTACTGAAGCTTGCTTTGCAGTGCAGCAGGCAAAGCCGCTGAAGCGCTATGTGAAATTCCCAAGATCACGTCTTGTTAAAAGTACACAGAACTTGTTTTCTGGGCTCCTAGGCAAGCATGCTTTCTACTGCAATGCTAGTCACATTCATTTCATTTTTATATTACTTTCTCTCAATTATAATCTTAACAGTTATTTAGAGTCTTACCAAGTGGGGCTCTCCAAAGCTTGCTTTAAGATGCACATATTTGCCGGCCGGGCGCGGTGGCTCACTCGTGTAATCCCAGCACTTTGGGAGGCCGAGGCGGGTGGATCACGAGGTCAGGAGATCGAGACCAGCCTGGCCAAAAAGGTGAAACCCCGTCTCTACTAAAAATACAAAAAAAAATTAGCCAGGCATGGTGGCGGGCGCCTGAAGTCCCAGCTACTCCGGAGACTGAGGCAGGAGAATGGCGTGAACCCAGCAGGCGGAGTTTGCAGTGAGCCGAGATCGCGTCACTGCACTCCAGCCTGGGTGACAGAGCGAGACTCAGTCTCAAAAAAAAAAAAAAGATGCACGGATTTGCCAAAATGAAGTAGCCTTCTTGTCACTGGGGCTTCTGTGCTGAAGGCGGCATGGGGTGGGTGGAGATGCTGCCTGAGTACAAAACATGCTGTAACGCGCACGGTCTGTGTCACTTAGATGAACTTGTGCCTCCGAGTCTTCCTGTGTCCAGTCGTTAAGGTCAACGAGTTAGTTCATGTAATAGGCATAGGAAAGAGCTGGCCCACAATAAGCGCTCATTGAAGGCTCATTATTTATGTACAGAAGGAGATTTTCGTGTTTTAATTCTGTTCTTCCTCTGGCTGGCTTTTCCTACCACTGCTGATTTCTTTGTTGTTGCTAGATAATGTTCTGATCCACATTTTTCCATGTCTAGCAGTAGTTGCATGGTGGCAGCTTTTTGAAAGGCCTGTGGGGCATTAGGAAGCTGAGGGCTGGAGAGAGGGGCACAGGCCTGAGCATCTGAGTGCGGGACTCTTCTGAGCTACATGGGTCATCTCAGATATGAAAATCTGCACCAGCTGCTTTGGGAACCCTCTTGTTATTTTTTATTTCTAAGAGCTGTCCTCATTTTCATGTATGAGCATGTGGGAGTCTGTTTTCTTGTCATTACAAAGTGATGGAATCACTGGGTGCCATTCCTGGGCCCTGTGATTACCATAATCAGGGCCATTCTGTGACTTTCTTGGTACCTCCCTGTCCTCCTAGAGGACACTGGTATGCTTCAGCTGACTTAATCATCAGAATGATCTTAGTATAGGCAGTATCTCAGTGAGTTACAGGAAAAGCCACAGACCGTGACCACCCACAGCACATCAGGAATTTACTTGATTGGAAAACATGAGATAATTGGGCCTACTTTCATTTAAACCTTTGCTAATTGCATGAAGGACAATGAAATGACTTGTTCCGAAGGGAAGTCATTACAGTACTTTAGTTAATGACATCCACAGAAACTTCTGCCAGCGTGTGATGAGCTTTCAGGGTGCTGGCTCCATTCAGCTGCTTTCAGTCCTGTACCGAGAAAAACATTCTGTGTTAAAGACGATGGTGTCAGCTGCTGAATTGCTTCTGTAAGTCCTTTAAAACTCAAAAACCCAATCTATGTAGATTCATGTTAAAATTTCCACATCAGAGTTAACGTACAGGATGTGCTTGAATAACTTTACCAACGTGAATTTTACTTATATTCTTAAATGTTATGCTGTTATATTTTATTTTGAAGACATTAAATGGAACTTCAGATTTAGAATTTTGAGAAATTTTGATGTAATATACATAATTGAAAACATACAGCCGGGTGTGGTGGCTCACGCCTGTAATCCTAGCACTTTGGGAGGCCGAGGCGGGTGGATCATGAGGTCAGGAGATTGAGACCATCCTGGCTAACATGGTGAAACCCCGTTTCTACTAAAAATACAAAAAATTAGCCAGGCATGGTGGCAGGTGCCTATAGTCCCTGCTACTCGGGAGGCTGAGGCAGGAGGATGGCGTGAACCCAGCAGGCGGAGCTTGCAGTGAGCCGAGATCGCACCACTGCACTCCAGCCTGGGCGACAGAGCGAGACTCCGTCTCAAAAAAAAAAAAAAAAAAAAAAAAAAGAAAAAGAAAATATACATGAATATGTTTTATGCCTAAATTTTTATTGACGTCTGCAGAATTCTAATTTACTTTTAAAAATTATATTTGACTATAACATGGTTGCCATAATAGAATGTGTCTTCCAGTTTATCTTCATTGAAGGGGCTTGAATGGAAACTACAGGTTGGCTTGGTTAAGTCTCAGGTCTTTACAAACTGAAGTGTATATCCAGTCCATCAGAGCTGGCCTCCAGGAAGTCACTGTGGCCTCCCGCCAGTCTGTTGCCTTTCTCTGGATTCTTCTAGCGTTGATTTCTTTGCAGTCCAGCAATGATGTCTGTGTACTTCCCCATACACTCAAGACTGTCTGGTGGATCTCAGCCTTGCCTGCGATTTTCACTGACACCCTTAGATCTCCATCCAGTCCTGTCTGGATGGCCCCTGTTGAAGCTTAATAACCCCTGAGCTGGTCTTGTCCAGCCCCACTAGCTTGCTGCCCCTCACGTAGTTCCTGGTTACCCAGACCAGAAACCTGGGAGTCACAGATCCTTCAGCTTTTACAGCCGGTGTCACACACTGCCATGCGTTGCTGTGTTACCCAGGCCCTTCATCCCTGGTCCAGCGCAGCTGCGTTATTTAGGCCATCGTCTCCTGGCTGGGCTGTGGGGGTCACTCTTTGTCACCACCATGTCCCTGCTTCCGCCTTCTCCCTCCAGTCCCAGCTTAAGTTGAGATTTGACGGAAAATGATGACACGGTAGTGTTGCCAGCAAGACTGAAAACGACTGTTTTCTGCCTTCAAGTTTTATTATCTCTCTTTTACACAGTGAAAAAACAGGGTTCCAGGAACTTGCTGAAGACCACACAGACCCACATGCAGGTCTTCTCATCCTTCAGTCCACAGTTACGGAATTCGGGATAAAATGTACCAGAACAGCACAAGGAGAACACTTAGGCCTTGCTTAGCTCCACCAGGCCCGGCAGTTCCTGGCCCCACTTCCGCCCCTCAGGGCAGTGTCTGGTTTACCTGCTGGTCCCCATCAGGGCCCAGTGCCCCTCAAACCACTGGCTGAGCCAAGTGAGTGTATTCACAAGCTACCTTAGTGCCAGAGACTCAGCCCTGGGAAAGTAGGGCGTCTCCTCCGTGCCACCTGGAGCCCTTCCAGAGATTATTAAGTACCTGTCTATTTGGCAACCTCTGATATTCAGAATGTGTTGCGTTTATCTGTTTTAGAAATCACTCGTATTGCTTCCTTGTAAGAAATGAATTTGGGGTAAAAATCTGCAAAAAAATCTTTTAAGAAATGAATATTGTTAGGTAGTGGAACTTTTTTTTTTTTTTTACACAGAGTCTTGCTCTGTCGCCCAGGCTGGAGTACAGTGGCGCAATCTCAGCTCACTGCAACCTCCATCTCCTGGGTTCAAGCGATTCTCTTGCCTCAGCCTCCCAAGCAGCTGGGATTACAGGCATATGCCACCACGCCCGGCTAATTTTTTGTATTTTTAGTAGACACGGGGTTTCACCACGTTAGCCAGGATGGTCTCGATCTCCTGATCTTGTGATCCACCCACCTCAGCCTCCCAAAAGTGCTGGGTTTACAGGCGCACACCACCACACCTGGCTAATTTTTTTTTGTATTTTTAGTAGAAACGGGGTTTCACCGTGTTAGCCAGGATGGTCTTGATATCTCCTGACCTTGTGATCCACCCACCTCCGCCTCCTAAATTGCTGGGATTGCAGGTGTGAGCCACCGCACCTGGCCAGTAGTGGAATATTTTGAGAGACATAGGTGTGTTTTTAACATCATTTTTAACAGTTTTATTTTTCCAAGGAGTCAGAATGGCTGCTGGCCAAACAGTGCCCCTTGGTTGTTGATTTTAACAAGAGGAAGGTGCCCTTGCGTCCAGGCTGGGGCACTCTGGCCGGCTGCTCTGGGTTGCCGAGGGATGCCTTGTTGGAATGCCCTGCCTTGTGGCACTTTGTTAATTTAGAAAGTGCCAGTTCTGTGTGTTGAAGGAGAAAGGAAGGTTTCTAGGAATAACATAATCTTTTTTCTGTGTGGTTCTTTCAGGTCGGTGCCCACTTTCTGGAGGCAGTGGTGAGGAAGTTCGATGCCATCTATAAATACGGAAGCGAAGGGAAAGAGTGTGACAACCTGTTCACCGTCATTGCCCATTTATACAACTTCCACGTGGTACAGTCTCTCCTCATCTTCGACATTTTGAAAAAACTGATTGGAACTTTCACCGAAAAAGATATTGAACTGATCTTGTTAATGCTGAAAAACGTGGGTTTTTCATTGAGGAAAGATGATGCTTTATCACTTAAGGAATTGATCACTGAAGCCCAGACCAAAGCCAGCGGGGCAGGCAGCGAGTTTCAGGACCAGACCAGGGTACGCGTGCGACGCTTGATCTGCTTCCTAAGTCCCTAAAGCTCACAAACTGGCCAGAACCTAAAAATCAGTATCTGGGGTAAATATTACACTTGCTTTCCTAGTGATTTCTGTTTTTTCTGTCTCATCCTGTTTTCTGGCTTTAATATGTGAATGGACCTTATTCCTTTACCAGAAAAATATTTTGTGAATTTAAAAACTGATTTATTTAACATTCATCCGTTAAAAAATGCTTACCGAGGAGGCCACAGGACATGGGGCTCTAGGGTCAGCCTGGGTTGGACTTTGGGCTCTGCCACTTGACAGCAGCATAACCTGGGTCTTCTGAGCCTCAGTTTCCCCCTCTGTAAAACAGGGACTGATCACAGCTCCCACATTGTGTGCCGTTCAGATGATGAGATGTGTGGAACCGCGTGTTCCTGGGAAGCCGTTTGGGGAAGAACCCGAAAAGGGTTAGTTTGAGAGCCTGGAGGGGGCATCACAAGAGAAAAAGGCAGAGTTCAGGTCTCTGGTCCCTTGTTAATTACTGCAGGGAATTGAGGGTTTTATCCTAGAGGCATCTGAAGGGTTCCAGCAGGTGAATGACAGGTTGGAGTTTTCCTTCTGATGGTCACTTTGACTCCAAGGCAGAAAGAGGCATGAGGTGGTCGAAGTCAGGAGGAGTTTTGCAGGAGCTGGGGAGTAGGTGGTGGCAAATGTTGGGATCGTGGCAGTGGGTGTGGACATGGGCGTCAGAAGTGACCAGACCTCATGTGGATTGGGATGAAGGGAAGGAGGGCTCAGGGTCACCCATCAGGGGCACAGGGGACCGTGCAGGAGGAGATGAGGATTTAGGACAGGCACCTCCATTTTTGAAAGACTGGGTTAGCTGTGAACAGAGTGGGCTGAAGGGATATGGGGCTGCTCTCGTAGAGGGGGTCCTGGGAGCCATGGAAATGGGTGGACTTGCCTGGCAGCAGGTGGGCTGTGAAGAGGACCTTCAGGTTAAGGAGCACTGACGTCTAGCTGCAGGCAGGAGGGAGAGCTGGCAGGTGAGAAGGAAATGAGGATGGTCCCAGGAGCCAGGGAACACTAGTGTCCCCAGGAAGAATTCACGCCCGTGTGGGATGCTGAGGACCAGCAAGAGGAGGAAGGGATTTGCATTTTGGGCTGAATTGTGACGGCGGTCCTGACTGGCTTATCCTGGTCCCCGGAGAAGCCAGTCTGAAGAGGAGGGGGCTGGAGAAGGGAATGGGAGCAGCGGGCTCAATGGTGGTTTCAAATGGAGAAGAGACAGAAAGTACATTAGTGGGCTGGGGAGCTGGCTGGGGAGTTGGGGAAATGGGGAATGGTTGTTAATGGGCTTGGAGTTTCTCTTCTGGGGTGATGAGAAAGTTCTGAAATTGATTGTGGTGATAGTTGCACAACTCTGAATGTATTAAAAGCCACATAATTATATACCTTACATGAGTGAGTTTTATGCTATGTGAATTCTGTATCAGTAAGAAGTTGACATTTGGGGACATCTCAGAGGGTATGTGGGAATTCTTTGTGCTGTTCTTGCAACTTTTCTGTATGACATTACTTCCAGTTTTAAAGTTAAAAAAATTACAAGGCCAGTGGTAGGAGAGAGGATGTCCAGAGCAGGTCGCGGGGGGCCAGGGTGGGAGCAGGAGCGTAGTAGAGGCCGGGGTGGCCGAGTAGGTGTGGACGGTGCGGAAGGGTGAGGCGTGTGGCGAGCAGAAGGGAAAAGAGATCTCTGGGGAGTTTGGGTTCCCACTTGACGTTGGGGGACACATTTCCATTTTGAAGTATTATGTAGCCCTGAGTAAGCGGCTGAGACTAGTTTAGACTGTCTCTACCTAAAGGCTGTCCTGACTTTGTATCGTGGCGGTGGCGGCCATGTGCATCAGGTGTGGTAGATTTCTTGCCAACTTGAATGGGCCGTTTAGACTGTTTGAAATGATGGACTTTCCATTTTTTCATTTTTCTTGAAGATTCGGTTTATGCTAGAGACGATGTTGGCCCTGAAGAACAATGACATGCGCAAAATTCCAGGCTATGACCCCGAGCCCGTGGAGAAGCTGAGGAAACTGCAGAGAGCTTTGGTGAGTCAAGGAACTTTCAATTCTGTTTTGCTCAGAGCTTCCGTGTCGGCATGAGCCTGTCATGAAAATCAAGAAATAGTCAGACCTGCACGTCAGGGTGGTGTCTGGTGAGTGAGAGTGCTCAGAGGCAGAGTGAACGCGGCTCGGTTTTCCTCAGGGGCTGTCCCAGTGGTCTGGGCGTGCTCGTGCAGAATGTCCGTGTGTGGGGAAGCCCATGTTGGGCGAGCGTCCTCTTTGCCTCACCCCGGGTGCTAAACTTGGGCTGCACCATTGGATCATCCGATGCTTTCAGAGAAGGCCAAGTCCCCATCCGGACCAAGGAAATTGGGATGACGTAGGTCCTTTGACTCTCTCTGACATGCAGCCAGGATGGAGACTGGGGCAGCCTCCCTGTTGGAGTGAGTCTTTCAGCCCCTGTCATCTCAAGTCCAAATCATTGCTGACCCAGGCTCTTCCAGGCATGTGCTCACCTGCCACTGAGCCTGAGGCAGCTCTGTTACTCTCTCCTGTTGGGACAGCTTTCCAAACACAGCGTGTTTGGGGTGATGGACTCTCAAACACAAAACACTGAGTTTACCGCTAGTTTTGGCATTTTTCCAAACAGGCTAACCGTCCCAATTGCCAGTGACCCATTCCAGTATTCATGCACCAGAAATGTCATGGTCAAAAACAAAAAGCCACCGGTGATGGAAGGACGGAATATGAACCAATTAAAAGCATTTCATTAGCTCTTCTCTCTTCATCAGGTCCGCAACGCCGGCTCAGGTTCTGAGACGCAGCTTCGCGTCTCCTGGGACAGTGTCTTGAGTGCGGAGCAGACGGGTCGCTGGTGGATTGTGGGGTCCGCCTGGAGTGGGGCCCCGATGATCGACAACAGTCACCATACGCACCTGCAGAAGCAGCTTGTGGGGACGGTAGGGACACCCATGCTCAAGGCTGCCAGGCAGAGGCACCCCCCTGTGTGGTGTGTGGTCCTGGCTTTACCTGGAGCAGCTCTCTTACTGTTCTTGAATGGTCACTGAAATGTACAAGGTTTATCTGGAGGCCTTACAGAAATTGCTATTAATATTACATTGTGATATAATTATTCCATTTCTGTTGTATCTTTTTATTGGACTTTAAAAGATCTAAAAGTTGAATGGCACGGGGCAGGGGAGCGCATGAGGACCTGAACGCTCACGGGGCAGGAGTCCGTTGCTGAGACCCCTCAGGCTGCCCCCCGGGCTGTGCATTCTAGGCTACAGGCTATGGATTTCACATTGTGGAAATTCAAGCCCATTTTTCATCCAGACTTCCCTCGTTATCCCCTCATGTCCTTCCCTGTCCCAGATTCTGTGTCACTCATGGTCACGGTTTCCCAGGCTCTGCCAGTGACTGGTTCTCTGTTTTATTCATCGTCGCTTGCCCTGAGGTTGAACCACGACTGAGAAGCCTCCCACATGAGTGTTTTCTCCCCCAGCGGCTGTGGCTTCACTATGTGTTCCCCTTGCACAGAGGGGCGTTGCCCGAGAGTGGACTTGGTGCCATCCGCCCACGTAGACCTCACAGTTCTATTCAGTGACACTGAAGTACAGTTTGGCACCTCTCGGGAGGCAGTTTGCATGGAGACATGCGTATGACTTGTCCATTCATCGTGCTTCCAGGTCAGTTCAAAGATCCTAGAACTCGCCCGGAAGCAGAGGATGAACACAGACATCCGGAGAAACATATTCTGCACAATAATGACAAGTGAAGATTTTTTGGATGCTTTTGAAAAGCTTCTGAAGTAAGCATTTGTGTGCACATTTTGACCTATTAATGAGATGCTGTAAAATAAGTAAGTTGATTTGCTTTTTGAGTTTTGGACGACTGAGTCTGATGCTGCCTAGGGAGGACTGGGCTGTTCTCATGACCATCCGCTCACGCTGTTGGATTCGTGCATCTCTGGGTTAGTCGTCATGTTCCTATTAATTTGCCTCTAGTAGTTCCTCATTAGAACATTTTATGATATATAAAGATTGGGGGTTTGGGGTTTTTTTTTTTGAGACAGGGTCTTGCCATGTTGCTCAGGCTGGAGACTGGGGAGTTTTGACTGAAAGTATCTGATGACCTTGTCAGTGGCTGTTGGTTGTCACGAATTGCTTAAAAATACATAAATCTTCATAATAAAGCTATTCTGATTCTTCATTTAAAACATCCTGGTATAGTTTGTATAATTAGTTGTAATAAGATTTTAAAGATCCTGTAATCCCAGCTACTTAGAAGGCTGAGACAGGAGGATCACTTTAGCCCAGTAGTTCAAGACCAGCCTGGGCAACATACTGAGACCCCCATCTCATTTAAAAAGAAAAAAAAAATCTTTAAATGTACCTGTGTAGTTTTATGAGGTACTTCTAAACAATGTAATGTTAATACATATTCTTTTATTTGCTTCAAACTAGGATGAAATACAGGGAGAACATGGTTCCTTTTAGGATTCTGATAATTAGGGTTTTATTTTCTAAACTAGAGTTTCTAGTTGGAGTGGAAGTCCTGAGTTCCCTTTGCCTCTCTGTGGCCTTGCCGTTTTGCCGAAAACCTCCCATCTCCCTAGTCACCCTTGGTCTCTAAAAGGGCTCTTTTGAGGAGAACTCTTATTCTCTAGTCAGCGGGTCTAGCTTATCCTTTGTACTCGAAGGACTTCGTTTATTTTTCCTCTGGTTGACTTCATGTGTTGAAAATTTTGGCCTATCAAACTACGTGTATTAAACAATAGTTTTTCCCATTCTTATTCCTCAAAATCATGAGTTATGAGTCTAAGCTTTTAATCAACATGAATTGATAATCAATGCAGCTGAAACTCAGTTGGTTCTTTGGGCCGCCTTCGCCGCCTGCGCTGCCTTCACCTGAGTGCTCTACGTGGGGCTGTGCTGTTTGCAGTGGAGCTGGTGCTCCTCTCCTGAGGTACAGAGTGTCTGCCTCTGTGCAGAGGTGGCAGCCTCAGCCGTATTCGGATCTCACCAGAAACTGGAAGCAGCCCACATACCCCTCAGTTGGGGAAAGGATAAACCATGAGACGCCGTCTAAGGGATACTTACTACTTGGCATCACGAGGGGCAAACTCCCAAGGCCCCAAGAGCATGGTGACTCTCGAGTGTATTCTGCCGTGCAGGAAGCCACCTTGCCCTGAATCTGTGTGACAGAGGCAGAGTCAAAACTAGAGGGACAGAAGCAGATTAGCAGTGGCCCACGGCAAGGGTGGCTCACGGCCCCAGGTTCTCACGGGTGATGGAGAGTTCTGTTTCGGCATTGCCGGTGGTGACCTGACCATATGGGCTTATCCACACTCAGGACTCTACACTACAAAGGATAGGTTTTACTGTGTGTGAGCTCTAACTCAAGTTTTACAAACGACGGCAGGCACCGTGGCTCATGCCTGTAATCCCAGCACTTTGGGAGGCCAAGGTGGGTGGAACACCTGAGGTCAGGAGTTCGAGAGCAGCCTGGCCAACATGGCAAAACCCCATCTCTACTAAAAACACAAAAATTAGCTGGGGGTGGTGGTGGCACCTGTAATCCAGCTACTCGGGAGGCTGAGGTACAAGAATCACTTGAACCGGAGAGATGGAGGTTGTAGTGAGCTGAAGTCATGCCACTGCACTCCAGCCTGGGTGACAGAGCAAGACTGTCTCAAAAAAAAAAGTAAGAAAATGTGAAGTCATCGCCATAGCAGGAACCAGCTCTAAGGGCACACACGATTGAGTCAGTTTATTGTCAGCCGGGCACAGCTGTCGACTTTTGCAGCGACGGGGGACCCCCTAGATGGTCTTGTCTCCTCTGACATTTTGCCACATTGTAGGAGAACCTGAGGACCAGAGAGGTTGTGACAGGGCTGGGCCCCTAGCTGGTGTCTGCCGCTGCCTCCACCTCCTTTACGTGGCTCGCCTCTAACCAGACCCTTCCAGGCGGGAAGATGTTCCCCTGAAAGGTATCAGCCATTAAACTTTGGAAGTCGAGTGATGTTCCAGTCATTGCTGTTCTGTTTTCTAGGCTTGGACTTAAGGATCAGCAGGAGAGAGAAATCATTCACGTTCTCATGGATTGCTGCCTTCAAGAGAAAACTTACAATCCCTTCTATGCTTTCCTGGCTAGCAAATTCTGTGAATATGAAAGGAGATTTCAGGTAGCTTAGTGCGGAGGCACCAGTTACGTCCGCTCTACTATTTTTTCTACACAGGCTACCTGGCTCAACCCACCTGCAAAGGAGTTCCCCAAGTCAGGAGGCCCCTGATATCCCCGTCACCTGGTCCACGCTGGCTGCCAGGCCACCTTCACTGGGAGCGGAAGTGGGAGGGCTAGAGGGGAGTGTCAAGGGTCCACCATGTCCTCATGTCACCTGCTTCTGCCACAGATGCAGGCAGTGTGGCCAGGCCAGCAGGAGCACCTCGTCGGTTCACAGTGCACCAGTCTGTTCTGATGCCCCTTGCTGTGGCCTTTTCCTTAGAATGTTCTGTTAGTATCTGCTGATTTGGGGGGAAGAACTGCACCAGAAGGAGATTCTTGTGAAGCTGTTTGGGACTATGCTCTATAGGCAAGAACAGTGAGGCCACCACTAAAAGTCTTGATGTTTAGAATATTAAAAATAAGATAATAAGAAAATACCTTTAGGTTATGTTGTTAGTGATATATTATAGTAATTTGTGGCCGTTTGCCTTTTTTCTCCTTTTAACTATGATACTAGATGACTTTCCAGTTCAGCATATGGGACAAATTTCGGGACTTGGAAAACTTGCCAGCTACGAATTTCTCTAATTTGGTTCATCTGGTGGCCCACTTGTTGAAGACAAAATCGCTTTCCCTTTCCATCTTAAAGGTTCGTGTAACGTGTGAAAATATTGAAAGCAATGGAAATGGGAGTGTAATTGTTTAGTACCTGGTAAATCAGGTCCTGTTTTACCAGCGTATTTTCTTCGATTCTGATTCATCTGAAAAGTGCTTGCATTATCCTAGCCAGGACAGAAAACGGCCAGACTAACATGTGCTACAAATTGATCTGGTAAATGAAGGCACCGCTGCAGTTCTTTTGCTAATCTGAATGAATGTGTTTTGGAGCTTGAGGTTAATTTGCTGGTCCTAATTATAAAATCCTGAACTGGTCACTGTTAGTGAGGAGAAGGGCGGATGAAGTAGGGCCTGGTCTCCTTAGAGGTGAGGTGAGTTTGCTCACGTTGATGTAAGGTGTTTTAAAACTGTAGGCTTTCTCCTGCCCTGCTGTGTTTTGGGACTTTGCAGTGGACCATGAAACACAGACATCTTTTTTCTTCCCCCCCCAAGATGGGAGTTGCTCTGTCACCCAGGCTGGAGTGCAGTGGTGCAATCTCTGCAACCTCTGCCTCCGGGATTCAAGCGATTCTCCTGCCTCAGCCTCCCAAGTGGCTGGGATTACAGGCTCATGCCACCACGCCCAGCTAATTTTTGTATTTTTAATAGAGACGGGATTTCACCATGTTGGCCAAGCTGGTCTGGAACCCCTGACCTTGTGATCTGCCCTCCTCAGCCTCCCAAAGTGCTAATATTACAGGTGTGAGCCAGTGCGCCCAGCTGAAACCTAGACATCTTACCAGGTGGAGTTGGGGTTAGATGTGGGCCTGTAAGGCTTGGATGGTGGGACCAACAGACTCTGAATAGCCAAAAAAAAAAACTGGAGCGCCTGGGGGGCAAAGGGAAGTGAAAAGCAGAGATAGTTGAGGGGCGTTGACTGCAGTGGCCCAGACCCACAAGACAGCCGCAGCCACAGCTTCCCGTGTGTTTCTGTGTGTCGTGTGCAGTTCATCAGCATGCCGGCTCCAGTTCACCCTGCGTCCCTTGCTGTGTGGTGTCCAAGTTTGGCCACTGTACTGAAAATGAGGGCACCGAGCCTTACGCCAAATCCTGACAACTGGAATAACTTAGCTCATGGAGGAGGCGTTGCTCCCCCTCCGCTCCCCTGCCTTGCCTTTCGCTCGCCCAGGCATTGCGCTCATCCTGGAACAGCACAGATGCTACCACCGATGAGCGGGAGAGGCGTGGCAGGAGCACACCCTCAGGCGTAGAGCTTTAGAGATGCCCCCCGCCCTGCCCCTCCGGGCTGCTCTCATTCCGAGTTTCTCTGTGTTTCGACCATGCTTTTGTGGTCTCGCCGCGTCCTCGGGTCCGCAAGCGCCTGTGATGGTGTTTGGCTGCGCACCTCCCTGTGGGTAGCATTCCCGTCACCATGCGTTTAGTCCCCTCCTCTAGCTCGCTGACATTCAGCTAAGATTGCAGTGGGTCCACGTTGGCGCCCGTGAGTCTGTTCTGGGTAGCATCCTACTGTATACGTATGCCTCAGTTTATATACTTACTTATCCTACTGATCCGTGTTTATTTCTGATTTTTTGATAGTTTTCTAGGGCAGAGATATATATGGATTAGTCTTCTAGAAGTAAATTTTATATATATATATATATATATATATATATATATATATATATATATAGTTTTAATTAGGGGATGGGTACTTTTGGGAATGGAGGTAATTTATGGTTCAGTTCTAGATACTGAATTTCTGATTCATAAGGTGTATGACCCGGGAATTCCACTTACACTGCTGAGTTGTTCTCAACGGTGGCTGTGGCCGGCCACACCTCTGCCAGCAGTGTGTAGGAATTCCCAAGGCCCACATCCTTGCCAACAGGTGTTCATTTCTTAGCTCTGGAAATAGCTTCTTAAATCGGGTAGAGTGGGGGAAGGGGGGAGATTAATTTTTACTCTAATTAACTATATTACAAATCATTGAAAAAGTTGGCTAAATCAGTGTAACTTTATTTTTCTCCATGTCCTGACCATTAGGTAGTTGAATTCAGTGAATTGGACAAACCCAGAGTCCGTTTTTTACGAAAAGTATTAAGTATCCTATTAATGGAAACAGAAGTTGAAGACCTCAGTTTAATTTTCACAAGGTATGTGCCCCACCCTTTCCGACGAGACATGGAAGAGAAATGAAGAGATTGTTTTCACTTGTGTTGATTTACAAACACAAGGTTGTACTATACGTGTAGCTTAATCTTTTCGGTTTTATTTTTAAGCTGGTATGCATTAGATCTGGGGAATAGAAACTTGTCTGCTAGCAAACTAACAATGATTGTTAATAATAAAATATGTTAAGAAGTTCTTAATTGAGAATTTTATTTTTAAAAGAAACTGGTTATGTCTCACTATGCGAGATACCCAGGATTGAGATCTAGGAGAGGCCAGCTCAGCCCTGACATGTGTTTATACGATTCCTTTCCAGAGTATCTGACAACCCAAAGCTGGGGGTGTTACGTGAGGGTTTGAAGCTTTTCATCAGCCACTTCTTGCTAAAGAACGCACAGGCCCACAGAAGCGCCGACGAAGCCAACGTGCTGAGAGAGAAAGCTGACCTTGCAACGAAGTGTCTGCAAGGAAAAGCTTCCCTGAGAATGTAGTCAGGGAAGGAAGGAGGGCAGGTGGCCCTTTGACTGTAAAATGTCCTTGGTAAACCCAAAGGCTTATTCTGTTGCCTGCGTGTGAATGTTTGGTAGAGCTATATCATTGTCTGTTAATGTATTATATTTTGAGATTTTTTTTGATCTAAGGTTTTATTGTTTGTATTTCAAGCCATTTTCAAATAACTATCTTGGGGGTGAGAGGAGAAGGAGGGAGGGAAAAGGGGTCAGGCACACTGGACAGGGTTCTCTAAGCAGTGAGGCTGGTGTGTATGATTGTCTTAAAATTTTTTAATAGATATGGCCGAGCGTGATGGCTCACCCCTGTAATCCCAGCACTTTGTGAGGCCAAGGTGGGCGGATCACTTGAGGCCAGGAATTTGAAACCAGCCTGGGCAAAACCCTGTCTCTACTAAAAATATAAAAATTAGCCAGGCATGATGGCACATGCTGGTAATAGCAGCTACTGAGGTGGCTGAGGCACAAGAATTGCTTGGACCCTGGAGGTAGAGGCTGCAGTGAGCCAAGATTGTACCACTGTACTCCAGCCTGGGCTGGACAGTGAGACTTTTGACAGTGAGACTGTCAAAAAAAAAAAAAAAATTAATAGATAAAACAGGCCACTAGAGGGTGCAGTTATAAAGAAATTGATGAGGTTTTTACCTTTTTAAAATATTGGTTAGAAGTTCAAAAACCATCCCTTAAAGGTGATTGTTTTTTTGAGACAGAGTCTTGCTCTGTCACCCAGAGTGGAGTGCAGTGTCCTGTAATCTCAGCTCACTGCAACCTCTACCTCCCGGGTTCAAGCGATTCTCCTGCCTCAGCCTCTTTAGCTGGGACTACAGGCGCACGCCACCACGCCCGGCTAATTTTTGTATTTTAGTAGAGATGGGTTTCACCATGTTGGCAAGGCTGGTCTTGAACTCCTGACCTCAGGTGATACACCCATCTCGGCCTCCCAAAGTGCTGGGATTACAGGCTTGAGCCACCACGCCCAGCTTAAATGTGATTCTTGATACTGTTTTAAGTATTTAGGTTGCAATTAACTTTGGCAAAGTCAGTCGACATAAGCCCTGTGGATATGGCCTTATGTACACTGTAATGCAGACAGGTGCTTTTCATCATTCATGTAACATTCTCACACAGTTGAGGATATTCATCTCCTCACCAATTCCAGATTGTAAATGTACCATCTTAAACAACTCTGAGGTCACCAAACAGTAGTTATTTGACTGTTAATAGGTGCTACTTGCTTGCAAGGATTTGGAGATGTAAACATGAAGAAAATATAGTTACTGCCTGCAAAGAATTAACATCCGTCTAGTGGGAGAAACAAACACACCCCACTCACTAAGTATGGAAAACTGATTCTGGGAGGAAGCAGAAATGTCCCTAGATAACAGCATGTATTGCAGATACCCAAATGTTTATTGTTTTCTCAGCCCTTCAATTTTGCTTTTCTCTCTCAAATGCTACAGACTCAATTTAAATCTTACCTTTGATTGTTGAAAAAAGTCACTAAGATGTGAATACAGAATAGACATTGAGAGGTTATATATGTCCAAAACTCATCTGTCCAGCAGTCACCGTCCTCTTCAGAGTGGTCACGTTGGGCAGATGGGCACAGGTGCTGGTGATGCCTCTCCTGGGCAAAACGCCCCATTTGTGGCACTTTCAGATACTATTTATTTACTTTTTAAGAGAGAGACAGGCTCACTCTGTCACCCAGGCCAGAGTGCAGTGGCACGATCATAGTTACCGCAGCATCAAATTCCTGGACTGAAGCGGTCCTTTTGCCTCAGCCTCGCGGATAGCTAGGACCACAAGCAGTAGAGACAAGATCTCCGTATGTTATACAGGCTGGCCTCAAGTGATCCTCTTACCTTGGCCTCCCAAACACCGGGATTATAGGCGTGAGCCCCCGTGCCTGGCCTCAAATTTTATTTTAGCTCGACCCTATGGCAGTTTGTGTTTGGAAATCGTGATGTGAAGTCATCAGTATCTGTGCATATCCCTAAACTAATGGTTTAAGCTTTGAAGCATGCGCAAGCAACATGAACAACTGAATACAGAAAGTAACTGAAAGCAGCACAGAGACTGTGTCGTCCCTACAGACTTCTAACCCTGCATTCAGCAACATCATTCGACCCGAAGCCAGATTCAAACCCTATGTCTTCTAGCAGGTTCTGAATTTAGAGGACAAATAAGGTGACAGGTACTAAGAGAAGAGTGAATTAAGTGAAAATCTTCCCTTTGTTAAGGAGCTTTTTAACAAGAGTGTCTTTGCTGGGTGGTGATTGGGATGTAACAGATCAGTTCTACTGGACTTGTAGCTTGATAGTGAAATAAGGAGCTTGGGCTAAGGTATAAATCAACACACTGCTTCCTTCCTCCAGAAGGTCTTACTGTGAAGGAAAAAATGTCAGTTGAACTAAATTGTGCTTCACGCCTCGGTAGATTTGCATTCTGATGCAAGCCCCCAACCTCACGGACCAAGAGGATCCCTGGCTGCCTGTGAATGGCCCACATTTGAGTGGTGCTAACTTGATGTGAGTAGGCATTAATTATGGGTGCGGCTACTAAGATGGGAAAAACTATCACGACAGTGGCACCACCTGATTTCATGATGTACCATATGCAGTAACCCATGTTTGAGGTACAGAATTGAAGCTGATTTTTCTGCAAAAGATGAATTTCTATAAACAATCCCATTTTTATATTTTATTATTAAAACAAAAATACCTCTCTTTGCTAGAGAGTTATATGTATGACTTAAATTATTAGCTATGGTTTGCATTTAGTACATGGCAGATTGCCTGTAAGTCTGTTCATTTTAACAACATACAGGGCTGGGCACGGTGGCTCACGCCTGTAATCCCAGCACTTTGGGAGGTTGCGGGTGGATCACTTGAGGTCAGGAGTTCGAGACCAGCCTGGCCAACATGGCAAAACCCCGTCTCTATGAAAAATATAAAAATTAGCTGGGCATGGTGGCAGGCACCTGTAATCCCAGCTACTCGGGAGGCTGAGGCAGGAGAATCGCTTGAACCTGGGAGGCGGATGTTGCAGTGAGCAGAGATCGTGCCATTGCACTCCAGCCTGGGAACAAGAGTGAAACTCTCAAAAGCAGAAACAAAAACCCAACATATATGGGCTGTTAGATAGTAATTGTAATTTCGTATAAATAGTAAATGAGTACATCTTGATTAAAAGCTATGAATTCAGAATTGCTTTTAAATATATAGGGGGTTTTTTGAAATTTATTACAGTGCAATTGAAAATACACTTAAAATACTGCAGGATGCTTAGTGCTCAGTGTTATGTATGAACTTGTGGACTTTACAATGCAGGTTGAGAACTGCTAATGTATAGAATGACTAAACAGCTGTCTTTCAGGGTATCATTTTTAAAGGTATAAGGAACAAACTTTAATGTATTGAAATGCATAAATAAAATTTATTTTTTATATTTTGTTTAGAGTAACAGTGAATGTTTATTTTGAAAGACCAGCTTGGCCGGGCACGGTGGCTCACACCTATAATGCCAGCACTTTGGGAGGCCGAGGCAGGTGGATCACCTGAGGTCAGGAGTTCGAGACCAGCCTGGCCAACATGGCAAAACCCTATCTTTACTAAAAATACAAAAATTAGCCAGGCATAGTGGCAGGTGCCTGTAATCCCAGCTACTCGGGAGGCTGAGGCAGGAGAATCACTTCAACCCAGTGGGGGGAGGTTGCAGTGAGCTGAGATTGCGCCATTGCACTCCAGCCTGGGCACAAGAACAAGCCTCTGTCTCAAAAAAAAAAAAAAGCTTTGGTGGTAAACTGAGGTCTATACCTTTCCTTTACCTTTTAAAGAAGGCTACTTAGCTCTATGATTTAGGAAGAAAGATTCATTCTCTCCACCCCCAGAGAGAGAGAACGCCCAGGAGGTGGAATGTTAACCACTGGAGAACTTGGAGAGGTTTATGCGGGTGAAGTGTGTTCTTGGAACTTTTCTGTAAGTGTATAATTGTTTCAAAATAGATGTTTTGAAAGCATTCATAATTCAGAACTCATTCTATAAAGATCTAAAATATACTATTCTTTTACAAAAGTAAGCAAACATTCAAATCACCTTTGCCTCCTTAAAAAATTGCCTAGGCCTTAGCGTACATCTGCCAAGATTTACCTTAACTTTAGGGTGGGTTGGTTTCCTTCAGCTTGGTCAGGTGACCGCCTTAGCTCCCTGTCGCACTACCTGCATTGGCAGGGGAGGGTGGGAGAGCTGGAGAACGGAAGGAGGGAAGGTCCTGTCATTGACCGTGCTCAGGGGCTTCAGTATCAAGAACTGCACTGATGATGGGCTTGGTGTCAGTGGGTGTCCAAATTACCCAGGCACCTGCATCCCTATAGGGTTGAATAGAGTGTATAGGAGTGAGCTGGAAGATGCCAGCACCCTCCCCCTCTCCCCACTGTGGCAGGTGTCCGACGGGCCAGGTCAGCTTCATTCATTCATTTTTTTTTTTTTTTTTTTTGAGATGGAGTCTCACTCTGTCTCCCATGCTGGAGTGCAGTGGCACAATCTCAGCTCACTGCAACTTCGGCCTCCTGGGTTCAAGTGATTCTCCAACCTCAGCCTCCCAAGTAGCTGAGATTACAGGCATGCGCCACCGTGCCTGACTAATTTTTGTATTTTTAGTAGAGTCAGAGTTTCACCATGTTGGCCAGGCTGGTCTCAAACTCCCGACCTCAAGTGATCTGCCCGCCCCGGCCTCCCAAAGTGCTGGGATTACAGGCGTGAGCCACCGCACCCGGCCCCGTATACCATATTTTCTTTATCCATTAGGTTGATGCTGTATCTTGGCTATTGTGACTAGTGCTGAAACGAACATGGGAATGCAGATGTCTCTTTGAAATGGTGACTTAGTTCTTTTAGGTGTATACCCAGTTGTGGGATTAGTGGATCATATGGAAGTTCTATTTTTAATTTTTTGAGGAGCTTCCCTACTGCTTTCCATAATGGCTGTGCCAATTTACATTTCCACCAACCGCCTGTGAGGAAAACGGTGTGGGTTCCCTTTTCTCCATGCCTTTGCCAACACTTACCTTTTCTGTTTTTAGTAATAGCCATTCTAACAGGTGCAAGGTGATAGTTCATTGTGGTTTTGATTTTCATTTCCCTGATGATTAGTGATGTTGAACATCTCATATAACTGTTGGGCATCTGCATGCTTGCTTTGGAGAAATGTTTATATGCATCCTTTGCCCAATTTTTATCAGGTTTTTGGGGGTTTGATTTGGTTTTGTTATTTGTGGGTTTTTGGTTTTGTTTTTTTTTGTTTTTTGGTTTTTTTTTTTTTGCTATTCAGTGGTATGAGTGTATTTTAGATAGTGACCCCTCATTAGATCTATGGTTTGCAACCATTTTCTCCCACTCGGTAGGCTGTATTTTCATTTTTTTTTTCCTCTCCCGTGCAGAAGCTTTTTAGTTTGATGTAACCCCATTTGTTTAGTTTTGCTTGTGTTGCCTGTGCTTTTGGGTTCACATCCAAAAAGTTATTTCCTAGACCAATGTTGAGGAACTTTTTTCCTACATTTTCTTCTAGGAGTTTTGTGATTTCAGGTCTTAAAAGATTTAAGCCTTTGATCCATTTGAGTTGATTTTTGTGTACGGTGTAAGATAAGGATCCAGTTCCACTCTTTTGCATTGGAGATCCATTTTTCCCAGCACCGTTTATTGAAAACATTATCCTTTCCTCACTGCATATTCTTGGTGCCCTTGTCAAGTATTAGTTGACTGTGTATGTGTGGGTTTATTTCTGGGCTCTGTTCTGTTCCCCAGGTCTATGTATCTGTTTTTATGCCAGTACCAGACTGCTTTGATGACTGTAGCTTTGTAATGTATAGTCATGTGTCACATAATGACATTTTGGTCAATGAAAGACTATATATATGACAGTGGACGCATAAGATAATGGAGCTGAAAAATCCCTTTTCTATGTTTAGACACACAAATATCACTGTTATAAGTACTTAGAATATTCAATACAGTAACATGCTGTATGGGTTTATAGCCAAGGAGTAATAGGCTATGCCATACAGCCAAAGTGTGTAGCAGGTGCACTCTGTGATGTTTGAACAATGATGAAATTGCCTAACAACACATATCCCAGAATGTGTCGCTGTCATTGGCAACATGTGACTGTAGTTGTTCTGGTTTGGTTTGGTTTTTTTGAGACAGTCTCACTCTCACCCAGGCTGGAGT
Source organism: Homo sapiens (assembly GCF_000001405.40). Taxonomy (NCBI): domain Eukaryota; kingdom Metazoa; phylum Chordata; class Mammalia; order Primates; family Hominidae; genus Homo; species Homo sapiens. The sequence continues at coordinate 156,975,949 of NC_000007.14, forward strand.
ATAACGGCGCAATTTGGGCTCACTGCAACCTCCATCTCCCTGGTTCAAGTGATTCTTGTGACTCGGCCCCCCAAGTAGCTGGGATACAGGTGCCTGCCACCATGCCCAGCTAATTTTTGTATTTTTAGTAGAGATGGTGTTTCTCTGCATTGGCCAGGCTGGTCTCAAACTCCTGGCCTCAACTGATTGACCCGCCTCAGCCTCCTAAAGTGCTGGGATTACAGGCATGAGCCACCACTCCAGGCCAACTGTAGTTCAAAATCAAGAAGTGTGATGCCTTCAGCTTTGTTCTTTCTCAAGGTTGCTTTGGCTGTTTGGGGTCTTTTGTAGTTCCATATGAATTTTAGAGTTGTTTTTTCTTTTAATTAATTATTATTTTTTTTTTTTTTTGAGACAAAGTCTCGCTGTCTGTTTGTTGCCAGGCTGGAGTGCAGTGGCACGATCTCGGCTCACTGCAACCTCCACCTCCCAGGTTCAAGCGATTCTCCTGCCTCAGCCTCCCCAGTAGCTGGGACTACAGGCACGTGCCACCACACCTGGCTAATTTTTGTATTTTTAGTAGAGTCAAGGTTTCACCATGTTGGCCAGGCTGGTCTTGATCTCTTGACCTCGTGATCCACCCGCCTTGGCCTCCCAAAGTTCTGGGATTACAGGCGTGAGCCACTGCGCCCGGCCTGTTTTTTCTGTTTTTTCTATACACGTGAAAAATGCCATTGGAATTTTGATAGGGGTTGCATTGAATCTCTAGATCACTGAGTAGTATGGATATTTTAACAATGTTAATTATTCCAATCCATGAACATATGATATCTTTTCATTTATTTGTGTCTACTTTAGTTTCTTTAATCAATGTTTTATATAGTTGTTAGTACACAGATCTTCCACCTCCGTTAAATTTTTTTTTTTTTTTTGAGACAGAGTCTTGCTCTGTTGCCCAGGCTGGAGTGCAGTGGCGCAATCTCGGCTCACTGCAAGCTCTGCCTCCCGGGTTCACGCCATTCTCCTGCCTCAGCTTCCTGAGTAGCTGGGACTACAGGCGCCCGCCACCACACCTGGCTAATTTTTTTGTATTTCTAGTAGAGACAGGGTTTCACCATGTTAGCCAGGATGGTCTTGATATCCTGACCTCGTGATCCGCCTGCCTCAGCCTCCCAAAGTGCTGGGATTACATGTGTGAGCCACCATGCCTGGCCTCACCCCAGTTAAATTTATACTTAAGTATTTTGTTCTTTTTGATGCTATTGTAAATTTATTTGTTTTCTTAACTTCTCTTTTGGATAGTTTGTTGTTAACGTTTAGAGACACAACTGATTTTTGTATCCTCAACTGTACTAAATTTGTTTATTAGCAGGTTTTTTATGGAGTCTTTAGGGTTTTCTAGATATAAGATCGTGTCATCTGCAAACAGAGAACGTCTTCCTTTCCTATTTGGATTTTTTTTCTTACCTAATTGCTTTGGCTAGGATTTATTGATTTTCGGTCTGGATGATCTGTCTGTTATTGAAAATGGATAATCAAGTCCCTACTGTTATTGCACTGCTGTCTATTTTCTGTCTGGATGATCTGTCTGTTATTGAAAATGGATAATCAAGTCCCTACTATTATTGCACTGCTGTCTATTTTCTGTCTGGATGATCTGTCTGTTATTGAAAATGGATAATCAAGTCCCTACTATTATTGCACTGCTGTCTATTTCTTCCCTCTTTTCTGTTAATATTTGCTTTCTGTTTAGGTGCCCCAATATTGGGTGGATATATATTTATAATTGTTATATCCTCATGATGAATTAGCCCTTTTATCATTATATAGTGACATTCCTTTTTTTGAGATGGAGTCTTGCTCTGTCACCCATGCTCGAGTGCAGTGTGTGATCTCAGCTCACTGCAACTTCCATCTCCAAGGTTCAAGTGATTCTCCTGCCTCAGCCTCCAGAGTAGCTGGGATTACAGGCATGTGCCACCACACCACTACTAAAAATACAAAAATTAGCCAGGCATGGTGGCATGCGCCTGTAGTCCCAGCTACTCGGGAGGCTGAGGCAGGAGAATCACTTGAACCTGGGAGGTGGAGGTTGCAGTGAGCCAAGATGGTGCCATTGCACTCCAGCCTGGGCAACAGAGTGACACTCTGTCTAAAAAAAAAAAGAAAGAAAGAAAGGAAAGAAAGAAAGAAAAAAATATATTTATTATTCATTAAGTAGAAGTAGATCATCATAAATGTCATCATCCTCATCATCCTCACATTGAGTAGTCTGAGGAGGGGTTGTCTTGCAGTCTCAGGGATGGCAGAGGCAGAAGAAAATTAGCTTATAAATAGACCCACAAAGTTCAAACCCTCGTTGTTCAAAGGTTAACTGTATAAACTCATAACTTGAATTGCATATATTTTTACCTCTCCACCCCCACATGCATTTTATATTATTGATTTCACAATTTAGATTTTTGTGTGTGTCTATCCATTAACAACTTATTGTAGCTACAGCTGTTTTTGATACTTTTGTCTTTTAACTTTTATACTAGAGTTAAAAGTGATTTACACACAATCATTAAATATTAGAGAATTGTGAATTTTGACCATATACTTACCTTTATCAATGAGTTTTATACCTTCATATGTTTTTATGTTGTTAAATAATATCTTTTGCTGGGCGCGGTGGCTCACGCCTGTAATCCCAGCACTTTGGGAGGCCGAGGCGGGCGGATCACAAGGTCAGGAGATCGAGACCATCCTGGCTAACACGGTGAAACCCCGTCTCTACTAAAAATACAAAAAATTAGCCTGGCGTGGTGGCGGGCGCCTGTAGTCCCAGCTACTTGGGAGGCTGAGGCAGGAGAATGGCCTGAACCTGGGAGGCGGAGCTTGCAGTGAGCCGAGATCGCACCACTGCACTCCAGTCTGGGCGACAGAGCGAGACTCCATCTCAAAAAAAAAATTAATATCTTTTTGTTTCAAATTGAAGAACCCCTGTTAGCCTTTCTTGTAACGACAGGTCTACTGATGATGAACTCCCTTAGTTTTTGTTTGTGTTGGGAAGTTTTGATCTCCCCTTCATTACTGAGGGACAGCTTTGCCAGGATAGTATTCTTGGTTGGCAGGGCTTTCTTTTGCTTTTGGCATTTTGAATATATCCCACTCTCTTCAGGCCTACAAAGTTTCTGCTGAGAAATCTGCTGATAGTCTTATGCAGGGATAAGGGGGGATTTTTTGAAAAGAGTTGCTTTTCTCTTGCTGCTGTCAAAATTATCTCTAGCTTTGACTTTTGGCAGTTTGATTATAATGTGTCTTGGTGAAGACTTCTTTATGCTCAATTTATTTGGGGTTCTTTGGGCTTCATGGATCTGGATGATCATTTTCTTCTCTAGTTTTGGGAAGTTTCCTGTCATTATTTTTTTTTAATAAGGTTTTTGCCCCTTTCCCTTTCTCTGCTTCATCTGGGACTCCCAGAATATGTATACTGTTTTGCTTGATGATATTCCCAATTCCCATAGGCTTTCTTCACTCTTTTTCATTCTTTTTTTCTTTTTGTTACTCTGCCTGGATAATTTCCAATGATCTATCTTTGAGTTTGTATTTTTAAAAGTCAGGGCCTTACTCTCTCACCCTTGCTGGGGTGCAGTGGCACAGTCGGGGATCACTGCACCCTTGACCTCCCAGGCTCAAATGATTCTCCCACCTCAGCCTCCCACATAGCTGGGACTAAAGGCTGTGCCACCATGCCCAGCTAATTTTTGTACTTTTTGTAGAAACAGGGTTTTTGCCATGTTGCCCAGGCTGGTCTCAAATTTCTGAACTCAAGTGATCCTCCCACCTTGGCCCCCCAAAAGTGTTGAGATTATAGGCATGAGCCACCACCCCTGGCCGAGTTCATTAATTATTTTTTCCACTTCATCACATCTTCTATTGAAGCTCTCTATTGAATACAATGTCTGACATTGTATTCTTCAGCTCCAGAATTTGTTTGGTCCTCTTTTATAGTTTCTTCCTCTTTATAACTTTGCATTTTGTTCATGTATCGTTTTCCTGGATTTCGCTTAGTCATCTATCTGTGTCCTCTTGAAGGTCACTGAGCTTCTTTAAGATGATTACTTTAGGCCAGGCATGGTGGCTTGTGCTTGCAATCCCAGCACTTTGGGAGGCCAAGGCAGGAGGATTGCTTGACGCCAGGAGTTTGAAACCAGCCTAGGCAACATAGTGAGACTTGTCTCGACAAAGAAAAAAAAAAAAAAATTAAAGATGATTATTTTTGAATCCTTTGTCAGAGAGTTTGTAAGTCCCTTTTTTCTTTCTTTTCTTTTCTTTTTTTTTTTTTTTTTTTTTTTTTTTTTTTTTTTTTTTTTTTTGAGATGGAGTCTTGCTCTGTCACCTAGACTGGAGTGCAGTGGCGCAATCTCGGCTCACTGCAACCTCTACTTCCCAGGTTCAAGTGATTCTCCTACCTCAGCCTCCTGAGTAGCTGGTATTACAGGCGTGCACCATCACGCCCGGCTAATTTTTGTGTTTTCAGTAGAGATGGGGTTTCACCATGTTGGTCAGGCTGGTCTCGAACTCCTGACCTTGTGATCTGCCTGCCTTGGCCTCCCAAAGTGTTGGGATTACAGGTGTAAGCCACTGAGCCTGGCCATTAAGTCCCCATTTCTTTGGGGTCAACTATTAGAGCTTTATTTTGTTGCTTTAAAGGTGTCATATTTCCTTGATTCTTTGTATATATATATTTTTGAAGACTTGCGCTGCTATCTTCACATTTGAAGAAGCGGTCACCTCCTTTAGTCTTACTTGTTTCTTATTAAAATTTTTTTAATGTTTTTTTTTAAGAGATGGGATCTCACTATGTTGCCCAGGGTGGTCTCAAACTCCTGGCCTCAAGTGATCCTCCCACCTCAGCCTCCCAAAGTGCTGAGATTACAGGTGTAAGCTACCATGCCTGGCTGTCCCCCAGTCTTTGTTGACTGGCTTTGGGAGAGAAAGACCTTCATCAGTCATCCTAGCTAAGGATTTGAGGGATCGCTCAGATCTTTTCTGTAGATACACCCACTCTACTCCTGTTGCTCCCTCTTAGGGAGAGAAGTCTTAGGTTGTAAGCTCCTCTCAATCCTCCAAAGCTGGGTCTACACTGAGCACCTCCCATTTTCCCTAATGCAGTGCTCTGAAGCATTCAAGGTTGGGCACCTTCTCCCAGTCCAGCAGAGTCAAGCCGGCTGCTCAGATTTGCATCTGCCGTTGAGATCTGTGTACTGTTTGGGAGGAGGGTGCATGAGACACCATATGCTCAGGGGTACGTGGAGTGCTGGGGGCATGGATCAGTTGGTTGGGGGGCCCACAGGCAAGTTGTTCTGTGGGTTCATGGGCGGGCCTCCTGGTGGAGTGTTAGCTGGTTAGTGGGATCCATGGCTGGCTGTTGGTTGCTAGGCATGTCCTTCCCTTCTCCTAGCAGTCCCCAGGTGACTCAGCCATGCTGATTCCTCAGTGTTCTGGGGAGAGACACAGGTGGGCTATTGGGCAGCATCCTATAAGGTTGGGGAAGCTGGTGCTCACTCAGCACTCAGTTTCCCCTGTGGGAGAAACCACAGGCCCAGGGGGGCCTCATTGGAGGAGCACTAGCACAGGTAAACTGAACCTTCTTAGCCTCTTCGGTGTGCTCTCTTTGCCCTGTGGGGTGCTAGAACCTCTCAGTGTTTCTGTGGGGGCATGAGGGCTGGAACCTCCTATTCTGTCACCTTCCTGGCCTCTTCCTACAATTATTTTTATGCTCAAATTGCCCCCGATTTGGACAGGGGGAGAGCCTTCAGGCTGCTCCTCCAGCCCTCTCACATGTCCCCAACGTTGTTCAGCATTTCCTTATTTTCCAGCACTAGACATTCTAAGGCTCACCCTGTACTCTCTCTGCTCTTCCCTGGAAATAGTCATTTCTCCAAAGAGTTCTGTTCCCTTGGAATAGAGAATGGTATTTACAAACCAAGAAATGGATTTCAGGTGTGCCAGTTGTTTCTGGGGTGGCATTGCTTCTAGGCCCCTTCGGTGGACAGAGCTGGGAAAGAAACTGTGTGTATCATATATATCTGCACACGTAAGCTGTGTGTGTATCATATATAATACATCTGCACATATAAACTGTGTATGTATCATATATAATACATCTGCACTTATAAACTGTGTATGTATCATATATTAATACATCTGCACATATAAACTATCATCTGTACATATAAACTGTATATCATATATATCTGCACATATAAACAGTATCATATAATACATCTGCACATGTAAACTGTATCATATCTGCACATATAAACTGTATATCATATATATCTGCACATATAAACTATCATATATAATACATCTGCACATACAAACTATCATATCTGCACATATAAACTATATCATATATATCTGCACATATAAACTATCATATATAATACATCTGCACATACAAACTATGTATCATATATAATACATCTGCACTTATAAACTCTGTGTATCATACATAATACATCTGCACATATAAACTATCATATCTGTACATATAAACTGTGTATATCATATATATGCACATATAAACTATCATATATAATACATCTGCACATACAAACTGTATGTATCATATATAATACATCTGCACTTATAAACTGTATCATACATAATACATCTGCACATATAAACTGTATCATATCTACACATAAACTGTATATATCATATAATATATGCGCATATAAACTATCATATATCTGCACATATAAACTATGTATCATATATATCTGCACATATAAACTGTGTGTATCATATATAGTACATCTGTACATATAAACTGTATCATATACATCTGCACATATAAACTATCATATATAATACATCTGCACTTATAAACTGTGTACCATATATATCTGCACATATAAACTGTATCATATATATCTGCACATATAAACTATCATATATAATACATCTGCACATATAAACTGTATCATATATAATCTGCACTTATAAACTGTATCATATATATCTGCACATATAAACTGTATCATATATATCTGCACATATAAACTGTCATATATAATACATCTGCACATATAAACTGTGTGTATCATATATACATCTGCACATATAAACTGTGTGTATCATATATAATACATCTGCACTTATAAACTGTATCATATATATCTGCACATATAAACTGTATCATATATAATATATCTGCACATATAAACTATCATATATAATACATCTGCACATATAAACTGTATCATATATAACTGCACATATAAACTGTCATATATATCTGCACATATAAACTGTCATATATATGCACATATAAACTATCATATATAATACATCTGCACATATAAACTGTGTATCATATATAATACATCTGCACATATAAACTATCATATATAATACATCTGCACATATAAACTGTATCATATATAATACATCTGCACATATAAACTGTGTATCATATATAATACATCTGCACTTATAAACTGTGTCATATATCTGCACATATAAACTATCATATAATACATCTGCATATATAAACTATCATATATACATCTGCACATATAAACTATATCATATATCTGCACATATAAACTGTGTGTGTATCATATATAATCTGCACATATAAATTGTGTATAATACATCTGCACATATAAACTGTATCATATATAATACATCTGCACATATAAACTATCATATCTGCACATATAAACTATCATATCTGCACATATAAACTATCATATATCTGCACATATAAACTGTATCATATATAATACATCTGCACATATAAACTGTATCATAATACATCTGCACATATAAACTGTCATGTATATCTGCACATATAAACTGTATCATATATATTTGCACATATAAACTGTGTGTATCATATAATACATCTGCACATATAAACTATCATATATAATACATCTGCACATAGAAACTGTGTATCATATATCTGCACATATAAGCTGTGTGTGTATCATATATATCTGCACATATAAACTGTGTGTATCATATATAATACATCTGCACATATAAATGTGTGTATCATATATATCCACACATATAAACTGTGTGTGTATCATATATCTACACATATAAACTGTGTGTATCATATATAATACATCTGCACATATAAACTGTGTGTATCATATATATCCGCACATATAAACTGTGTGTGTATCATATATATCTGCACATATAAACTGTGTGTGTATCATATATAATACATCTGCACACATGCTTCTCTGTATTGAAAACCAAATTGTCACGGACCACTCCCATTCTCACGCAGCATTTAGGGCTGTGGCTAGCCTTTCCCAGCTGTAAGAAACCTGTCTTTCAGCATGATAAACACATTTACTTATTTGCTCAGTCCTCTAATATGCAGAAAGTAGTTTTAGAATTGCCAAAACCATACAACTTGGAAAAACAAGCATGATTACTTCAAGATGTGTTTGTAGCTCCTTCTGTCCTGGCATTGGACGTGGAGAGAAAGCACAGACTGTTCCAAGTTTCATTTTTCCCCTTCTCTGAAACGCAGAGAGCGTTGTTTGTTTCTGTTTGTATTTCATTTGGGTCCTCCCTCTAGCCTTATTCATAAATTTGTAAATGATCTTTAACAATCTGTTATATTTATGATGTTTTACTGCGTGCTGCCTGTGAAAATGTTTCCTTCTTCTGACACGTTCCAGAACAACTAGGCTTTTAAATTCCAAATATTCCTGTTTCACAATAAACCAGATGAGGGCCTCTGTTGTGCCACAGCTTTTGGAATGTGGTTTATTACCAATAGAAGTGGCTGCGTGGCTTGTTATGGTTTCAATTACACGTGAGTAACAACCGGGGCCCTTCTGTGTCAGGTGCTGCTGATCAAGGCTGGCTAATGGGGACCTCGCTGTCCAGAACGGGCGTTTCCCATGGCCCGGCCCAGCTGTTTACCACTTCTGTCTACCATTTCAGAGGGGCTTTGCGGAGATTAAATGAGGTGAAGCGCTCTGAGAACCTCAGTCCTAAAGAATAGCAGTTATACTGGTTTTTGTATTATATTTATATATTCTTCTTGTTAATATACTGGTTTTAATGTTCATCGTTCTCTTGGGATCCCATGACAGTGAGCCTGGTGTACCTGAGGTCTGGGATACTCACACCTCTCCCCAGTCCCATGCTCCCCACTGTGGCAGTGCCTGTCAGGGACCCTGCTGACCCCAGGAAGCCTCGGTGTCCCCAGCGCTGGCTCTGCTCACACAGGCAGCAGGCTTAGTGTTCTCTGGCCTGGCTGCACTGACTGGACCAGGGACAGGGGAAGGGCCCCAAAGCACCCTGTTCCAGGCAGCCGGCCAGTCGTGGCCGAGGAGCTCCATTCAACAGTGGCACCCAGAGGGGCCAGGGTCTCATAAAGCTGGTCAGACGCCCCCTCTGGGTAGGGGTGTAGGAAGCGGCTGTGCAGCCGGGTCCCAGGTAGGGAGGCATAGAGTGAAGGCTGTGAGCAGGAGCCCTGGGGCGGAGGGCCAGGAGAAGGCTGGGCACAGGTCCATCGGTGGCAGCTGGGTGGGCAGAGCAGAGAGGCTGCATCTGCACGACGGCAGGGCCCTGGTGTGGGAACAGCAGACGGGGCCCCTGGGTGCGGCGCCTCCTTCCCACATCCCTGCTGCTCCTGCATCTGCTGCTGGAGAAGACCACGACGTGCTCAGACCCCGGCACTGGAGAACTCCAGATGTGGTGAGGGCTGCACGTTAGCTGCATACGCACATCTGGAAGGTGAGGCAGACGTGCCCACCGCCTCCATGCCTGGCCCACAGTTGTGGGCATGCAGAGCTCCTCTGTGGCAGGCCCAGGCTGCACCAGCTGCCTGGAGAGGCACTGGGGGCGGGGCCTCACTTGAGGGGCAGATTCTCCCACCCAGCCAGTCCAGGCCCAGCGGCTGGAGCATCCCGTCCAGCAAATTGTCCTGCAAGTTGCCCTGGAGACCCAGCGTCTCTCATCACGTCTCACTCCCCTGCCAGATGCCTCTGCGGCAATAACGAGAGTGGCTCTGCCTTCTGCACTGAATGCCGACAGGTGACCAGAACATGACACTGGGGTTATGCAGTGCCCTGGTTGATATTCTAGTTCATCAGGGAGCTTCTGGAATGATTTTTTTTTTCTTTTTTTTTTTTTTTTGAGACAGAGTCTCTCTCTGTCGCCCAGGCTGGAGTGCAATGGAGCAATCTTGGCTCACCACAACCTCTGCCTCCGGGGTTCAAGTGATTCTCCTGTCTGAGCCTCCTGAGTAGCTGGGATTACAGGTGTCCACCACTATCACTCAGTTAATTTTTATATTTTTAGTAGAGATGGGGTTTCACCATGTTGCCTGGGCTGGTCTCAAACTCCTGACCTCAGGTGATCTGCCTCCTCAGCCTCCCAAAGTGCTGGGATTACAGGCATGAGCCACCTCACCCAGCCAACTTTCTTTTGCTTCACTTTTCCTCTGGTTGCCCCATCTTTATTGTCAAGTCCTGTTAAGAGGAACAACATTAAAATGAGAGCTTTCATGGCAAAAAGGTTGCTGTGGGTTGAGCTTGCAATGTTAGCTGCGTGTTAGGATTCAGCTGACATCTGTCTCTGGAGTCTCGCCCTTTCTGTAATTCGCTTTTGACTGTAATAAATGTTGTACAGGCCAGGTGCAGTGACTCACACCTGTAATCCCAGCACTTTGCAAGGCCAAGGCAGGTGGACCACGAGGTCAGGAGATCGAGATCATCCTGGCTAACACGGTGAAACCCCGTCTCCACTGAAAATACAGAAAATTAGCTGGGTGTGGTGGCACCTGCCTGTGGTCCCAGCTATTCGGGAGGCTGAAGCAGGAGAATCACTTGAACCCGGGAGGCGGAGGTTGCAGTGAGCCAAGATTGCACCACTGCACTCCAGCCTGGGTGACAGAGCGAGACTCTGTCTCAAAAAAAAAAAAAGAAAAGAAAAGAAAAAGAAAAAAACGTTGTGCAGTGAATGTGTGGGTGGGGCCTCTGAGTTACATCGGCTCAAGGCCTCTTTTAAGGAGGACCCAAATAAGAGTGGGGATTGATGTATTTGACTGGGAACCCACTCAGGGCCACCATGCAGTGAAGCTCCGGAGCAGGGGTGTAGACGCCCTGCTTGAAGCGTTGAGAAGCCCCACAGTACAAGTGTGCAGAAGTCAAGCTCCTCCTGCTGGAGCAGGGACAGGGCAATAGGGAAAGGCTTTTCCAGAGGCAGGGTCATTGGGACTGGCTCTTCCGGGAGGAGCTGAGGGCACACGCTGGGCAGAGCTGACCTCTGTGTGCGGATCGCCTGGGATGGCGCCTCCGGTGGCCTCACGATAAAGCACCTCAGAGGCAGGAGATGAACTTGAGACCTGACCGTGAAGGAGTGAGGAGTGAAGTCCTCTTCTCAACAGAAGGAAACCATCAAAGAGGTTACATAATCAAAACTGTGTTGTCAAAATATTGCTGGACAGAGATGGCGGCTGGTCCGGCACGTGGGAATGTTGGTGACAAGAGGTCAGTTCGGTGGCTCTTGGACCTCCCAGGCCAGGAGGGAAGCGCCCAGGCCAAGGTGGGAGCCTGAGAATAGAGATTTCAAGAGACGCTTCTAATGAATGCTCATCAGAATGTTATTATTATTTTATTTTATTATTTTATTGGGACTGGATTGACTTGCATTTCCTTCACTAATCAGAAGTTTGAGGGCAAAGATAAATCTCAAATAATCACCTTGCATTTCTGATGAGTTAAATGAGTGTGTTTTATGCCCTGGTTGTATGAGCTTGCTTTTCCACAAATAAGAGTGGAAATTTTATTTTATTATTATTTTGTATTATTATTTTATTTTATTTTTGTATATTATTTTATTTATTTATTTATTTTTATGTGGCCCAGGCTAGAATGCAGTGGTGCGATCTCAGCTCACTGCCACCTCCGCCTCCCAGGTTCAAGCAATTCTCCTGCCTCAGCCTCCCGAGTAGCTGGGATTACAGGCACTCGCCACCACACCCGGCTAATTTTTGTATTTTTAGTAGAGACGGGGTTTCACCATGTTGGCCAGGCTGGTCTCGAACTCCTGGCCTCAAGTGATCCACCCACCTCGGCCTCCCAAAGTGCTGGGATTACAGGGGTGAGCCACCGCGCCGGGCCAGAATGTGGTGCCCTTAAACGAGAGGGTGGAGGGGGCAGTGGAGGCTTGGAACGTCTCTGAGAAGGGGGCGGAGGCTCATAGATTTCAGAGGAGGAGGATTTCAACCTGAGGCGCGTTGCGTTTTCTGGGGCTAGTGGCACCCGTGGAAGTCAGGGCTGAAGGATGTAGACACCAGCTCTGGGTGGCAGCCTAGGGATCCAACAAAATGTGCAGTCCCTTGAGGAGAACGAGGTATGAGAGGAAGGGGCCCCAGAACAGAGCAGCGGGTGAGTCCAGCGGGTGGAGAGAGGCCCTGTGAAAGCAGCCACAGACCAGCCGTGGAAGCATCTAGAGTCAACTCAGACACCTCCCAGGGAAGGCAGTTCTACAGCACGGAGCCAGCATCACGTAGAGACTGAACAGTAACTGAAGTGTGTGGGCTTCTGGAGGGCCGCGCTGTACCTCCCTGAGCGTGGAGGACTCCGGATGTCTGTGTGGATGCTTGTGTGTAGAGAGTGTTATCAAAGTGCTATAAAACTTGGATTTTTCTAGTGACAGTAACACTGGCCAGGGAATGGGGAGCTTTTCTTGTTCTCAGCCTTAACTGTTGCATCACAGGCTGCACTGATGAAGCCGATGGGGGGTGTGGCTGCACAGGGGCCGAGTTCACCAGAAGGTGACACTTATCTTGAGTAGAGCTGGACAATGATGAAAAATGATGTTTGCGTGGTAAAATGATGAAAGGGAACAGGGCCAGTTTAACATGTCCTAAGGATGCAGGGGGTGTTCAGAGTTCGGGGGCCGTGTGTTTGGGGAAACAATGGCCCCTGTGTGTCCCACAGGCCAGGCGGGCTCGGGTGCCAGAGCTAAGCAGTGCTGACCTTGACATGTCCAGATGACGATGCTTGGCCCCAGGACTTCCGTGGCCCCCTCCTCACTCTCCCCAGCAAAGGCTGACCTTTCCGAGCACGACTGACCATGGCCACCGCGGTGTTTCCCTCCCTCCTGCTCTGGGGAAGGAGCCGTCAATCCCTCGTGCACTCAGTGCCACCAGGGCTGCTCCCGCCCGGGGCTCACACTGATGTAAGGCCTGATGAGCCTGGGCCTCGCCAAGCAGAGCCAAGTCTCAAGCCCACGCCGGGGCAGCTTCAGCTCTGGTGGAAGGAAAAACGATCAAGACCAGCTTTTAAGGTATTTTCTATAGAAAATCACTGAGAATGGGCTGGGCGCAGTGGCTCACACCTGTAATCCCAGCTACTTGGGAGGCTGAGACAGGAGAATCGTTTGAACCTGGGAGGCGGAGGTTGCAGTGAGCCAAGGTTGCGCTACTGCACTTCAGTCTGGGCAACAAGAGCGAAACTCTGTCTCAAAAAAAGAAGAAAAACATTGAGAATGGATTATTCATTTCATTTTGTCAGTGTTTCCAAAGAAAGAGGGCAAATTCTTCCACTTACATTATTATTATGTTTGCCAGTTAACATTTGGCCATGTTTGCTTTTCCTGTGGTTTTTCAGTACACGTGTATATACAGTTACGTAGGGAGCCATTTATACCCATGCATGTTCTGATGGGATTGTTGGAGTACAGACATGGCCACGCTTCACTTGGTAGCCTCAGCCTGCAGCCTGGGAATGAGCGCGTTCTCCAGGGCACCACAGCACCTCTCGACCAGCTTCCAGTCCCGTCATTCTTCATTAAAAATAAGACTTCCTGTGCCCCTCTCCCTCTCTCCCCCGCAGAGATCACTCTGCTCATCTTTAGGCCACTGAAGTAGTCCCGGAGGGCCTGGGTCCGCGAGCCTGGTGAAAAGCGATGCTCCGACCTCATCTGTGACTCTCGAGGGCTCCTCGTCCACTGTGGCGAGTGCAGAGGACGCGGCCTGGGCAGTGCCTGCGGGGAGACCGTGCTGGCCTGGGCTTCCCAGTGAGCGGGGCTCCTCAGGCTTCCTGGGCCCTCGTCCTCCCGGACTGGTGGCACTGTGTGCCTGTTGGGGGGTGGCAGGCAGCGGGAAGGCCCAGGTGTGGCTTGCAGGCCTCTAACGCCAACTGCACAACCTTGAAGCTCCACTCCAGCTACGCTGTGGCCCCATAGCCAGGTCTGGGGTCATTTCTTATGACACCACCTGTCCTATTTTGTTACCTTGTCCCTGCGCTAGTTAAAAAGCAAGTAGAAAGGTTAAGCATCACTTGTGCAGTCCCCTGGCAGCTAGGCGACGGCCCCTCTGTCAGCCTGTCAGTCAACAGGGCTGGAAGGGTCCATGCTCACCGGACCTGTCTGGCCTCCTCCTGACCGTCAGCCAGGGCACCACCCACTCTGAGCTGCTGTGGCCCATCATGTCAACTTACCATTTCCTTTCTCTCTAACTGTTCAGGCAGGCCTGTGAGCCCACAGAATCACAGCCTCAAGCTCTTGGCCTCAGGGTGGGCCCCCTGACAATGATTCTCAGTTCTTCTCTCCGCTGATCTTTCTTCCTGATGGAGAGGCACGGGGTAGGCGGCCGGCTAGCTGTCGCGGGCTCTAGTGAAATCTGTGGACAAGTGCTGAGATAGGAGACACTGCACTGGTGACGCCTCAGGGCCTCAGGGTCACACCAACAGGGTCCGGCTGGTGCCGCGACCAAGTCACAGCGCCTGTCTCTGTCATCAGCTTTTCCTTTTCTCCCATATTTTCAACTTGGTTAGAGGGCAGGAGTCCCGCTCGGTTTGCCAGCAACCTCACATTGATAAGAATAAGTGCACTTCTAGCTCTCCGATCCTGGGATTTTATGACGTATGACGGGTTTTGTGTCCCTGAAAGGACGTAGGACTGTGTCTATCATTGGGTTGGTTCTCATCGAGACAGAGCGGGTGCCTGTTTATTGAGCAGACTGGGTCTCTTCCCATGGAAGTGCACATAGGAGGGTCTCTGAATCCATTCTTCTTTTCATTCCCCATTCTGCCGTGAATATTGTTGCAAACATCCACATTAATATCGATTTTGTCATTCTTTTTTTTTTTTTTGAGACAGAGTCTTGCTCTGTCGCCAGGCTGGAGTTCAGTGGAGCGATCTCAGCTCACTGCAACCTCTGCCTCCTGGGTTCAAGTGATTCTCCTCCTGCCTCAGCCTCCTGAGTAGCTGGGACTAACGGGCACGCACCACCACACCCAGCTAATTTTTGTATTTTTAGTAGAGATGGGGGTTTCACCATGTTGGCCAGGATGGTCTCGATCTCTTGACCTCGTGATCCACCTGTCTCGGCCTCCCAAAGTGCTGGGATTACATATTTTGTAATTCTTAAAAGCTGATGGATGATCCAGGACATCTGTGCTGTCTCCAGGAGAACTATCCTCATTGAAAGTAAAGCAAGCTTCTTTTTTATTGGCCGGGCACGGTGGCTCATGCCTGGAATCCCAGCACTTTGGGAGGCTGGGGTGGGAGGAGTGCTTAAAACTAGGAGATTGAGATCAGCCTGGGCAGCAAAGTGAGACCCGCCCCGCATCTACACAAAAATTAAAAATATTAGCCAGACATGGTGGCATGCAACTGTGGTCCCAGAGGCTCAGGAGGCTGAGATGGAGGATCCCTGGAGCCCAGGAGTTCGAGGCTGCAAGGGAGCTATGATCACATGACTGCATTCCTGTCTGGGCAACAGAGTGAGACCCTGTGTCTTTATTCTAAAAAAAAAAAAAAAAAAAATTGAAATGGAAAGTCAAGCAAAGCTTGCAAAGTACAAGACAAGACCCAAGGCTCTGAGGACCAGCCTAACATCTCGGAGCCCAGCACCGCACGGCAGGCACCTGACAGCCACCCTCCATCAAACAGAGGCTGTTACTGTTTCTATTACTATTACTACTATTATTATTGCTTAATTTTGCCCAGCCTTGGCCAAATCCCTGATTTCCTAGGAAGACTCAATCCCAAACAGATGTGTGCAAAGGCCTAATTATCAGACAGGATGCAAAAACAAAGCACAACAAACCTAGACCTCCCGGGAAGTCTTTGTCCGGCACTCACCGCGTGTGGAAAAGCAAGCTCATACAACCGGGGCGTAAAACACACTCATTTAACTCATCAGAAATGCAAGGTGATTATCTGAGATTTATTTTATCCTTGCCTTCAAAATTCTGATTAGTGAAGGAAATGCAAGTCAGTCCGGTCCCAAGCCAGCTGGAGCAACCCTCAGATCGCCAGTATTCTCGCCCTTTCTGACTTCAAGGGACAAAGGGTTTTAAAGGCCCTCTGTTTTCTGAATCAGACTTAACAGGGCCGACGGAGTCTGGTTTCCTACTTTAGCAATGGTGGAAATAACACTGATAAATCAAGTTTTGGAGGTGTTCGAGCCTCACACCTAGGCAGCGGAGTGTAGGCTGGGGAGCTTGCGGGGACGTGCTGCACTGGCCCAGGTGTCCTGCCGCACCCACAGAGCACTCAACACAGAGCTCAGAGACAGCGGGTATATCACACAAGATGCACTTCCGGAACTGTGCCTCCACCCCTGTGTGTGTGAAGGAATGAGTGTTCCTTTTTTCCTTTTATTTTAACAGTTGACACTGTTAAAATAGTTCACATGAGGGCTGGGTGCGGTGGCTCACGCCTATAATCCCAACACTTTGGGAGGCCAAGGCAGGCGGATAACTTGAGGTCAGGAGTTCGAGACCAGCCTGGCCAACATGGTGAAATCCCGTCTCTACTAAAAATACAAAAATTAGCTGGGCGTGGTGGCAGGTGCCTGTAATCCCAGCTACTCGGGAGGCTGAGGCAGGAGAATCGCTTGAATCTGGGAGGCGGATGCTGCAGTGAGCCGAGATCATGCCCCACTGCACTCCAGCCTGGGCAACAGAGTGAGACTCTGTCTAAATAAATAAATAAATAAACAAATAAATAAATATAGCTCACACGGACGGGCAGAGGGCTGTTCCCCCAGAAGGTTCTGGATGGGTCTGGTCTTCCTCAGAACTCTGAGGCATCACGGGCAAGGCACCAGGAGAGAGCGGGATTTTCACTTTGCCGTCTTTCACTCCAGGGTTCCCCTCTGCAGGCCCCGAGTCAGGGCCTGGACGAATCTGAGTTGCCGCAGCTCCCTAGGGGCAGCTGGAGCAGCTGTTCTGCCCCCAGACCTGCAGGGACCCCCATCTTCACGCGGAGACAGGCGGGTGCTGCAGCCTCCAGGACCCGCTAGCTTCCTAGCTGAGTGCTTGGGAAGCACCTGGAGCAGCAGAAACAGCCACTGGGGCTGAGGAGTCAGGAGAGAGGCAGCGGCGGATGAGCTCTGTCTGCCCAAGCAGATTCCACGGCCAAAGCAGGGGGTCCGGGTATGGCGGGAGCTGGGCCCTGGCGGCTGCAGGCTGTGCACGTGGTCAGGACTCAAGGAGGTCCGGGAGTCGGGCCAGGACACGGGGGAGCGCCTGGGAGCTGCTCCCTTCCTTCCCTGCTTCCCTCAAATCGATGTCCTCTGGTTCCTACGGCCTTGGGGGCTTTGAGGGAAGCGACTCTGCACACGGATGGCAGGAGCTCTGTGCCCTCAAGCCTGCCACCCCGGAGAGCTTCCCAGGGCCTGGAGCCCAAAGTGCCATTGAAGTCGCAGTGGGAACACCTTGCCAAGCTGAGGCGCTCCGTGCCTAATGGGATAATAAAGCACTTTGTCACCCGTGAGTGAGAGGTCTGATAAAAGCAAAATATTATCACAGCATCTGTGATTAGGAGGCAGCTGCACACTGGAGACACAGCCACATTTATGAGTAAATAGAATTTGTTTCTGTGCTCTGATTATGAGGGTCACAGTGGTTTAACCCTGTTGCGGAGGCCTCAGATACATTATCTGCTCAAATAGAACTGGGAAGGAAAACACCGGCGGTCATTAAAAGCAAATTACTTTGTTGTACAAAGATAGAAGGGAGAAGGCCGTGGAAATCTTGAGGTGTGGGGCCCTGGGGGTGCCACGGAAGGGCAGCATCTCTGGAGGCACCTGCAGGCGGGAGCTGGGACATGGGAGTGACCCGCCAATCCACCGGCAGCCAGAGATTCAAACAGGTCGAGGGCTCCCTGCGGCTTCCTGGAAAGCTCTCGGGATATTTTTAGTCAATTCTGGAAGCTGCCTAGAGTGCAGGAGGTGAGGGTGTCTGTGCCTTCTTTACCTGTGAAAACAAAGGGAAAGATTTCTGCGAGATGAAATTGGCCCGTGTTTCTGGTTTTTATTTATTTGTTTGTTGAGACCGAGTTTCGCTCTTGTTGCCCAGGCTGGAGTGCAATGGCGCAATCTTGGCTCACTGCAACCTCCGCCTCCCAGGTTCAAGCGATTCTCCTGCCTCAGCCTCCCAAGTAGCTGGGACTACAGGCATGCACCACCATGCCTGGCTAATTTTCTGTATTTTCAGTAGAGATGGGGTTTCACCATGTTAGCCAAGCTGGTCTTGAACTCCTGACTTTAGGTGATCCACCCGCCTTGGCCTTCCAAAGTTCTGGGATTACCGGTGTGATCCACCGTGCCTGGCTGTGTTTCTGGCTTTAAATGTATCAAAGGACTTGCTTGTGTTTTGATGCATTGATGCATTGGCTTTATTTTCAAAGTGAAATCTCTGGCCAGGGGGCCTCTTTGGAAGGAGGGCTGGCACAGTGCCATCTCTACACTGGATACTGTGGGGAGTTAAAAAAAGAACCAAAAACTGGCCAGGCACAGTGGCTCACGCCTGCAGTCCCAGCACTTTGGGAGGCCAAGGCGGGCGGATCGCTTGAGCTTAGGCGTTTGAGACCAGCCTGGGCAACATAGCAAAACCCCATCTCTACAAAAAATGCAAAAAAATTAGCCGGGCATGGTGGCATGCATCTGTAGTCCCAGCTAATCGGGAGGCTGAGGCAGGAGGATTGCTTGAGCCTGGGAGGTTGAGGCTGCAGTGAGTCGTCATCGCATCACTGTACTCCAGCCTGGGCGATAGAGTCAGACCATGTCTCAAAAAAAGAAAAAAACAAAACAGGCCAGGCGCGGTGGCTCACGCCTGTAATCCCAGCACTTTGGGAGGCTGAGGCGGGCGGATCACGAGGTCAGGAGTTCAAGACCAGTCTGGCCAGCATAATGAAACCCCGTCTCTACTAAAAATACACAAAAAATTAGCCAAGCATGGTGGTGTGTGCCTGTAATCCCAGCTACTCGGGAGGCTGAGGCAGGAGAATCGCGTGAACCCAGGAGGCGGAGGTTGCAGTGAGCCGAGATCGCGTCACTGCACTCCAGCCTGGGCAACAGAACGAGATTCTGTCTCAAAAAAAAAAAAAAAAAAAGGAAAAACAAAACAAAACATATCTGGAATAGGCAGATTCGTAAATGGAGACGACCAGGGGCTTGGTGCAGGCGCAGGGGACGTCATGGTTAATGGGTGCAAAGTTTGTGTGGAGATGACAAAGAAGTTTGGGGTGTAGCTAGGGGTGATGGCTACCTTGCATTTCAAGTGTATCTGACACCACTGAATTGTACACTTACAAATGGTAAGAATGATAAATGCTGTTATGTATGTTTTACCACAAAAAAAAAAAAAAAGGACTAGATGGATGTAGTGGCTCATGCCTATAATCCCAGCACTCTGGGAGGCCAAAGCAGGAGGATCACTTGAGTCCAGGAGTTCAAGACCAGCCTGGGCAACATGGCGAGACCCAGTCTCTGCAAAATTTTTAAAAATGAGCCGAGTGTGGTGGTATGTGCCTGTGGTCCCAGTTACTTGAGAGGCTGAGGCAGGAGGATCACGTGAGCCACAGAGAGCCATGATCACACCACTGCACTCCAGCCTTGGTGACAAAGCAAGACCCTGTCACTAAAATTAAAAAACACTTTATTGCTAAAAAATGCTAAGCATCATGGCCCTTTAGCAAGCTGCAATGATTTCGCTGGTAGTCTTGCCTCAGTGTGGTTTCTACTGACTGATCAAGATGGTGGTTGCTCAAGGTTGGGGTGGCTGTGGCAATGTATCTGCCTTCCTCCCTCACTCCCTCTCCCTTCCCCCCTGCCCCTCCCCCTCCCCTCCATTCCCCTCCCTTCCTTCTTTTTTCTTTTGTTAGATAAAGGGTCTCACTCTGTTGCCCAGGCTGCAGAGCAGCACCACAATCATAGCTCACTGTAGCCTTGAACTCCTGGGCTTCAGCAATCCTCTGGCCTCAGCCTCCGGAGTAGCTAGGATTACAGGCATGCGCCACCATGCCCAGCTAATTTTTTGGTAGCAGGCTCTCCATATGTTGCCCAGGCTGGTCTCAAACTCCTGGGCTCAAGCGATCCTCTCACCTCGGCCTCCCAATGTGCTGGGATTACAGGCATGAGTCGCCATGCCTGGCTGCAATTTCTTAAAATAAGACAACAATGAAGTTTGTCACATTGATTGACTCTTCCTTTCATGCCAGGTTTCTCTGTAGTATGAAATGCTGTCTGATAGCATTTTACCCACAGCAGAACTTCTTCCAACATTGGAGTCAATCTTCTCGAACCCTCAAATTTATGGACTATTCTAAATCCTTTATTGTCATTTCCACAATGTTCACAGCATCTTTACCAAGAGTAGATTCCAGCTCAATAAGCCACTTTCTTTGCTCATCCCTCAGAAGCCACTCCTCATCGGTTCATGTGTTATCCTGAGATTGCAGCAACTCAGTCCCATCTTCAGGATCCATGTCTAGTTCTAGTTCTCTTGCTATTTCCACCACATCTGCAGTCACTTCCTCCACTGCAGTCTTGAGCCCCTCAAAGTCATCCATGAGAGTTGGAATCAGCTTCTTCCAAACTCCTGTTGTGATATTTTGACCTCCTCCCATGAATCATGAATGTTCATAATGGCATCTAGGATGGTGAATCCTTTCCAGGAGGTTTTCAATTTACTTTACCCAGATCCATCAGAGGAATCACTATCTATGGCACCTATAGCCTCACAAAATGTATTTCTCAAATAAGCACACTTGAAAGTCAAATTTACTTCTTGATCCATGGGCTGCAGAATGAATGTTTCATGTCTGTGTTAGAAGGCATGAAAACAACATTAACTACCTTGTGCATCTCCATCAGAGCTCTCGGGTGACCAGGTGCGTTGTCAATGAACAGTAATGTTTTGAAAGGAGCCTTTTTTCTTAGCAGTAGGTCTCAACTTGGGCTTAAACTATTCAGTGAACCATGCTGTAAACAGATGTGCTGTCATCCAGGCTTTGTTGGTCCATTTACAGAGCACAGGCAGAGTAGATTTAGCATCATTCTTAAGGGCCCTAGGATTTTTGGAATGCTAAATGAGCACTGGCTTCAACTTAAGGTCATCAGCTGCATTAGCCCCTCACAAGAGAGTCAGCCTGTCCTTTGAGGCTTTGAAGCCAGGTGCTGACTTCTCCTCTCCAGCTATGAAGGTCTTAGATGGCATCTTCTTCCAATAGAAGGCTGTTTTGTCGACACTGAAAACCTGTGTATGAAGTCACCGTCATCAAATACCTTAGCTGGATCTTTTGGAGAACTTGCAGCAGCTTCTCCATTGGCACTTGCTGCTTCACCTTGCACTTTTATGTTATGGAGACGGCTTCTTTCCTTCAACCTTATGAACCAACCTCTGCCAGCTTCCAGCTCTTCTGCAGCTTCCTCACCTCTCAGCCCTCCCAGAAGGCCCTTGGAGTTAGGGCCTGGCCCTGGATTAGGCTGTGGTTTAGGGAATATTGTGGCTGGTTTAATCTTCTATTTAGAGAATATTGTGGCTGGTTTAATCTACTATTTAGAGCACTAAACCTCTCTCCACATCAGCAGTCAGGCTGTTTCTGTCTTATTATTTGCATCTTTACTGGGGTAGCACTTTTAATTTCCTTCAACAACTTTTCCTTTGCATTCACAACTTGGCTAACCGACACAAGAGGCCTAGCTTTCAGCCTGTCTCAGTTTTCAACATGCCTTCCTCACTAAGCTTAATCATTTCTAGGTTTTGATTGAAAGTAAGAGATGTGTTACTCTTCCTTTCACTTGAACTTAGGGGACATTGCAGTGTTATTACATGGCGTAATTTCAATATTGTTGTGTCTCAGGGAACGAGGAGGCCCCAGGAAAGGGAGAGAGATGGAGGATAGCCAGTTAGTAGGGCAATCAGGACACACACATATTTATCAATTACGTTCACCATCTTATATGGGCAAGGTTTGTGGGACCTCAAAACAATTAAAATAGTGACATCAAAGGTCACTGATCATAGATCACATAACAGATATAATAATAATGAAACAATTTGATACTTGCAAGAATTCTTGGTAATTGCAAGAATTACCAAATGTGACACAGACATGAAATGAGCACATGCTGTTGGAAAACAGCGCCGACAAATTTACTTTATGCAGGATTGCCACAAGCCATCAATTTGTAAAAAAATGAAATCTCTGTGAAGTGCAAGAAAGCAAAAAGCACAATCAAACGAGGTCAGCCTGTGCTTAATCCGATGACATGTGTGTGTCTAAAGACCTGGAATAAGTTAATCACGAGAATAAACGGACCAGGTAGTAAAAGGTAATACATACATATTGCAGACTGAAGAAAAGACACAATTTGTATTGCATGTCCTCGCTCATTTGTGGGATCTAAGAGTCAAGACCATGGAACTCATGGAGATAGAGGATAGAAGGCTGGTTACCAGCAGCTGGGAAGGGGAGTGGTGGTGGGCGGCGGGGACATCACTGGGTAGGTAGGGAGGGTTAATGGGTACAAAAAAATAGAAAGAACGAATAAGACCTAGTATTTGATAGCACAGCAGGGTGACTATAGTCAATAATAATTTAACTGTACATTGAAAAATAACTAAGAGTCTGATTGGATTGTTTGTAACATAGAGTAAATGCCGGAGGGCATGAGTGCACCATTCTCCATGAAGTGATTACTGCGAGTTGCTTCTCATATCATCTCATGTACCCCAGACATATATACACCTACTATGTACCCATACAAATTAATATTTAAAGAAAAGATAATAACAAGACGTAGTAAAGCTGTTAGGACCCCTCCCCCCCACCTTGCATTTCTTTTACAGAGTTATCTACTATTACAGAAACACTGCAAGCTTCCTATTACAGGCATGGCCCCCCTGCTCTGAAGAGCCAGAACCCTCAGCCTCCTGGGTGCGGCCCTGCCTAAAGCAGGGACGTTGACAGACGCAGTTCGCAGGAGCCAGCTAAGCCTGAGGCTTAATGGGCCAGAGCCGGAGCCTCCTCTCAGGTGCCTGTCCTGTCCGAGCTTTCTAGAAAAGACGCTGGGCGCTGTCATGCTCCTCACAATGTCCCCTGCCCAGGAACTGATCCTTACGCTTTTTTTTTTCCTTCCTTTCCTTCCTTTCCTTCTTTCCTTGGCAGAAAGGCTGCTAAGCGGGAAGGTGAACTGCAATGTTAACAAAAGGCAAATACAAAACTACAGGCTTTGTCATAAAAGCAGGCTGTTTCTTCCACCTTCTCTGAGTAATAAAATACCTACAATAATACATATCAATTTTTTTTTTTTTAAAAAAACGGGTGCACTTCTAGCCTGAAGCACAAGCAGCAGTTCCAGTCTCCAAGAGTCCCTGTTCTTTCGCTTCCAGGGCCCACTTCAGCAGTTTCTTCCGGACCCGGACACCCTCAGGGCGGCGATCGGGGGTGAAACGCCTCGGGCCGAGCCCCTGGGTCACTGCGTCCTGAGCCCACCCAGCAAACCCCGAGCCCAGGCCTGAGCGGCGCCCCCGACCCCGTCCCGGGCTGGAGAGGCCCCGCCCGCGGCCCCCGGCCTGACCCCGGCCCGCCCCGGCCCGCGGGCGATAAGGCCGCGCCTTTGTTCCTGCCCCCAGCTGGGTAAACCGCGCCCCGCCTCGCTCGCCGTCTCGGGGGCACCTTTGTCCGGCCCGGGGCGCGCATTGTCCGCACGGTGTGTACTCGGGGAGGGGCGCCAGGTGCGCGGGCGGAATGTAGGGTCGGCGCGGGGCCGGGGGGCGGGCCCGGGGCCGGGGGGTCCTCAGGAAGCCTCGGCCGGGCCCGCCTCCTCCCCGAGGGTCCCCTGCAGCCGCGGATGGGGGAGCCCGGGGGCGGAGCGGGGCGCGGGGGGCGGAGCGGGGGAGGCGCGAACCCGGGGACCCCCGCGCTGGACAAACCCGCGGCCGCCGCCCGTTCCTGTCGTGTCCAGCTTGAGACACACCTGGCGCGTCGTAAAGTGATTTACGAAGTGAAAGTGTGAAACCAGGGCCACCAGCTGGAGGCCCGGCCGGCTTTAGGAGTTTTATTAGGTGCCCTATTATGGAAAATAAACTTTAATCCCACCATAAAAACCAAATCTGAAAAACATACTTGCCCTTGTGGTCGGGAGCGCCGCGGCATCCCTGGTGGAGGTCACACCTCCGACGGGATTAGTTTTAAGGAGGGAGACAGCGCTCCGCAAGACTTTGATACCGGGGGGCTGGGGGGCGCCCCCTTCGCCGCCGCGCCCCACGCGGGTCCCAGCGCCCCTCCGCGCCGCACTCCCCTCCCCCGGACGGTTCCGCCCGGCAGCCCCCTCCAAGCCTGGGGCGCACTCAGCGCTGCCCTCCGCTGGCGGGGGCGGGGGCGGGGTGGGGGAGGGAAGGGGGAGGCCGCGGGTCAGTTGACCCGGAAACCTGAGAGGTGCTGAGGAACAGGCCCGGGCGCCCCTCCGGAGCAGCTCAGCAAGGAGGGGCTGGGGTCGGAGGCGAGGAGAGGGAGAGCAGAGGGAAGAGGAAAAGGAAGGAAGAAAAAACAACAAAATTATTTTTACAATCATTGTGACCATTCACGTGTTAGTACCGGAGGGTTAACTATGTGCATTATGCAACAGACGCTAGAACTTTCTCATCTTCCCAAACTGAAACTCTGTCCCCAAGAAACACCGACTCCCCAGTACCCCACTCCGAACCACTAGCAACCCCCATTCTACTCTCTTAGAGTTTGACTCATCTAAACTGATATTTCACACGATCTTGCGGCATTTGTCTTTTTGTTCATTTGCTTGCTTATTTATTACTATTTTTTTTTAGAGATGAGGTCTCACACTGGCCCAGGCTGGAGTGCAATGGTGCCATCATAGCTCACTGCATCCTGGAGCCCCTGGGCTCAAGCCATCCTTCCGCCTGGGCTCCGCAGTAGCTGGGACGGCAGGAGGGCACCCCCACGCAGGGCCACTGTTTGTCTTTTGTAATTGGGTATTTCACTCAGCATAAAGTCCTCAGAGTTCATGGGTGTTGTAGCATGTGACAGGATTTTCTTCTTTTTAAAGCCTGAATGGCGCTCCACCGTATGTGTGTACCACATTTTCCTCATCCATTTCTCTGTTGATGGACACGTAGGCTGCGTCCACCTCTTGGCAATTGTGAAGAGTGCTGCAATGAACTCGGGTGTGCAAATGTCTCTTTGAGATCTTTTTGTTTTTTCCAATTCTTTTGGATATATACCCAGAACTGAGACTGCTGGATCGTATGGTAATTTGACTTTTTTTTTTTTTTTTTTTTTTTTTTTGAGCCCTGTCGCCCAGGCTGGAGTGCAATGGCACGTTCTCGGCTCACTGCAACCTTCGCCTCCAGGGTTCAAGCACTTCTCTGCCCCAGCTCCCAAGTAGCTGCTACTACAGGCGCCCGCCATCACGCCCGGCTAATTTTTTGTATTTTTAGTAGAGACGGGGTTTCACCACCTTGGCCAGGCTGGTCTTGAACTCCTGACCTCGTGATCCACCCGCCTTGGCCTCCCAAAGCTCTGGGATTACAGGCGTAAGCCACTGCGCCCAGCCTGATTTTTAATTTTTTGAGGGAAATTCTGTACTATTTTACATAATGGCTATGCCATGTTACATTCTGACCACAGCTGCAATTTCTCCACATTCTCACCAACACTTGCTATTTTCTGTGCTTTTTGTTTGTTTTATATTGGCCATCTTAGCAGGTGTGAGGTGGATCTGTGGCTCTGATTTGCATTTCCCTGATGCTTATTGGTGTTGAGCATCTTTTCATATGTGTGTTGCCGTTTCAAAATTTTATTTGGAGTCATATCTATTCAAGTCATTTGCCCATTTAATTTGGTTTTGTTGTAGAGTGCTGAGAGTTACATAATCTGAACATTAACCCATTCCCTGATTCGCGTGTTGCAGATGATATCTCCCATCCCCAGGTTGCCTTTCACTCTTGTTGATCGTCCTTTGTGGCGCGTACGTTTTTCAGTTTGATGCAGTCCCATTTGTCTATTTTTGCTTTGGTTGCCTTGTGTTCAGTATCAAAGAAGGAAAGTCACCGGATGAGGGAAGGGACAGGTCCACCTCCTCTCCCTTCGAGCTGTTTCTTTACTCCCTGACACCAGGGATTAACCGGGGTCTCCTGGCTGCCTCTCACCTGGCAGCCGGAGCTCCAGGAGGGGCTGGAAAGGAGCCCCCTGGGCCTCCGTCTGGGGGGCGTGTGTGAACTGTTTTCTCCCGTCACAAAAAAGGCTTCCTCCACATGCGTTTGCACGCCCGGCAGAATTCGCCCACAGCAAGGCCCCCCTTTCTAAGAAGGGAGGAGAACCCACATTGGAGCAAAGAAAACGGTGGCCAAGAGGTGGGGGCCTCGGTAGGGCAAGGAGGCAAGGCTGGGTTCCAGGGGACAGGGTCAGCTTTGGGTGGGGCCCAGAGCCCCGGGTCGCAGTGACGGCCGCCGCAGGGGTCTCCCCCCGCGTACCTTCGCTTCTGTTGAAGGCAGTGAGATCCGCAGGCCTCCGGGACAGCTAGAGGACAGCAGACATGTCCCGTGGGGGAAGCCTGGGCCTGTCTGAAAACACCGCCTCAGCTCCCTCCGGGGTCCCCCTGCGTAGACCTGGCTTCAGGTCCGGAGAACCGGATTCTTGAGGGCTGCAAAGACTTTCTCCCCCATGCGCGGGGTCAGCTGGCGGCTCAGGTGCGATTGGAGGCCTGGGCCCCGAGGGACCACCGCCCCAGGCCGAGCCGAGTCAGCGACCCCGAGCGCGGCGCCCAGGGGTGGGGGTCGCGCCCGCAAGGCGGGCAGAGCCGGGCCTCGAGACCGTTCATTAGGCAGAATGAATTGTTCACCGTGCCCGGAGTGGATGAGGACGAGCCAGTGATTATATTTAAATTTGCTATAATTGATTTGGGGAAGAGCTACTGTGACAAGAACGAATTGATCATTAAATTTATTAGCGAGATAAATTCCGCGGCGACTGAGCGGCCTGCTGGAGGCGCAGGGGCCGGCGCAGGTCCGGGGCCTGGCTCTGCTGGAGGACGGGGGAGGGGCGGCCCTATTAACAGCGTCTTCCTTTGATGTCGCTCTTCCCCGCGTCCCAGAGGAAGCGCCTGTCCCCTGGGGGTAGAGGGACAGACCCTCCGCGGAGGCCTGGGGCACCCCAGCTCCAGGCCGAGCCCCCACTCTTCCCTGGCTGCCCAGTGTTGGTGAGGGCGCTGAGGCTGGGCCGGCTGAGCCCAAGGGGAAAATAATCCCCAGATGTGGGGCCAGCCAGGGGAGAGATTGCTGCAGGCTGAACCTCACCAATGTGTTAGAAATTAAAAAGAAATGTAGGGATTGCAGATTAAAAAAAAAAAAAAAAAAAAAAAAAAAAGCATCTGTCTTCCCCCCTTCCCTCTGGTTTTCCCACCCTCTTCCTCTGGGCACTCTGCCTCCTCCACCAGTGGCAAACCCTCTCCCAGTTCCCCTAAACACCTTTGGACCCCAGGCGGCGGAGGCCCGGCCCCTGCGCCAGCGCCCAGCAGCTGCTTCTGCCCGGACTCCCAGCAGCCGCGCCCCGGCCTTGGATGAGGTTGATTTTATGGAAGGGGCCCGGGGTGATAATGAGTTGCCAGAGAGGATATTAATCTCCCCGCGCCCTGAGGCAGAGGAGTGGCTGCGCTCGCCCCGCGGTAATCACCCAAATGAAACGCCAGGCCCTTCTGAACTCATTTTATCCGCTGGGAGGAGGGGAGGGGAGGAGGGAGGAGAAGGGCACACGCAGGTGCTGCTGAGAAAGTGACAAACAGAAGGAAGGAGGAAGGCCCGGGAGAAGGGATAGGAGCGGCGTCCCCGTCGCCCGTCTCCTCCGGGGCCAGGAGAGGCCACTGGGTCATCGATGGGGGAAGGGGGCCGGGAGTCGCGCCGGGCTGGGTGGGCCGCGGGCCTGCGCTCCTGGGCGGACGAGAGCGCGGGCTGAGCCCGCATGTGTGCAGCACATGGCGCTGGGCCTGGCTGCGGTGATTGATGGCGCGCGCTGCAGAGGCTGATTAACCCGGAGCCGCTGCAGCCGCGGTGTGGAGCGCTGCTGCAGTCCGCCGCTGTCCTCGCGGACTTGTTTGCACAGAGCCAAGAAGACCGATCCTGGCCAGCCAAGGAAGGTTCTGCTAACAGAGAGGGCCGGGGTCGAGGAGAGAGAGAAGCACCGCGCAATTCGGTGCGTTCCGGGAAATGTGCCTCAGTAGCGCCTGAGGTCACAGGGACCCCACATGCTACTAACGCCTAGTCGTTTTAAGCTTATTTTCTGAAACGTCCAAATAGCGTATTTCCACTTCTGGAGTGCCAACGAAGCAACAGCTAGCAAGGAAATAGGAAAATAAATAGAGTCCACAGCTCCGCTTCCGAGGGACACGTGTCCCGGGACAGGTGTGCACCAGGCAGCCGGGCATGCGCTGACACCTGGCCACAGGTATTTTTGCCAACACTTCACATTGCGACTCCCCAGTAGCAGGCGCGGAGGTGGTCCTGACACCCACTTGAGACTCCGATTTTCACCCTCAGCTGCCAACCGCCGAGTAGACACCCTCCCCATCATTTCTACAAGCAAATTGTAATGCCGCGGGCATAATCCCCCAAAACTCGTGCACGCTGATCCAGTACAAAACCAATTTATTTTACATTCCATCGTGGGCGATGGGAGAAGCTAAATAATAATTTAGCATGCATACGTAGACGTTTCTTTTTATATATAAATACAATATACAAAAATAAAGACAGTACAGTTTTGAGATTTCCAGCAGTTTGAACGCTCGTGACATAATCCCCCCGACCCCAGAGACGTAAGCATAAACCCTTTTTTCTTTTTCCAAATACTCTGCAGAATGGCGGCTCCAGAGGCGGTTTCAAGTTTCATAAGTCAGGTAACACTGTGGGTTTCCGCCTTCTCGGACGCGGGGAAAGGGGAGACAGGAGGCTTCCCCTTGCGCGGGGTGGGTCGGTTCTTCTCACACGCACTCGCGCCTCCCCCAACACCAACCAAAATTAATTTTAAAAGAACCAGAGTTCAAGTTTCAGCCCCCTGGGTCTCCCTCTCGCTGTTTCTTGAAGAGCAGGTGAGGCGCCCTTGCTTAAAAGGGAAGCGCCCAGGACCGGAGCCGCGGCCGAATCCCTCCAGCCCCGGCCTGGGCGAGGGGTCCATGGGGCGGCGGTCGAGCCTGCTCTCGGGGCCGGGCCGGGTGGGTGCGGGCGCCGGGGCCTCCGGGAGAAGCCGCCGGCCGGGGCGCTCCGTGCGCGCCGCACCTGCTGGGCCGCGGGGCTCCTACTGGGGCGCGGGCTGGTGGCTGGGCCGCGGGGGCGGCGAGTCGTCCTCCGAGGAGCAGTCGGAGGAGGCGGCGTGGACGCTGGCGCCGTTGCTGTAGGGGAAATGGTCCTCGTCGTCCTCGTCCTCGTCCTCCTCGGGGTCACTGTCCCTCAAGTCCCGCAGGCGGCGTCCGCTGCCCTTGTCTCCGGGCGCTGGCGGCCCCAGCAGCTCCTCGGCTCCCGGCTCCTCCGCGCCGCCCTTCCCCGCGCCCCCGCCGCCGCCCTTCTGTTTCTCCGCTTCCTGCGCCGCCTGCTCTTTGGCCTTTTTGCTGCGTTTCCATTTCATCCGCCGGTTCTGGAACCAAATCTTCACCTGCGGGCACAAGCGGGCGTGAGAAACCGGCCACCGCCACCCCAGGGCTTCCTGTCCCCGGAGTCCCCCGGCCGCGTGCGCCTGGGCCCCATTGGGTCGGCCCTGGAATGGCCTCAGGGTGAGACGACTTAGAAGCAGAATGGGGAGGGGGCTCGTAGCTTCCTCCTCCCCGCAACCCCCCACTCAGCAGCAAACCCCAGAGCTGGGCTGGAGCTCCGTGGGAGCTAGGACTATGTCCCCAACGACCCAGGCCGGGGACTTTTCTACCCGCGCCCTCCGTCTGCGGAGGAAGGGTCAGGGCAGCTGGCTACGTCGCGGTAAATCTCAGGATGTTCCCTCCTCTCTTTCTGGAACAAAATTTCTCGAATGCGGCCTGGGGATCACCTTCTTCAGAATGAAAGGAGGGGTGGTTAAGTGCTGATTCTTGGGCCCCACCCGAAGCTACTGAATCGGCGCTCTGGGCACCTTAGATGAACCCGTGCGCCCGCCGTCTGAACCGTCGAGGCGCAGCGCTAGATGCCTCAGACCGCCCGTGGGTCACAAGTGCAAAGGTAACAGTGTCCCCTGGGAGGCCGGGATGCGTCGGGGGCGGGGAGGGCGCGCACCTGGGTCTCGGTGAGCATGAGCGAGGTGGCCACCTCGAAGCGCTTGGGCCGCGACAGGTACTTGTTGAGCTTGAACTGGTGCTCCAGCTCCAGCAGCTGCTGGCTGGTGAAGGCGGTGCGCGGCCGGCGGCACTTCCCCAGGAGGTTCGACTGCGCCTGGGCTGGGGACCAAAGGGCAGTGAGGCCCACAGCCGGCTCCGGTCCTCGCCCCAGCCCCTCCCGTTGCTGCTTGTACCACTACACTCAAGGCCCCAGCGCCAAGGCCTGGCCCTGCAGAGGGCGGGGCTGTTCCCTCACTATCAGTGCCCACTCCCCAAGGAATGCGGACTCAGGACCACCAAGTGGAAATGGATAGTTTGGAGTTAATGAGACCAATTTTTTTTTTTTTTTTTGTCTAGGAGACGTCTGAGTGTCCCTGTTAAACAGGGCCCATCGCAGGAGGCTTCCTCTCCACAGGAGCCGGCTTTGGTAGCAGTGGATTGACCCAGAGGCAAGAGGAGAACTGAGGCCAGTCGGGGGCCAGGAAGGGAGGTTCCGGGAAGCCCAGGAGTTGAAGGCTGCAGTGAGCGAGACTGCACCCCTGCACTGTACCCTGGGTGACACAGCAAGACCCCATCTCTCAATAAATAAAAAATAATAAAATAATAAAATAAAGGAGCAGTGAGTGATGAGAACCAAATCTCTCCCCCTCTCCTCACTGCGCCTTCCTAGAGATTCAGGCTCAGATCCAAACAGGTCTGGGAAGAGCTGGTCCTGCTGTTCCAGGTCTCCCTGCACTGCCTCCTTAAGACAGAAAAGGAGGAGGAGGAGGAGAAAAAGAGGAAGGAAGGAAGGGAGAGAGGGAAAGAGGGAGGGAGGAAGGAAAGAAGGAAAGAAGGAAGGAAGGAAGGAAGGAAGGGAGGAAGGGAAGGGAGAGAGGACAGGTGGAACAGGACCAAACCCAGGGTCCAAGTCTGTGTATTCACCAGGGACCCTCCCACCTTCCAAATGTTTTCCTTGGCATGCCCCCTCCTCAGGGTGCGGGCGGCAGGGGCAAGGCCTGAGGAGACTAGAAGCCTTTTCAGGACAATTCTCATTACGCAAATTACAGGCAGAGGCGCAGGCAGGATCCGGTTCTCTGTGTGTTCAAGGAGGCCTGCCCGGCTTTATTTACATAATTTCGCACGGTTACATCACAGAGAATTTTATGACCTCAAAACGAGACTTCCCTTGATTTCCCAGGAGCCTGACAAGTGTTGGACAATAAAAGAAAGAAAGCAAAGGAAAGAAAGGAGGCCAGCCCCAGGCCTGGATGAGCTCAGGTCCCCCGGGATGGGCAGTTTGCTTTAGAGGATGGCCCACGCCCCCTGCTTTAGTCAAACAAGGCCCCGAATTCCCAACTTGACAATACATTAGAACTTTAATTAAACCACTGGCTCCGGAGGGACCATTTGGGAAATGCCATCCAACAGGCAGAGACAACCAATTAAAGAAACCAAACAGGTTTTCCCCGGACCAGCGAGGAGGACTTCTCAGAACACATTCCGCCGTCTTTGGCACGGTTATGCCTGCCCTTTTGGATTGCCAGGTGCAGATACCTCTTCTGAACTTAAGACTGGTTGTGTTTAAAATTTGGCCAACTCTAGGTCAACATTTGGAATCAGAAATAGGCAAGGTGTCTCACTTTAATAAATTTTCTGAGTGACCCTGGGCTCCACGAAGCTCCAGAAAGCACCCCTAGGAGGCCTAGGACCACGGGCCCCCGGGGCTGGCCAGCCCCCTCCGTGGGCAACTTAGCGTCCTTGGCTCTGGGAAATGCAGGTCATATTGGTGGCTTTCTATCAGAAGGGATGGGCCCTGGGTCGGCACCCTGGGTTTAAGCCCAGGCTGGCAGGGGATTCGCAGACGCAGACGTGTCTGAGGTGAGGGGCAGCTTTCCCTCTTCCAGCCAGTCAGTAGGGCTGACTCTCCCAGGTGAGGGATGGGTGACCACTGGGGCCTTCTTGGAGCTGAGCTAGGAAAGCCTGGGGCGGCTGTGGGCAAACAGCCTTCTGCAGGGATTCTTCTCACCCTCTTGTGACTTCTCCAGCCTCTGGGGTCCTAGATTTTCTCTGTTTAGTCACAACCACAGCTTCCAGCAAAGGAATCTGAATTCTGGAGTGTTTATTTCTGTTTTCTTTTTTGCTTTTCCCCTGCTCTGCCTGCATCTCCCCAGTCTAAACAAATCCACTCAGACAGAAACAATGGGGTCTCTTTGTTTGGGTGTTCGGCGGCTGAAAGCGTTGAGCCATATACATCTGCTCGGCCCGACTCATAAGTAGCTGACCCCGATGGGGCGAGCGGGGAGAGCCAGAGCCCCAGAGAGCCAGAGCCCCGGAGCCCCAGCCCGGAGAGTCCGCGTGTGCCAGGAAAGCCTGAGGGGCCCAGGCCTCTGGCGAGGTGTCCCGCCCGGATGGAGAGGAAGCTGCCCGAAGCCCAGCGGCTCTGGGGTGGGGAGAACAGGGGCTCCCTCGGCCCCACCTTGGAGGGGCATTCGTTACCTTGTTGGGCGCCCAGGATTCCAGGGCAGGCACCTACTGTTGAGAGTCCCCCCATAGCTGGTTCAAGCCAGGCCACCTGCCTCGGCCATCGCACCCCGGATCCAACGCCCTTCCAGAGGAGGGCAGCGCCCTGGTAAGAGCCGGGGGTTCCCTGGGCCTTGGCCTTGCCTCCCCGGGCCTCCGAAGCCCATTTCTCTTGTTTGCTGCTCCTGAAGCACTCCCTCTCCCTGGAGGGGCCGCGGGTCTCTCTAACGCCCCAGTGGGGGACCTGGCCCAAGTTCCTTTCCCCGGTGATAAGCCCTGACCCCCATTCCCGGGCCTGCCTAATTCAGGGCGCTCTCGGCTCGCCTTCCCCCGGCGACTTCCTTCTCCTGCAGCCTTCGGGTTAATCATTAGATCTCAGTCTCACACCTCCAACTGCCCCTTCCCGTTAAGAGAGGAAGAGAAGGCAAGGCCTGCGCATGGCCATTTTAATAATTCGCTGCCCGTCTCATGCCTGGGGGTCCGGGCGAGTCCTCGCAGGCCCCGGGCAGAGCCGAGGCGGCTTCGCAGCTCTTCCCCCGCTCGCTGGGAGCCAAGCGCAGAGAGGGGCAGGCGGTGCCGGTGGAGGATGCGCGAGGCCCTCCCGCCACGCGCATCCACGGGGGCCGCAGGGTACTCACAGTTGAAGTCGGGCATCTTAGGCAGGATCATGCCCGCGGTGGACGCGCGCAGCCACTGGTCCAGCTGGAAGGTGCCGGCGCCCAGCTTGATGGGGTCGGCGGGGTGCGCGGGGTGCGCGCCTTGCACCTGCGGGTACGAGTAGGAGAGCGCCGGGTGCTGGCCCGCCAGCGCAGCCGCCGCCGCCGCCGCGGAGTAGCCGTAGACCGGGTGGCCGTAGAGCGCCGCCTGCGCCGGGAGGCCCGCGCCGCCCTGCGCGCCCCCAGGGTGCAGCCCCAGCGCCAGGCCCCCAGCGGCGGCGGCGGCGGCGGCGGCGGCGGCAGCGGCCGCTGCGCCCGGATGCGCGTGGTGGTGGGGCCCCCCGTGCCCGCCGCCCGTGCCGCCGCCGCCGCCGCCCGCGCCCAGGAAGCCCGGCTTGGGCAGCAGCGCGCAGTGCGCGGCCAGCAGGCGCGGCGGCGACGGGCTCTCGGCGCGCAGGCGGTCGGCGGGCGCAGCCGGCGGCTCCGAGGACGCGGGGCTGCAGCTGCCGCTAGTCCCGCCGCTCGCCCCGCCGCCGCCGCCGCCACCTCCGGTGCCAGATGCGGCGGCGGCGAGCGACGTGACCAAGGCCAGCGGCGCGCTCTGCGCAGAGGCGGCTCGTGGGGGGTCCACCGCCAGCAGGGCGTCGATGCGGAAATTTTTGGATTTTTCCATCGGCTCGTTTGGGGCTGGCGCTCAGGGCCCGGTGGCGGGCGACGCGGCCGTGTGCGGGCTCGCGGAGTCAGTGCGTGCGGTGCAAGCCCGGGGGCTCGGTATTGTTATGGTGGTTATTTGCCAATAATCAAAGTCGCCGCCGGAAACTCAGCCGAGGGTGACCATGGTCCCGGCGCCTCCTCCGTGCGGGCCCCGCCCCGGGCCGCGCTCGCACAAACTCCCACGCGAGTGCTTCCCCGCGTCCGGGCCCGGGAGCCCGGTTCTTTGCGCTGCAGCCCTCAGGCGACCGCGCGGAGGCCGCTGCCGCCGTGGTGGGGACCCGCGCCCCTCCGCGCACTTGAAGCTCAGCGCGGCTTCCGATTGGCGCGCGCAGCGGGGGCCCGGGGAGGGCCGCGGGCTCCGCCATTGGCCGAGGGGCGCACCTGTCACCGTCCCGGCCGCCCGCCGCCCCGCCCCCGCGCCGCGAGGTCCTAAGCAGCCCGGGCTGTTGCGCGGCGCTGGCGGGCGGGGACACCAACGGGGAGTGGATACTCCGAGGCTCAACCTGGGGCCTCTGCCCGCCCTCCCCTGGGTGCGGAGCCGGACGGCGGGCACTGGCAACCCCCGGGCCCCTGGAGAGCCCCGCGGCGGCCCAAGACCCGCTCCCGAGACACGTGGGCCCCTCCGGACTTGGTTGGTCCCTGGAGCCAGCTGCGCGCGTCCTCTCCGGCCTCCTTGTCGGCGCTGGAGTGGGTCCACGTCTGCCTTGCGGAGCGCGGTGGTTCCACGCTCCTGAGCGCCCACGCTGCGCAGACCTGGCCGCTCTGCGAGGCGACGGCAGCGCACTGAAGACCGTGGTGTTTCCCAAGCCCTCCCTGCTCTCGGGCCTCCAGGGCGCAGCAGGGGAGGGTTTTGTCCCCGTGGCCAAAGCTCTGCAGGTCGAACCTTATCTGCTATGGGAAGGCCCCGCATTTTCAGGTGTGTGTGCGGGGGTGTGGGGGTGTAAACGCGCATGTGAGTGTGAGTTTGGCCTCCACGAATCCTCTCTGGGAGCCCCTGCCCCAGTCAAGGCGGAGACGGTAGATCTGGGCGCTCTGGCCTGCAGAACCCAAGTCGGCTTGCAGACGTCGCCCACGTGCCTGCTCAGTGGAGCGGGTCCTCGGTGACAAGGCTCTTCCTCGCTGCCGAGGGATGCCCATGGGCTTGCGGGAGTCAAGGCCCACACACCTCGGCCCTGAAAAACCCGTGGGGCCCGGCATCCTTCGGAAGCCCTGCCGCTGCGACCCCCGGCCAGTCCCCGGGCAGGAGCGGGGAAAGGCTATGTCTCTCGTGCTGCCGGGGCCTCCTGGGAAGTGGAGAGGAAAGGGCTTCCCGTGAGTGAGCGAGGCACGGAGTGAGCATCCAGGTCTCACCCCTCCCCCACACGCACACTTCAAATATTTACAGTAAAACCACTTCCAAGGGCGTTTTTGAAGCTGAAAGAATCCACACAGGGGTCGGGAAGTCAAGCGGCATCAACACCAGGCTTTGTCAATAGCGCCATTAGACCCAGTTATCTTCCCCAGCAAGCGTGAGAACTGGGAGGGAGTTCCAGGTTCCAGGGCTTGCTATGCAGGTGAGAGGTGAATAAAGGACCGGAAGGGGCTGTGGAGAGGGGAGAGAGCCAAAGAGAAACTCAGTGCCAGGTAAACTTCAAAATTAGCACGCCAGGTTGCTACAAGAGGGATTTTTAAAAAGGCAAATATAGAGACCTTGCCACTTCTCCTCAAAAGGCTTTTGACCTAGGCGAGAGTTGATGACAGTGACTCTGTTGCCATGAGTGGTATCGTTTTCATTATAACACAGGGTAGTTCCCAGATGCACAGGACTGGTTGGAAGGTTAGGAGGATGGCAATGGATGAGTAACTGCAACTTGGAGTAAATGTGATCTGGCTTTGCAGAGCCGACCACTGGTAAAAAGAAATCCCAGGCATTCACATGGAGTTTGTCGTGCCTTTAGATGTCTTTGTGGTGACACAAATGCAGTTCTACCTCTCACTGGAGAGAGGGAAACACGCGCATTTCTTGAACACCTACTATGTGCTATGAGCTTTCTGCAATTCTCATCCGTAATCTTCACTATGACACTAGAAGGAAGATTTTTATCATCTCCGTATCTCCATTTTCTTTTCTTTCTTTTTTTTTTTTGTATTTTTGGTAGAGACGGGGTTTCACCGTGTTAGCGAGGATGGTCTTGATCGCCTGACCTCCTGATCCGCGCGCCTCGGCCTCCCAAAGTGCTGGGATTACAGGAGTCAGCCACCGCGCCAGGCGCCCCCCACTTTTTTTTTTTTTTTTTGAGATGGAGTTTTGTTCTTGTTGCCCGGGCTGGAGTGCAATGCCATGATCATGGCTCACTGCAACCTCCATCTCCCAGGTTCAAGCGATTCTTCTGCCTCAGCCTCCCCAATAGCTGAGATTACAGGCATGTGCCACCAGGCCAGGCTAATTTTTGTGTTTTTAGTAGAGATGGGGTTTCACCATGTTGGTCAGGCTGGTCTCGAACTCCCGACCTCAGGTGATCCACCCACTTCAGCCTCCCAAAGTGCTGGGATTACAGGCATGAGCGACCGTGCCCGGGCTATCATCTCCATTTTCTAGAGTACAAGTTCAGAGAGTTTGGGATCCTTGTTCCCAGCAGACAGTTTGGCCTTAGAGCTGGGAGTGGGACCAGGTCTGATTGCAGAGGCCACACTGTTCCCACCCTGCTGCCCTCAAAGCTTTCAGGTACACCTAGCCCTGAGTCCCCATCCCATCTGTTTCTTTTTGGGGAGGGAAGGATTGTAAAGGAGACCAGAGATTCTTAGCCACCTGTCCCAGGCAGGAAGCCCTAGCTGTGACTCTGCCTCCCCAGGGTAGAGAACACAGCCTTGGCCTCCTCCTCCAGGGGTTTGGCACCAAGGCTGACTTGCCTTTCTCTTCTCATCACCCCCATCTGCTGGGGGCAGATTGCTTGGTCCTGAGGTCAATGATTTAGGGAGCTGGGGGAAGGGAGTGGCTGCAGAAGAAATCTCCCAGGATGGACCTTGGAGAAGATGCTGTTCCTCTCTCCAACCAAAAATACACACTGCCAGGGTGATTTTAGTTGGTGATGGGGTGTGTAGTCTAGACTCATGACATCAGCCATCTCCTTCAACAAAATCACAGTGGGTGTTTTCTGGCTTTTTTTTTTAACTCCTAGAGGAATTAATTTCACCCCTTTTTGTTCTGTAATAACCATGGTCCAAAACCCCTTCACACCCTGTCTCATGTTTCTATTCTGCCTGAGACCTGCTGAGGACACCTCCCTGAAAACACAGACAGGACAACACGTGTGCAGGTCCTTCAGGTGTCTGTACCACCTGTGGGGCTGTGCAAGGCTGTCCGAGGAGGCCTAGCCTAGCAGCCCTGCGTCCTGTCCGGACCGCCCCTCTGGCTGAGGTGCCATTTCAGGAATCTGAAGCTCCTTATCTCGATGGATTTGTTTCTTTGTCTACAGAAGCAGGGGTTGGACCAAATGGACTCTAAGGAGCTATAGGGCCTTAAAATGATCAGATGTTCTGCTTATATTTAAGAATATGTTAATATAAAAAGGAGGTTCTCTGTAAAGCTGCATGGAGAGAGGCAGGTGTGGGGGAGAGAGGGAGCTATCTGGGAAGTGTGGATCTTTGTGTGGTTTACAATGTGTGAGGCGGAGCCTGCTGGGTCTCTTCCTGTTCCCAGTATCTGTATTGATCCAGCCCAGCTGGCTTTGGGGCAGTCTGGAGCTGGGCTTGGGTCTTGGGAAGGGCCACAAAGAGAGATCAAAGGTCTGATCCTAGTAGTGCTACCAAACCTGAGTCTCCAGGTGAGTTTTCTCTCCAGCGGCCCCAGGGGCAGAACTCAGCCCTGGAGAGTTCTCCCTGGAGCTCTTGGTTTCTCAAGACAGGCAGAGAGGGCCTGGTGCACCCTAATCAGCTGGCCCCCACCACAGCTCCTCCCTGCCCAGCGCGGGAGCCTGCTTTCTACAGGCCTCCTGTTAAGGAACTGAAGAGTGCCTGCAGCTGCCCTTCCTTCCACTACTTGGGAAGGAGATGGTGATTTCTACAAACCATCACAAAAGAAAACGCCGTTGTAGTCTGTGTCTGTTTACATCTGGACTTACACACACAACTGGGAACCCGTGAGGACTGGGGAAAAAACCTGTACATTCACATATTCACAAGATGCGAGGCAGGTATCATGCATTTATTTATCATTTAGATATTGCTTTTTTTCCATGTGAAATGGAGCAGTTGCCTGGAAGGGCACTGGGTGGCTGAAGCAGGGGGCAGATCTTGCATTTCCAAAACTGAAGCCCAGGGCCAACAGAGAGGACTTGGCTGCAGAGGGGCCCAGGCACATTAGTCCTGTCCTGCTGAAGCCATGTGGTCTTCGGGGACTCATGCAGTTCCGTTTCAATGTAAACTGTCAAGGCTTTCTTCAGGAAACAGGCATGAAGATGCTGTGTAACTGGCCGGAGGGACCTAAGCACGAGTTTGAGATGGGACTTGCCCCTGGCACAGGAAGTAGCTTAGTTAGGCTGGAGTGGGAGCCCAGAGGGTCAGAGCAGGAACTGCTGGGAGATGCTCCGACCTCCTTCCTGGAGCTCAGAGGGAAGGAGAATCTGTGGAGAGGGCCTAGGCTCACCGGAGCTGGGGACATCTGCTCAGGTCCCCCCACCAACCCCAGCCCCTTCAGAGCAATGGGGGCCAAAGGCATCAAGTCATTCATGCTGTCCTTTGATCTGCTGACCTCCTCTATGGCCCCTGGGAGCTGGGCCTTAAAGGAGTCTGGAAAGGGTAGGCTCAGGATTAGCAACCCAAAGACCTGCAGCTCAAACCCTCAAACCGAGGCGGGGCCTGAGGTGGGCCCAGGTCTGCTGTGTGCTCCGCTCTATGGGTTTTCTCCCTCAGCCCCTCCTCCTCAGCCTCTCCCTGCAACCTGGATT
Source organism: Homo sapiens (assembly GCF_000001405.40). Classification (NCBI taxonomy): domain Eukaryota; kingdom Metazoa; phylum Chordata; class Mammalia; order Primates; family Hominidae; genus Homo; species Homo sapiens. Next base: position 157,015,317 of record NC_000007.14, read on the forward strand.
TCCTGTTGCCATTTTAGAGGGCACCCTCACCCCGACTCCTCTCGCATGGCCAGCACCACCCAGGCTGCACTGGCAATGTGAGCCCCCCAGAACACCCCAAGTCACTGGCTTGACCCTCTCCTCTGAGCCCAGCCCTGGCTGCAAACAACCAGCCCCTACCAGGGGGGCTTGGCGAGAAGTTAGGGAGATGCCACAGGATTTAAATTAGTCAAATTCAGTGACCCAGGGGCCTTCTATTTTTGGAAATTTCCTCCAGAGACAAAAATCTCTGCTTCCTTCCAGACCTTGGGCAGCCTCCCAGCTTCCCTGGACCCTGAAGGGAAGGGACAGGCCTGGCCACCCTGGGCTCAGCTTCTGGCCCAGGTCTCCTTCTGACACAAGGTGAAATCCTTTCCAGCCTCTTCGAAGCTTCTTGTGTCATAAAGAGAAACAAACCTTGGGAGGGAAGAGAGGCTCCTTTGAGCCCCTTTCATTGTTTTGGGGGAATAACAACCCTCCACAGAAATGAAAGCCTTCTCTGGAGTCTTTTTCTCTTTGCTACAAACATTTTATTTTGTTTTATTTTATTCCAGATTCACGCAGGGCCCTCTGCAGACTGTTGGCAGAAAAAAGGTAGCCACCAAACACATGCATAAGCTGGACTTTTCCCAGAATGCTGCAGCAGAACTACCCTCCAGATAGACACTAGCCTGCGGGCCACAGTGCTACGTGAGTCTTGCAAAGAGGAGATCTTTATGGCGAGGCTGAGAGCACTGCCTGCATGCTTTACCAGAGCCCAGCCTCCAGCCTCCACGGAAAATGTGTTTTGGAATCAACACTCTTTGCAAAGGCTCCACACTGCTTTCTGGTAGCATTGGCCTGGGCGCCCAGGCACTCCTTTAGAACCCACCTGTTCCCCCCACCCACCCTAGTGGGAGGAGGAGAGGGTTACACTGACAGATACCGGCAGCTCTGCAACCCGGGAACAACGCAGACAACATACAACTCGACAGAGTCACAGAAGGTGGCGTCCATCGCGCCTGGATGGTGACTACTGCCCTGCGGGCTGCTGGGTGGGTGAAACACACAGGGAAGAAGCACAAATACACACACAGATGTGGCTCAGGGACATTTGAATGCTTCAGTGTGTGAATTTTTTAGCGCATTCTGACTCGAAATTATGGCTGAATAGTGGCGCACTAATGTCCAAGTCCATGTTCGATAATGGCAGGAAGTCTGCACTAATTGGTCTATTTAGTAGTTGCTGAGGTGGCAAAAGCTGCAGCTGCTGGTGGCTGAAAGAGAGAGAGAGAGAGAGAGACCTCCTCTTAGGCCACTTCCCAGAGCTGTGGCAGTGGGGGAGGGGGAATTCCCCAGGATGGTGTTTGTGGTCAAGTTCACCTCTGGCAACCCTGCCTAAGCTCTTCTCACAGGTGCACGCATTCAAGTCCTGAAGAGCCCTCCCCGCCCCCAACAGTGTTCATGTCCCGGGCTGGGGGCCCGCCTGGGAGGGGCTCTATATGCCGGTGGGACCTGGCTGCTTTGCCTCGCATTCTCCCCACTCTTCCCCTTCCCAGGGCAGCTTTTCTCCCCGCACCCCATCTCTCTCCCCTTTGCTTTCTAACTGGGTTGGGAAGCTAATCTGCCAAGAGCCCGCTGCTTAGCCGGTGCGGTGGCATGTGCCTGTGGTCCCAGCTACTTGGGAGGCTGGAACAGGAGAATCGCCTGAGCCCAGGGGTAGAGGTGAGGCTGCAGTGAGCTAGGATTGCACCATGGCGCTCCAGCCTGGGCCACAGAGCAAGACTGTCTGAAAAAAAGAACCTGCTGCCCACCTCACCATTTGAACTGGGAATATTTTACCAGAGAGAATGTGGACATGGAGAAGCCACCGTCACACACAGAGTAAGGGTGTGTGGGGTGGGGGCAGATTTAAGATGGACTCTGGACAGTTCCCGAGCCACTAGAGTGCCCATCCCTGCCAGGAGGCCCCAGATGCTCAGGGGTTTCAGCGGCCTTCTGCAGCCTCAGCCAGTGCTTACACCACACCTGGGAGCAGCATGGGCCGCCCTCTGCCTCACCGAGGGGCAAACCGGCTGAGGACCCAGGCACGAAGAGTGTCACCAGCTCTGACCACAAGCCCCGTAGACCAGGGCTGCGTCCATAATCGGGGTTGATGGCATTAGTTATTATATTATAACCTCCTTGTTGCGTGATTCTAGTAATTTATTTTCCCACTTGGCCTTTGACTGGGCTGGGCTCCTCCCAGTGGAACAACAGGGGGTGTCGTGTTTGCAGCAGAAACGCACACTGGGATCCTTTCTTGCAACAGCTGGGCCGGCTGGGTCTTTTCTCTTGTCTTCTGTACACAGGCCCCTCTCCGCTGTTTCTGCAGAGACCGAGGTGGGAGGGAGAAAGACCCTCCAGCCCTCTGCTCCCACCCTCCCCGCAGTCTCCGGGGCCCTGTGCTGCAGGCAAGATAATTTGGCTAATGAACTCGTTAAAGGGCCCCTGGTGACCCGCCCCGGCTTCCCCTCGGCCCATCTGGGAAATTCCATTGAAAGGCTGGAGAAGGTTCCTCAGCCCCGCCGCCTTCTGTCGCTGCTAGAGGCGCGAACCCGGTGACTCTGGGCCCCTTACATTAAAATAATTACCCGGCGGAACAGGTGGCCCACTCCCGGCGCCTGGGTGCATCTGGGCCCCCGGAGCCGCAGCCCGGGAGGAGGGGAGCGGCACGCCCAGGGGAGGGAAGGTCAGGCCCGCTGAGCCGGGAGCCGGGAGGGTAGAGAGGGGCTTTCCTAGGGACAGACGGTCCCGGGGCACCCAGGCCTCCGCGGCCGAGCGGGCTGAGGCCTAAGCAGGGAGGCCGTCGCCTTCAGGCACAGGTAAGCGCAGCCCGCGCACCGCTTGGGACGCACCTGGCCACCTGCGCTGCCACCCAAGCTTGGGGTATGCGGGTGCCCGAGCAGAACCCCGAACTCGCACCGGGCTCCGAGGTTGGAGCAACTCCTAACACTGGGCTCGGAGCTAGGGGCTTGCTGGAGGGGCGCTTGCCGCGCCGGCCCTCGGGGCTCACAGCCGGGCACGCCGGACTGCGGCGAGCGCGTGGGCGAGCGTGTCAGGAGCGTGCGCCCTGGGTGCGCGCGTGCGAGAGCGCACGTGTAGGGTGGCTTCCAGTCCTCCCTTCCCGCCTGAGAAGCGTCCACGCGGAGTTCCAGGCCGGGCGCTGGGGAAGGAGGTCCCGGGGACGCTGCTGAAAAGAGAGCGGCCAGCCCAGGCGCGGGGCCAAGCCTATTGCCAAAAACATATTACCCTGCGACATTCTGTAAATGAGATAATGATCCATAAACCCGGATGATAGATGTGGCGTGCCTGCGATGTCTTCTCTAAATGAGCTGCTCGCATCGACTGCTAATAATGGTGAGTTTATGGAAGCGATTTCAGCGCAAACTGCGAGAGGGTCTTCTTACTCTAATCAGCCTGCCTGAGCTAATGGACGAGGGGGTCAGGCTGAGAGTTATTGACACGCCCGTGCCCTTAACCTGTTTCCCAATAAAGCTGATTAGTTTTTGTCAATTCATCAGCTAACCACTCTTGCTGGAACTGCATCAAAGCCTTATTTGCTCAGGGGAAATCAACAAGTCACAGATCAGCTCCATTAAGGGGCCCGGCCCGGCAAGGACAGTCCTGGAGCCGAGGGACGCCCCGACGGACCTCGGGCCTCCCCCGAGGTTCGCAGAGGGGCTGACAGCGTGGCCCCCCTTAACTCCGAGCACCACGACCCGGATGCACATAACTGTGTCCGGAAACTTCTCTTTCTCTGCAGGTGGAGCAGCGCCTGTGCGGCTCCGCGCTATGGCTCCAAGGCTCCGGCCCTGGCGTCTGGGCTCGGTCGGGGACAGTTTCCACGCGAGGCGGAGCCTAGCTGGAGGTCACAGGGCGGTGGAGAGCGAGGGCATGAGGGAGGGAGCTGGGAACCGCGCAGTGTCCGCGGCCACGAATCTCTCCTACGCGTCCCCATGAGGCGACCTAAGGGGAAGAGTGCAGGACCCTAGGACCCCCCCACCCCGGGCAGCGCGGGCCTGAGCTTGGGGGACAGGCAGAAGGGGATCAAACCCGCACCCAGCGCAGACTCCTACTTGCTCAGTGACTTCGCAAGCTCGTGGGAGGGAGCTGGGCGCGCCCGAGGGCACCTGGGCTGAGGTTCCAGTAGCTGGCTCTACCTGCGCTTCAGGTGAGCGGCTGCAGGAAGGGCCCTCCCAGGTATCCCTCGGCTCCCGCTGGCAGGAGTGAGCCCATCGGCCGCCGCCGGCGGAGGTGACCCCAACGCCCTGGCTCAGGGGCGGGGAAGGAAAATGTGCGTTGTCCCTTTAAGCCCCCGGCCACTGCCACCTCCCGGCCCCATCCCCCTTCAATTTAATTTCATTAAAACAGAGCATGAATATTTCTATTAAACCTAAAATGAAATATGAAGCCATTTAGACTCTGCCTGCACCAATCACCCAGATTTATGACTTTTATTCATCACATCAAGAGCTTGGAAAAATGAATTTTCTTCACCCAGGAAGGAAATAAAACCTCAGGCTTGGTCATTTCCAGAAAGCTGTTAATTTGACCATGTGGTAATTACTTTCACAATTAACTAAAATACAAATCAACTTGACAAATTGGGCTAGTTTATATATTAATTAGCCCCCTTAAATTTATTCATTATGAAAAGACAATTTAAGGGGACCTGCGGTGTCTGTTTTATTGCAATAAATTATTGTTAGGAAATGGGTCTAATAAAATATCTTAATATTTAAGGATATTGTATACGCGGGGGGTATGCTTTATTGACAATTTCATTTTCCAATTAGTAATTTTGTTGTAATATATCTGCGAACCGGGGACTCCCGGGCAGGGAGGCAGGATTCTCCCGGCTGGGGCGGTCTGAGTAGCTGGGTCTGAGCCTCGGGCTGAGAAGAGTAAATTCTGCAGAAAGGGCCGCGTCCGATCGGCGCAAACGTTCGGTTCGTAGCAGGAGCTTCTCCAGGCGGCCACCGAACCCAGGTCCAGGACTCGGCACTCCTGGAGCCCTCCTCCCCACGCAGACCGCGGGGGCTGATTTAATAGAATGTCGATAGAATCATTCGATGCCTTTTAGCTTGTGATCTTTATAAATGTCCCTCTATTAAATTAGAAAATGATTCTCTTCTCGTTTAATTGTATTCTTTCGTTTCTTATTTCCAATTAATTAGTCCTATCGACGTTGCAATATTTTAAGTGACTTGAGTCCGTTTCCAGTTAGAATATATGGGTCAGCACATGCAATTTTATACCCGACAGGACTATATAATGTGGGTTTTAACTACTCGTTCCTCATCTGTCTTAAACATCTGGCCAGGATGCGCCACCCGGCCTCCTCGCAGATCCTTCCTGGGGCAGGTGGGCACCACGCGGGACCCTCCCGGGGGCTCCCGCAGGCGCCTCTTGCTGCCCGGGGCCAAGGGTCGGGCAGCCCATAGCGTCCGGCCTGGGCCTTTACTTGGAATTCTTTCTGTTGAAGACTTGGTCCCAGCCCAGTGGTTCTGGGATAAGAAGACCCCGCAGAGGGGCCCAGCGCCGCGTTCCTACGAGACACCTGAGCTGCACTGTGTTTCCACGGGCTAGGAGAGCGGTGACTCCCCAGCCTCCCCGTAGGCCTCGCTCGCACCGCAGAGGGATGGCTGGCCCGTGCCGCTCCGCGGTTCCCCTCCCCGGGCGGATCCGCGCAGGGAGAGCCCGGCGGGCCTGGGCTTGGGCCTGGGCCTGGTTCGGGGGTGCAGGCCAAGAGGGGCGCCAGGCCGGGCTCCCCTACCCGAGCACGTCAGTTCCACCCCCTCCCTTCTTGCTGCCCTACAAAACTTTAAAATCACTTTTTAAAAGACCGTGTCTCCTCTCGGCAGCCCCCCTCGACCTCTTCGCAGGCGCCTGAGCAGCCCCGCACCGAGGGGCGCACCTTTGCTTTTGCGAGCTGCGCGGCGCGGACACCCGGGCTGCGCTCAGCCCCCACCCCCACAGGCTTCCCAGCCGTCTGCCCGAGTTCGGCTTCAACGGGAGCGGGGCTCCACTTTTCCTTAATTGACGAAGTCACGGATTCCTCCCGGGCGGATTTATGGGGCTGCGCGTTGTGCCGGCGCCCGCTGCTTCGCATCTGCGCGCCCGCCCGGTGCCGGGCCCCGCCCTCCGCCTCAGCCCCAAGCTCGGCCCGCGGGCCCGGCCACAGGTGCCCCGGCGGCCCCGCCTGGCCCGAGGGAAGAGGGCAGCTGGGAGGGGCCCCGGCCGCCGCCCGTTCCTGCTGCGGGTGAGCACCAGGTCCCCGCGGGCCTTGCGCGGTGCCCCCCAGCTCAGCGTGGCGCTCGGCGGCCCAAGGTCTGGGGCGTGGAGGGCGTCAGCACCTGGCCGACTCGCCGGTTCCCATAGGCTGCCTCGCCCCGCGTTTTCCTAGCGGGGGATGGCGGCTCCCCGTGTCCGCATCGCTGCCGGGCCCTGCCACCCCAACCCCGGCCGCAGTGGCTGGAAGCCGTGGCCTTTTCCGGGCTCCGAGAGCCGGCGGGGCGGTTTTCCTCCGGGTTTCCTCCCGCCGGGGTCTTGGGAGCCCCTCAGCCTCGCCCTCCCTGCAGGGAGAAACCTGTCTACTGCGTGAATTTCTAAGCAGCTGATCCTTCAGGCCCAAGACTCCTAGAGTGGAAAGGGTTCCCCGGAATAGTAAGCGCGCCGTCACCTTGGGTTTCTTCTTCCCAGAGCAAGGAGACCCCCGTTTTCCTCATGACCCGCGTCCTAAAAGGTGGGGAGGTGAGATTCACTGGGAATCGTGAACCTGCCCCCGGCTTCTCCCGGGGCAGCCTCCCCCGGTCAGGGGAGGAGGGAGCCCTTCCCTTCAACCCCGAAAGGTTCCTTCCTGGTCCCTAGCTTTGCTCTTTGCAGGCAGGGATGGGGCTGGCACGCCTTGCGGAGAATTTTACCGTTTTAAATATGGACCTAGAGGCCAGGTCGGAAAGGGGAAAGAAGCTGCGCCTTGCCGAGGGTCCTGTGGCCGGAGCAGGGCCTGACTCCTGACTCCCATCCAGCGCCCCTTCTAGAAATTGTCCCTCTGGGGAGAATGCCTGCTGTTACACAATGGCTTTTTTTTGAGGGGAGAGGAGGATTTCAGGTCAACTGAAGCTAGCAGCCATTCCTTCAGGGCCGCTGGCTAAGATGGAAGGGGAGAGAAGGACGCTGTGGTCTAGCAGGAGAAGGTCAGAGACTCCCAGAAATCTCTAACACTGCAACCGCAGGCTGGCCATTCCCAGCAGGATCTCAACAGCTGACCATCTTCCTGTGTGCACCCGAGTCCATCTGGGGGGGTAAATTCAACATTTGCTCATCTTCTCTTACTGAATGTTAGCTTCTATTGTCTACGTACGGGTTAAAGGGGAAAAGGAGTCCTTGGCAATTAAAGAGCACTGGATGGCTGAAATCTGCAGAAATCGGCCCAGCCTCCCCCCAGCAGCCCCTGGTCCACCCTGGGAAAATGACTAGCTTTCTTTCCATCTCTCCACTCCATCTGAACGTGATCGGAGCTATAGCTAAGAGGCCAGCCCAAGGGTGACCTGCCAGACTTGAGTGCGTGAGCGCTGGCTGAGGCCACACCTGCTGGGCATGTGAGGCGGCCCCTCCCCCTGCTGTGAGTGACACTGGCCTGCACTCTTCTAATCTCAAGGCTCCAACGAGGCTATTTAACGTGGTTCAGGTCAGCAAGTGCTTTGTGTGACCCACTTGATACTGAAGGATAAGGAGGTGCTTAGAATGCCCTTTCCGTGCTCAAGGAACTGAATGCCTCCTTGGAGGAGGAAAGTGTGCACCTGTGAAAAACCAGAGAACATCAGCAAATCCTGGACACAGAGACCAGAGTGGGGAAGGAAGCAGTGCTCTGGGAAGTCAGACTTAAAGCCTGCTGTTTCCGCACGATGGGGCATATCATAGAGTGTGTTTCCCAGAGTCCTTCAAAGGGAAAAGGACATGGGGATGCGTGGGAAACAGCCCGCATCTTCCATTTTTCTGTTCTGTGCAACAAGACGATGTCCTGCTTGTGGCCCTGGTTTGTCATTTTATTAACCATTACCTTGTACACAGAGATAATTTGCATCCTGTAGACAGGATGAAGTTTGCACATTTCTGATGAGAACTCTGGCCACACTACCAGCTCAGCCCGTTTCCGTGTCATTCAGGAGTTGGCTCCAACCACCTGTCTACTTGGAGCACCTTCCCAGGCAGCTTACAGTCGGGCATCAGGACACAGTCGCAAAATACGCAAACTAATGGCATCCGAAGGCAGGAGATGGCTGGGACAAACGGAGAGGTTATAAAACTGTGGGACTGAGAGGGAAAGGGAGAAGATGGAAAAACCTCAGGGAAGATCAGCTTCATTTCATAACCTAATGTAGCCAAGTTACATAAGGAAATGTTTCCTAACTACTGGTAGGCAAATATTAAACATAAACACAATAAAGATAAAAATTTAAAAGCCAAAATAAAAACTACAGAAATGTAACCAGAAAAACACAAATCATAACCAATAGGGGAGGAGAGAACTTTTGTTTAAGCCAGCTTTGTTAAAGTATAATTGACAAATAAAATTCTATATATTTAAAGTATACAATGTGATGATTTGACATACATATATATTATGAATGATTATCACAATCAAGTTAGTTAATCTCATATAGTTACCTTTTTCTTTTTTTCTGGTGAGAACATTTAAATATCTCAGTAAATTTCAAGTATACAATACAGTATTAACTACAGTCTCCAGAGCTTATTCATCTTAGAACTAAAAGTTTGCGCCCTCTAATATCTTCCCATTCCCCTCCCGCTCCCCCTGCTCCTCCCTCTCCTGGCAGCTATCATTCTACTCTTTTTTTTTCTTTTTGAGATGGAGTCTCTCTCATCTCCCAGGCTGGAGTGCAGTGGCATGATCTTAGCTCACTGCAACCTCCACCTCCCAGGTTCAAGCGACTCTCCTGCCTCAGCCTCCCAAGTAGGTGGGATCACAGGCATGAACCACCATGCCTAGCTAATTTTTGTATTTTTAGTAGTGACAGGGTTTTGCCATGTTGGCCAGTCTGGTCTTGAACACCTGACCTCAGATAATCCACCCGCCTTGGCCTCCCAAAGTTCTGGGATTACAGGCGTGAGCCACCGCCCCTGGCCTATCATTCTACTCTTTGCTTCTATGAATTTGACTTTTTTAGATTCCACATTTAAGGGAGACCAGTCTGGGCAATATAGTGAGACCTTGTCTCTATTAAAAATAAAAAATTAGCCAGGCATGGTGGTACATGCCTGTAATTCCAACTACTTGGGAGGCTGAGGTGGGAGGATCACCTCAGCCCGGGAGTCTGAGGGTGAAGTGAGCTATGATCACACCACTGCACTCCAGTCTGGGTTACAGAGCAAGACCGTGTCTCAAAAAACAAACAAAAACAAGTATTTGTTCATGATCATGCAGTGTTTTGTCTTTTTCTGTCTGACTTACTTCACTTAGCATAAGGCCCTCAAGGTTCATCCATGCCATCACAAATGGCAGGATGTCATCCTTTTTTATGGCTGAATAATATTCCTGTGTGTGTGTGTGTGTGTGTGTGTATCACATTTTCTTTCCATGCATTTGTTGGTAGACAGATTATTGCATGATGTGGCTATTGCAAATAATGCTGTAATAACGATGGGAGTGCAGATGTCTCTTTGAGATATTGACTTTGTTTCTTTTGGGCACAAACCCAGAAGCGGGATGGCTGGGTCATATGGTAGTTCTCATTCTGAATTTTTTGAGGACACTCCAAGCTGTTTCCCGTAATGGCTGCACTAATTCCTATTCCCACCAGCTGCGTAGGGGATTCCTCTTTCTCTCCACCCTCACCAGCACTTACCTATTGTCTTCTTGATAACAGCCATGCTAACAGGTGTAAAGTGCTGCTTGTGATTTTGATGTGCATTTCTCTGATGGTTAGTGGCATTGAGCACCTTTTTGTGTACATGTTGGTCATTTGTATGTCTCCTTTGGAAAAATATGTATTCAGGCCCTTTATCCGTGTTAACGTCAGATTATTACTTTTTTTTTCCTATTGAGATGTATGAGCTACTGATATATTTTGGATATCAACCTTTTATCAGATATGTGGTTTGCAAATGCTTCCTCCCATTCCATAGGTTGTCTTTCCATTTTGTTGACTGCTTTCTTTGCTGTGCAAAAGCTTTCTGATGTGATGAAATTGCCCTACTTCATTTTTGCTTTTGTTTCCTGTGCTTTTGGTGTCAAATCCAAAAATCATTGCCAAGATCAATATCAATGAGATTTCTCCCGTGTTTTCTTCTAGGAGTTTTGCCATTTCAGGTCTTACATTTAAGCCTTTGATCCATTTCGAGTTAATGTTTGTGAGTGGTGTAAGATAAGGGTCAAGGTTTATTCTTATGCTTGTGTGTATCTATTCTCCAACACCGTTTATTGAAGAGATAATACTTTCCCCATTGTCTATTCTTGGCATCCTTGTCAAATATTAGTTAACCTGAGCCAGGCATGGTGTTACGTGCTGTAATCCCAGCTACTTGGTGGACTGAGATGGGAGGATCACTTGAGCCTAGGGGTTCAAGATCAGACTAGGCGCTTTAGTGAGACCCCATCTCTATAGGAAATAAAGTAGAAAAAATATCAGTTAACCGTATATGTGTGGGTTTACTTCTAGGCCCTAGATTTTGTTCCATTGGTCTATGTGTCTGTTTTTATGCCAGAACCATGCTCATTTTTATCACATAGGTTTACAATGGAGTTTGAAATCAGGAAATGGAATGCCTCCTGCTCTGTTCTTCTTTCTCAAGACTGTTTTGGCTATTTGGGGTCTTTTGTGGTTCCATATGAATTTTGGGATTGTTTTTTCTACTTATACAAAAAATGTCATTGGGATTTTGACAGGGATTGCATCGAATTTGTAGATTGCTTTGGGTAGTACCGACATTTTAACAATATTAAGTCTTCTGATTCACGAACAGGGGATGCCTTTCCACTTATTTGTAGCCTTCTTTGATTTCTTTCTTCAGTGTCTTATAGGTTTTATTACACAGATCTTTCGCCTCCTTGGTTAAATTTACATGGAAGTATTTTATTCTTTTTGATGCTATTGTAAATGGGATCATTTTCTTAATTTCCTTTTCAGACAGTTCGTAGTGTATAGAAAGGCTACTGATTTATGTTTGTTGATTTTGTATCCGTCAACTTTACTGAATTTGTTGATCAGTTCTAACAGTTTTTTGTGGAGTCTTCAGGGTTTTCTGTGCATAAGATCATGTCATCTGCAAACAGAGACAATTTTACTGCCTCCTTTCCTATTTGATGCTCTTTATTTCTTTCTTTTGCCTAATTGCCCTGGCTAGGCTAGGACTTCCAGGACAATGTTGAATAGAAGCAGTGACAGTGGGTATCCTTGTCTTGTTCCTGATCTTAGAGGAAAAGCTTTCAGCTTTTCACCATTGAGTATGATGCTAGCGGTGAGCTTTTCATATATGGTCCTTACTATATTGAGGCACGCACGTTCCTTCTACCTTATACATAATTTGTTGAATTTTTTTTTATCATGAGAGGATGTTGAGTTTTGTTAAACACTTTTTATTCATCGAATGAGATGATCATATGGTTTTTGTCCTTCATTCTGTTAATGTGGTATATTGTACTTATTGATTTGTAATATTGAACCATCGTTGCATCCAGAGATAAATCCCACTTGATCACAGGGAATGATCCTTTTAAAGTGCTGTTGAATTCAGTTTGCTGGTGTTTTGTTGCGGATTTTTCCATCCATGTTTATCAGGGATATTGGTCTGTCATTTTCTCTTCTGGCTGTGTCGTTATCTGGCTTTGATGTCAGCAAAATAGTAGACTTGTAAAATGAGTTGGGAAGTGGTCCCTAAAAGGGAGGTTTTTTTTTTTTTTTTTTTTTTTGAGATGGAGTCTCACTCTGTCACCCCCAGGCTAGAGTACAATGGCGTGGTCTTGGCTCACTGCAACCTCCGCCTCCCGGGTTCAAGTGATTCTCTCGCCTCAGCCTCCCAAGTAGCTGGGACTATAGGCACGTGCCACTACACCTGACTAATTTTTGTATTTTTGGTAGAGACAGGCTTTCACTATGTTGGCCAGGCTGGTCTCGAACTCCTGACCTCGTGATCTGGCCTCCCAAAGTGCTGGGATTACAGGCGGGGCTACCGCGCCTGGCCAATAGAGAAGTTTTTAAAATCTTTGAAATTGCCTTCTCTGGCTGCCTTTCATGATGGATCCCAGGAAGGGACAGAGGGGAAGTGACACAGCCTTCACACTCCCCAGTCAGAACGTCCGACCTGGGTGTGTGCAAGGGACACAGGCCTCAACAAGCTGTGAGGGAGCAGACACCAGGAACTGACTTAGACCAGAGGCAGCAACATCTGAGATATGGGAGGATGGGGATCTAGTGGTGGGGAAAGAAAAAAGGGGGCGGAATTCAGGCCAAGGGAATTGTGGAATACTGCCAAATGTGTGATGAGAAGCTTTAGTATTTGCCTGCTGGGCATTAAAATACCATGAATCATTGACAAGAAACCAAACAATGCTGGATCTATATAACAATTTGAACCTATATTGCTCCAAGTAAAATCAAATTAGAAGCCTTTCCCCAATTAGGTTATGCAAACGCTGACACAGAATAGAGTTGTGTTTGCTGTACACATGACGCAACATCCACCTTACACCTCGCACAGCGCAGATACTCTCAAGCACACCCATCTCGACACCGGGGTTGTGTCAACATTCTACCCCTAGATAATAAATACGAGACACAGCACACACTGCTTTTAATTGCATCGATAAACTGGGATTAACCCCCCAAGTCAGGTTTCACTATTGCAATTAAATGTCCTCAAATAAATTGTTTCCTCAATAAACAAATGGAAGGGGCTGTGTTTGCCCTGAATAATAACAGGTGTAATATTTTACTCGCTAAAGTTAAGTATTAAGTGGAATCACTTGCTAGTCCTGATTTATTCCCTGAGATCGGAAAGTCATTTTTCATACGTCATGTGCTGCTTCAGTACTGTATAAACAGCTAATAATGCACTAAATCAACCTGGCACGACCTTGCATTTCACCTAAAGCCACCAAGCTTCAAAATCCTACAGTTGGGTGTTCTCACGAGAGCCAAAGAAAACAGATGTCCTGCAAAAATCGCTGGCTGACTGCTTTTTGGGTTTTTGTCTTTAGCTTCTAAAATTCAAAATGTAAGCATTCCATAAAAACCTCGTGAGTCGTTGAACAAGCCAGTAGCTCTTTATGGACCGTGTTCTCACTGGTCTTCTGGTTGCTGCAGACGAGGCCGGCAGGCTCAGCCTACGGGAAGGCCACAGTGGGAGGACTTCCCCTGCGCCTGGGCTGAGTCCCCACCTTCCACGACCCTGTCCCCTTCATCGGTGAAACAGCACAAGACATTCCTAGAGTGACATTTCTCCCTTAATCACAGAAATGCTTGCCTCATTTTTGATGTGTTTGTGGACGTTGCATGGTTTTCAGGGCTTTTGATGTACATAGGTAAAGTCAGTATATCAATGCTGCCCTTTATTTTTAAGAGGACAGGGAAGGGAAAAGACAGTGAAGTGTCCTTGGAGGTTGGGGGTGAACATTATATTGGTTCTCAAATAACTAGGACCTATTCTTTTTCAATAGCATAGAATAACATTCTTGTTCTAGAATAGTCTACAGGGTGTAGGCCAGCGTTTTCTAAATGGTGAGTGGTGATTTGCTAAGCTATTAATATTTAATATAAACTATTAAAATTAACTCATTACTAGTTCATTTTATTTGGTCTTTTCAAATTCGTGGGTTTTTTCCCCTCTGGTTTCTTAGCCAGATACTTAGTAATGAGAATTTGTAACCTATGTGTTTTGATGTTCATTATAAATCGTTTTTTTTTTAAATAGAGATGAGATCTTGCTATGTTGTCCAGGCTTGTCTCAAACTCCTGAGCTCAAATGATCCTCTCGCCTCTACCTCCTAAAGTGCTGGGATTACAGGCATGAACCACCACACCTGGCCATAATTGTTTCTTAATTTGTCTGTATATGATCTTTCTAGAATTCATTTGGTTGCTGCTTAAACTTTGCACCATGAAAGACCCCCTTTTTTTCCCCTAATAACCTTATACTTGCATACCAAGCTGTATTTAAAATAATGCATTGCTTTAAAACAATTAATTAAATCTATATTGAGCATCTTGTCCACATGAGAGGGAGAACACACATCCTGCACTGAGGCAAGCTAACTCCATTTCCAACCAGAGATTCCGAAGACTAGCTAAGGCCACCTCTTGAAGAGAGAGCGCAGGATTTCAATTAAGCTTTTATAAATAACATATGGGAATTACCTGGAAGACACTGCCCTCCCCTTCCCCATGGCTACCTTCCTAGGTGCCTAGAGACCTGGACACCCTAGGTTGGGATTTATTGATTTAGTTAAGGAGCAATTTAGGAAACCTTTTATTAACATACTCTCGTCATCAGCATCACTGTCACCTTTCCATCATTCTGAGTGATCACCACTCTACACTTATTGTTTGTTAGTGAATCTTTCATACTTAGATCACCTAAGGGGAAATGCTTGCTGGGCTCCTCCACAGACAGAAAATATGCAGAGGAATCATGGCACAACTTACATACATCAAAACAGCGCTCCTTTTAATTGATGGCCTATAGCTTAAGAGAGAGAGTTGGCTGGGCACGGTGGCTCACACCTGTAATCCCAGCACTTTGGGAGGCCGAGGCAGGCGGATCACAAGGTCAGGAGATCGAGACCATCCTGGCTAACATGGTGAAACCCCGTCTCTACTAAAAATACAAAAAATTAGCCGGGCGTGGTGGCGGGCGCCTGTAGTCCCAGCTACTCAGGAGGCTGAGGCAGGAGAATGGCGTGAACCCGGGAGGCGGTGCTTGCAGTGAGCCGAGATTGCGCCACTGCACTCCAGCCTGGGCGACAGAGTGAGACTCTGTCTCAAAAAAAAAAAAAAAAAGAAAGAAAAAAAAGAGAGTTTGCCTTCCCCAAACTATTATAAAACATTTTTAGATGATAAAGGGCATCAGATGCAGAAGATAAAATGTTTAACACATAGGACCTCATTCAGACCATGAATATAGAGCTATAGGTAGTTGTAAGCTCCTAGGAATATTTGATGGGAAATATATTGATAATACAATTATTCTTTTGAAAGGGACTGTAATGATGGCGAATTTCATTTAATAAATTAATAAGAACCATTTGATTCAAACATGAGCCTTTTAATGATACACAGAGTTAATAATATCTGTCTTGCCACCTAAAGAGGTTTTTTTTTTTTTTTTTTTTTCTGAGATGGAGTCTCGCTCTGTTGCCCAGGCTGGAGTGCAGTGGCACAATCTCAGCTCACTGCAAGCTCCACCTCCCAGGTTCACACCATTCTCCTGCCTCAACCTCCCGAGTAGCTGGGACTACAGGTGCCAGCCACCGTGCCCAGCTAATTTTTTGTATTTTTAGTAGAGACGGGGTTTCACTGTGTTAGCCAGGATGGTCTCAATCTCCTGACCTCATGATCCACCCGCCTCAGCCTCCCGAAGTGCTGGGATTACAGGCGTGAGCCACCATGCCCGGCCCTAAAGAGGTTTTAAAAGACTGCATCGAGCGATCCACAATTGAGCACCTATCTGCCGTTTATTTTTTATTTTTTGAGAAAAAGTCTTGCTCTGTCACCCAGGTTGGAGTGCAGTGGCACGATCTTGGCTCACTGCAACCTCCGCCTCCTGGGTTCAAGCGATTCCCCTGCCTCAGCCTCCTGAGTAGCTGGGACTATAGGTGCCCACCACCATGCTCGGCTAATTTTTGTATTTTTAGTAGAGACGGTGTTTCACCATGTTAGCCAGGATAGTCTCTATCTCCTGACCTCATGATCCACCCACCTCAGCCTCCAAAAGTGCTATCTGCCCTTTATTAATGCAATGTTGGTTTTTATATTAAAACACATTTAAGTGTAGTCTCTGAAAATATTAAAGAAAAACAAATGTAAAATAATGCTGCAATATCCTTATCTTATAGTTGTGAATAAAAATATATAATTTTCCAAAAAATATGACTTTTTCTTTTTTATTAAATTACATTAATAAATCATTTATTTTTGAGACAGAGCCTCATTCTGTCACCCAGGCTGGAGTGCAGTGGTGCGATCACGGCTCACTGCAGTCTTGACCTCCTGGGCTCAAGCGATTCTCCCACCTCCACCTCCCAAAGTGCTGGGATTGCAGGCATGAGCCACTGTGCCTGGCCAAAATGTGGCTTTTAAAATTTTAGGACTCCGTTGCAAAATAGAAATATAAATGACCAAATCTGTGTTAAAGAGTCTCAGAACAGGATCTTAGAAGTTAGTGATGTGTGCGAAGAAGGTGAGAACACGCATGTCTGTGTTTCCTATACAGCCTGGGCGTTGTGTCATTGCTGTGGGGAGAAGTGCAGCTTGGGAGAGGGAGCCTGGCTTTGAAGCCAGGCAGGTCTAGGTCCCAGTGGCTGTCACTGCAGGTTGTGATGGGACCTCGGACAAGCTCGCCAATCCTTCTTAGCATCAGTTTCCTTATCTTATCTGTAAATGGAGATGATATGTGTCAGTCCTAACGGGGATGCTGGGAACATTGAAAATACATCGGAACACCCAGCACATCATGAGAATGTACACTCGCTGGCTCACCTCGCTCTCCTGGCAGGATATGTTCTATTTTCTATGAATTTATTGTAGCTGATGGTGGTGGTGGGAATCTGTACGGGTATGTGTGCCTAAAAACTGAAATTGGAAACCAGAAGCTAAAGCTATTTGTCTTAACTCCACGCCAGACTGTGGTCAAAGCACATTGGTCAAAGCACATTGCCTCATCTACTCCTCATATTTCCATGAGTTGATTCTATAGTTGCCCCATTTTACAGATCAAGAGACTGAGGCTCAGAGAAATGAGATGACCTGTCTAAAATCACCTGCCTGGCTGGACGCGGTGACTCATGCCTGTAATCCAGCACTCTGGGAGGCCAAGGCAGCAGATCACTTGAGGTCAGGAGTTTGAGACCAGCCTGGTCAATATGGTGAAACCCTGTCTCTACTAAAAATACAAAAAAATTACCAGGGTGTGGTGGTGTGTGCCTGTAGTCCCAACTATTCAGGAGGCTGAGGCAGGAGAATTGCTTGAACCCAGGAGGCAGAGGTTGCAGTGAGCCGAGATCGCACCATTGCATTCCAACCTGGGTGACAGTGAGACTCCATCTCTAAATAAATAAATAAATACATTAATTAATTAATTTAAAAAATCACCCGCCTGGTAAAGTGATCACACGCAGTCTGCGCCTGACTTGCTGGTTTCTTTCAGGGCTGCTCAGGGTGAAGTGAGAATCACCTGGGGCTCAGGCGGGGCTTGGGAGGCACAGGTGCCTGGGCGGGGCGGTCTGCAGGGCTCTGCTCTCTGGAGGTCTAGCCACGTGTTCCTTGGCTTTTGGCTGCCGGAGTCCAGGGCTCGGCCCCTCCCATTCATTCTCCTGGGGGTCTCTGTGGTGAGCCTGCATCTCGGGCTGCTGACTGCTGAGATCCTGGAGGGAGGCATCTCCTGACGCTGCCCCCGGTCACTGCTTTCACCCTTTCCAACGCAGGCTTTTACTAACCACAGAAAGTCACAGGAAGCAGAGCAGGACCTGGCATTCCCTCAGAGGGAAGCGCTTGGAGGGGTGACTCGCCCAGAGCCACAGAGCTGGGGCAGCAGAGCCAGGATGAGGGCTCAAGTGTGTTTGACTGCAAAGCCAAGGTCCACAGCACGAGTCTGAGTCTCCTGCACAAGGAGGGCCCAGCCCCGAGAGAACAGGGCGCCTCAGCCCCAGCCCAACGACAACGGCCAACATCGACTGGCAGCTTACAGCAACCCAACACTGTTTGAAACACATGGCAGTGTCTTGTCTCGTCGGCTGCACAGTCGGCATTATTATCATCACCCCTGCTTCTCAGATGCACAAACAGAAGAGGAACTTGCCCAGGGCAGCAGAGTGTGTGGTGGCAAAGCCCAGGCTCACAGCCTGGGAGTCAGGGACCTCACTCTGCCGGGTGTCTGGAGTGTGACCCCAGCCAGGCGGCAGCTCCGTCATAGGCTGAGAAATGACAATGTGGGTGGCAGGCAAGGCCTCAGTGCTCAGCGCCCACAGGTGTCCGGGGGTGCTGACTGGGGCCGCAGGACCTGTGCCAGGCCCCACTGTCCAGGGCGGGGCTTCCTGTGGCCTCTCAGTCACACCTTGCTGTGCTCCAGGCCTGGCCAGGGCTGAGCCTTCAGCCTAACACCCTCCCCATGGATTAACCAAACACTAGGACCTCATTAAGGAGGCCCTGGGTACATCCCAAAGCCCCTTTCTGTCCATCTGCACGGGAATTCTCACCCCCTCCTCTGTCCTTGTGGATTCTAGATGAGGACAGCAGGTTTCCCTGTGGAAAGCCGCGGCCATCGCGATGAGGGCCTGAAAGAGCAGAGCCTGGGCTTGCAGGGCCATGGTGATAGAGATCCCTCGGTGGGACCTGGGCCCAGGACGTGGGGTGGGAGGCAGGAGTGAGCTGGCTGTGGAGATCAGGAGAGAAGCAGGGATGCTGAGAGCCCCAGGGCGGAGGAGAAATCAGAAGAGGAACTAGGACTTGGGGAGCACTGTCAAGGGGGGCAGGAGCTGGGGCCAGTTTTGTTGGGGGCCGGATTACTTTTCCCCTACCACTCCCAAATCCCTGCCCATCTACAATAGTCAGGCGGTGCTAGGCTCTGAAACAACTGTGGAGCAAATTGGAACATTTCCAGGGTGCTGGACAGACACCCAGGGCTTTGGGCTGACTCGGCCTCAGCCTGTGCAATAGGGGCACCTGTGGGTCCCTCTAAGAGTGGCGGGGCTGTGTCTGCTCTGCGACAGCTGGAGGACAGCATGGGGTAGTGCTGGTGTGGCCAGGCGAGGGGACAGCGCTAGGACCTCACAGGTGTAGGTGACACTGCCATCTCCGTCTTTCCAACTACTAGACAATGTTTCGTTAAGAACATTAATTTCCCAAGAGGTTTCTCTGTATTACTCTAATTGTTTTCTCCTTGACTAATTTTGTAAATTGCAATTTTACAAAACAAAAAACAAAAAAACCCCACAAATATTTCTAAATGAGAAGAGTCTCAGTGGGAATACAGCTTTCAGGAAGGTTTGTAATCTTTACATCTGGGTTATATAGTACCCTCCTATTGACACTACTTTTTGATTAATATTGTGTATAACATTCCTTAATGCATCTGCAGAATTAATTATGCAGAAACATTCAGGCACACAGACATTATATTGATGAAATAACGTTTTATTGACAAAATGACAGTTTAATACTGAGCTTTCCTGAAGCTATATATCTAATCGATTGCCTTGGTTCTGATAGCGAGGTAAATCTGTCCTGTCTACAGTGTACTCTCGGCAGATCAATCTGGGGCATGTGAGCCATGTACAGTATATTTCTGTACAGAATTCTGATTTTTAAATATTTTTTAATTTTGAGACAGGGTCTTGCTCTGTTGCCCAGGCTGGAGTGTAGTGATGTGATTATGGCTCACTGCAGCCTTGACCTCTTGAACTTAAGCAATTCTCCCACCTCAGCCTTCTGAGTAGCTGGGATACAGGTGTGCACCACCACACCCAGCTAAGTTTTTTATTTTTAGTAGAGACGGGGTTTCACCATGTTGACCAGGCTGGTTTCGAACTCCTGACCTCAAGTAATCTGCTTGCCTCGGCCTCCCAAAATGCTGGGATTACAGGTGTGAGCCACCGCACCCGGGCTTTATATAACCATTTTATTTCTTCATTCTTCAGTTGGTGGACAGTTGTATTGCTTCCATCTTTGGGTTACAATGAAAAACATTGCTATCAACATTCACGTGTGACTTTTGGGTGGACATACATTTTCATTTGTCTCAGGGTCATATGGTAATTCTATGTGTCACATTTCGATGAAGTGCAAAATATTGTCACCATTTTGTGTTGTCACTGGCAATGAGGGTTCTCCAGATCCTCACAATACCCTTGCGATCTGTGTTTCACTGTAGCCATCCTAGCAGGCATGACTTGGTTCTCGCTTTGGTTTCAATTTCATTTTCCTAGTGGCTGATGATGTTGAACATTCTGCGTGCTTATTGGCTATTTGTGGGTCTTCTTTGGAGAAATATCTATTCAGATCCTTGGCCTTTTTTATTTTTTTATTTTTTGGAGACGGAGTTTCGCTCTTGTTGCCCAGGCTGGAGTGCAATGGCACGATCTCGGCTTACTGCAACTTCTGCCTCCCTGGTTCAAGCGATTCTTCTGACTCAGCCTCCCGAGTAGCTGGGATTACAGGCATGCACCACCATGCTTGGCTAATTTTGTATTTTTAGTAGAGATGGAGTTTCTCTGTTGGTCAGGCTGGTCCTGGTGATCGGCCTGCCTCGGCCTCCCAAAGTCCTGGGATTACAGGCATGAGCCACTGCGCCTGGCCCTCCTTGGCCCATTTTTAATGGGTTTTAAAATTATTATAAGAGTTCTCCAGATGTTCTGGATACGAGTCCCTTGTCAGATACATTATTTGAAAATATTTTCTCCCACTGGAAGTGTTGTCTTTTTACTTTCTTTAGTTTATTTTTCTTCTGTCACTTATGCTTTTATTGTCATATCTAAGAAGGCTTTACCTATTTGTTGAATTTGTTGAATTGTCTTGATATCCTCACTGAAAATCAATTGACCATACGTGTGAGGGCTTGTTTCTAGACTCTCAATTCTATCCCATTGATCCATATAGCCATCCTTTGGCCAGTACCACACTGTCTTGATCACTGTAGCTTTGTAATATGTTTTAAAATTAGGAAGTGTAAGTCCTCCCATTTTGTCCTTCTTTTCTAAGATTATGTGGCCACTGGTAATCTTCCATACTCTTTTGGATCCACTCCATACAGTCTACCCCACCCCTTCCCTGAAATTCCTCTCATTATGATCTTAGAGACCGCTGTTTTGCTAAATCCAGTGGCCAGTTCTCAGTGTCAATATTACCAAAGCTCTTTGCAGCAGTTGACATAGTGGATGACTTCTTCTTTCTGGAGGTGCTCTCTTTATTTGGGATCCGGGGTATCCCCTTTTCAGGCTTTTTCTATTTTTCACTCACTGCTCCTTTGCAGCCCTCTTTTCTGGCTCCTCCCCATTTTCCCAAGCTTTGAGCTTTGGAATGTGCCCAGTCTCCATCCTTGAACCTCTTTGCTTCCTTGTGTCAAGTCTCTCCTGGGGGCCTTCACCGAGTCTCATGGCTTCGGATGTCTTCTACTTAGTGATAACTCCCAACTTTATATCTCCACCCTGGATTTCTCCTTTGGGTTTCTGACTCATGTGTCCAACTGACACTGACCTCTCCAGGTAGGTACCCTGTGGGCATTTCAAACTCAGAACATCCAAGAACAAGACTTTAGCCTCTTCTCTCATCAAGACGCACCTTTTCTCTTCCTCAGGAAATGGCAATTCCATCCTTCCCATCACTCAGGCTCAAACCTTGGGGTTACTCTTCACACCTCCCCTTCTCGCCTGCTCTTACCCAACCTGTCTGAGGATTATCTCAGCTCTGTCTTCCCACTAGATCTGGAATCCAGCAATACAGCAGCAACAGCACTCATCTCCCTGGTCCAATCCCCTCCTTCCTTACTGGAGTAGAGCAAAGCCTCCTGCCAAGCCCTCCTGCCCTCCTCATCCCCACGCAGCCTCTGATCCAGGACATGGAGAGGCAGTCACAGACCTTCCTGCTCAAAGCAGTCCAGGGGGCAGAAGCCAGAGCCCCACAGAGGACACTCTTGGGGTCTTGCTATGCTGCCCAGCTGGTCTTGAACTCCTGGCCTTAAGCGACTCTCTCAAAGCGCTGGGATTACAGGCATGAGCCACCACACCCAGTCTTCTTTGTCTTATTTCTTGTCCACTCCTTACAGTGTGTGCTCCATGAGACCAAGAATCAGATCTGTGTTGTTCTCTGCTGTTGTCCTCGGCATCTGGAAGAGTGTCTGGGGCATGGTAAAGGCTAAAAAGAAAAAGTTAAATAAATGCATAAATGTTTTCATTTGCATAAATGAATGTGTTAGCAGAATAATGACCCTCTTTCCCCCGTCCCAAGGTATCCACATCCAAATCCCCGGGACCCACGAATATGTTAGGTTACATGGCAAAGGGTATTTAGGATGGAATTGAAAGTGCTGCTTGGTTCACCTTCAAATAGGGAGGGAGGGTGTCCTGCATTATCAAGGTGGGCCCAGTAAAATTACAGGGTCCAGACAGGGGAAGAGGGAGGCAGGAGAAAGGGGAGGGAGCCTGGGGAGGGGAGAGGGGAGAGGGCAGAGGGAGGCAGCTCGGTTGTCTTTGACCGTGGAGGACAGGATGAGAGACACGGTATGTGGGCACCTCTCAAGCTGTGGAAGGCAGGAAGCGGGTCCTCCCCACAGTCCCTGAAAGACCACAGCCCATGATGCGCTGATGTAACCCTGGGAGACCATGCAGGGCTTCTAACCTGCAGAGCTGGAAGAGAAGACATTAATGATATTTAAGCCACTGCGTTTGTGGCGATCTGTGGCAGTAGCCATGGGGCATCGATGCAGGGACAACGGTAGTGAGTCCTTAATTCAGCAATTTCTGTGCGGTGTCACAGGCTTCCACTGCAAACCTAGCTTCCACCGCAGACCTAGCTTCCACCCTAGAAGCGTGTGGCTGGTCAATGGAACACGTTAACGGGTCCCTTTCTATGCACCCAGACGTCTGTGGATTATTTTTTAAAGGATATGCAAATTATGACTATAAAATAAAAAGATGTGGCCAGGTACAGTAGCTCACGCCTGTAATCCCAGCACTTTGGGAGGCCGAGGTGGGTGGATCACCTGAAGTCATGAGTTCGAGACCAGCCTGGCCAACACGGTGAAACCCTGTCTCTACTAAAACTACAAAAATTAGCCAGGTGTGGTGGTGGGTGCCTGTAATCCCAGCTACTGGGGAGGCTGAGGCAGGAGGATTGCTTGAACTCAGGAGGTGGAGGTTGCAGTGAGCCGAGATCGCGCCACTGCACTCCAGCCTGGGAGACAGTGAGAGTCCGTTTCAAGTAAAAAAAAAATAAATAAAACCCATAAAGACTTAAAAACAAACTCCAGCTACATCTGCCTGGGTGTTGGTCTCCAGGGCATTCTTCTCATGACCGTGACACACGTGTATATTGAGCCCACTGTGTAGGTCTCCTGAGGCCCTTCTGGGCTTGCTTGCCTCAGTACATGGGACCTTGGGACTTTCTAGTCCCAGTTCACCCTTGACCCAACAGTGTCTCAACCCAACTTCATCGCCCATATCTGGTGCTTCCAAAAATCTATTTTCCCCTCAGAGAATCAAGTTTTGTTACCATTGAGGAAACTTTTTTTTTTTTTTTTTTTTTTTGGAGACAGAGTTTAGCTCTTGTTGCCCAGGATGGAGTGCAATGGCTCGATCTCGGCTCACCCCAACCTCTGCCTCCCGGGTTCAAGAGATTCTCCTGCGTCAGCCTCCCGTGTAGCTGAGATTACAGGCATGGGCCACCATGCCTGGCTAATTTTGTATTTTTAGTAGAGACGGGGTTTCTCCATGTTGGTCAGGCTGGTCTTGAGCTCCTGACCTCAGGTGATCCACCTGCCTCGGCCTCCCAAAGTGCTGGGATTACAGGCGTGAGCCACCACACCCGGCCGAGGAAACATTTTTTAAAGGTGCCATGAACTGTGGAGGTGATTCTGGAGCGGGTTTGGAAAGCGCCCTGAGTTAGTGCTGCTGAGACGACCTCCTCCAGGTCTTCTGCTCAACTGGATGTCTGCATTTAGAGTGTCAGCTAAGCCGAGCACGGTGGCTCACACCTGTAATCCCAGCACTTTGGGAGGCTGAGGCAGGCAGATCACCTGAACGCAGGAGTTCAAGACCAGCTTGGGCAAGACGGCAAAAAACACGCCTATAATTCCAGCTACTTGGGAGGCTGAGGCAGGAGAATCGCTTGAACCAGGGAGGCGGAGGTTGCAGTGAGCCGAGATGGTGCCACTGCACGCCAGCCTGGGCGACACAGCAAGACTCCGTCTCAAATGAAAATGAAACCAAAACAGAATGTCAGCTAAACCAGGTCACATTCCCCACGGCGAGTCTGCTCAGATGGCCCCGACCGAGTACCAAGACACATCCTTGAAACGACAGAAATCTGTTCTCACAGTTCTGGGGCTGCAAGTTGGAGATCCAGGTGTGGGTAGGGCCTGCTCCCTCCAGACGTTCTTGGGGATCGTCCCGCCGCCTCTCCCAGCTCCCAGGGGCTCGGAATTCCTGGTGTTTCTTGGTTGCAGCTGCCTGGCTCCAATCTCTTCCTTTGGTGTCACAGGCATTCTACCCACCATGTCTCTGTGTCCGCGGGACCATCTTATAAGGACACAGTCACATCGAATTGGGGGCCCATCCTACTCCTGCACAGCTAATCACTAACCACATCTTGTTCCGCAGTAAAGTCCCATTCCGAGACACTGGGGCTAGGACTTCCACCTGTCTCTTGGACACATTTCAACCCGCAGCACCACCACTGAGGAAACGCAAGTGTGCTGAAGACGCAAACCTAACACGCAGGAGGCAGGAACCGTCTGAGGCAGCCCCCGGCAAACGTCAGGCTGTGTGGCTCAGACCCGGCACAGCCTCCGCGATGGGAGCTCCGGGGGGGGCTGGCTGGGGACAAGGACAAGCGGACTTGGGAGCGACGGGGTTTGGGCATCTGGGAGACGGGAACTCCTTCCCGGGAGGAAGACCGTGAGGGAGGCGTGGAAGTGGATGTGAGCCGGTGTGCACTGGGCTGCAGTGCGCGCTGCTGGGCCGGTCCGGGAGCCCACACTGTTGGGTGCTGGCTGCTAGAAGCCCACAGCAGGGGCCCGAGGCCCACCCCCTAGCCTCAGGGCACAGCTTCCCCTGTCCAGCCAAGGCTGCCTTACCCAAGCCCTGGTCCTGCCTGTTCCGTGCCTTCTCCCGCAAGGCTTCTTCAACAGCACACCGCGAAAACGTGCAGGCATCGCCCCCAGCACAAGGGTCGCTGCTAGGGAAGCTGCCCTTCGACAGGGCGGGCTGATCCACCTGGAGCATGTGCTGTTTAGGCTGTCGAGGAACGGCCAGTTCAGTGACTGACCCGAGCCTCCAGTTCTTCTTCCACCTTTAAATTCCATGGATGTGGCGGGGTGCAGTGGCTCACGCCTGTAATCCCAGCACTTTGGGAGGCTGAGGTGGGTGGATCACCTGAGGTCAGGAGTTCGAGACCAGCCTGGACAACATGGTGAAACCCTGTCTCTAATAAAATACAAAAATGAGCTGGGCGTGGTCAGGAGGCTGAGGCAGGAGAATCGCTTGAACCCAAGAAGCGGAGGTCAGGGTGAGCCGAGATCACGCCATTGCGCTCCAGCCTGGGTGGGTGACAGAGCGAGACTCCATCTCAAAGTAAATAAATAAATAAACAAATTCCATGGACAGGATTGATGGGCGCCACAGGACATGGAGCTCTAAGGTGAGCAGATCGAGACTGAACACCAGCCAGAAACACATTCCTAGGTGTGAGTTCACATTGTCATTCTTTCTGCTTCGGTCATTGATGTAAGCACTTCTGATTGCAGTGTGGAGAAGGAGCCGGTGAAGGAGACTGCGGGGAGCGGCGTGGCCCCTGCAGCTGCGTGACAGATCTCGGGGTGCCGGCATGGTTAGAAGGTCACCACAGCAGACACATGCTTTACTCTGGCCCATTAGCCCTCGTCTGCATCTGCAAATGAGGGAGGCGGCTGCCTGGGAAGATCAGCTGCTTGTAAATGTTGCATCAGCGCAAACATCTGACTCCTGGACGGACCCGGCACTGGAGCTCAGAGTGTGATTAGCATAATGAAGTGAGGGAAAATATTGACATTTTGTGTATCTGCAGCCTGATAATGTTATATGAAAAGGGATATCTACAATGCTAATGGAAATGTAATTGATGTAAAACTGCAATTCCTACAATGAACTCAGAAGGCAAAGAGCTTACTTGTAAAATAGATAAGATTAGAAGGAGAGGCAGGAATCCCAAGACATTAATCCTGACTGTATTTCTGGTGCCAAGCGCTAATAAGTAAGTGATTGTTTTAATTCACGTAGGTATCACAATATTTATTGTATGCTCCAGATCAAGTTTGCCTGAGGATGAATAAATCAATAAGAGCGTCTCATTACTTGATTTCTTCTCCCTCAGCAGTGTCTGTGGCACAAGCATGCCTGCTGTTATCGATGAGATAAGCGGAGGGAGGTGACTGCAGGAGCCCAGGAGTGGACATTCCGGATGCATAAATAACACGCAGAGATGCGATGCTTTCTGTGGCCCAGCCAAGCCCAGGTGGCCAGAGTTGTTGGTGGATGGACATTGTGGGCCATGATGTTGAGACTGTGGTCTAACATCTGAATTTTCTCTCAAACTCTTTGTGTTGCTTGAGCTGGTAGCACGTGTTTGGACTTCGGAGATACCCAGGACACCAATGGCTGTGCTTGGGCAGGCGAGCACTGCAGGATCCCACACCCTGGTCATTGCCTGGGGCCCTGGCCTCACCTTCCCCTGCTCTGCTGGGGCCCCAGCTGGCTGACCCTGCAGCTCCGCAGACCGCTGGCTTCTGGCTGGATCCTGATAACGAAGGTACAGGTGAAAGACGGGAAACAGAAAGAAGGGTGACACCAGGCGTTTTGAGTCTTGGTGACTCAGTGGGCGTCCCTGGCTGCTGGGTCGTGCACCCCCTGTGGCTCCAGCTGTTCCAGAGTCTGAGAATGAGTAATGTAGGCAGTTGTCACACAATGGTAAGGATTTGCATATCCAAACACGTCGAGCATAGAAAAGGCACAGTGAAAATATGGCATTAGAAACTTACGGGATGATGGCCAGGCGCGGTGGCTCACGCCTGTAATCCCAGCACTTTGGGAGGCTGAGGCAGATGGATCACTTGAGGTCAGGAGTTCAAGACCAGCCTGGCCAACATGGTAAAACCCTGTCTCTACTAAAAATACAAAAATAGCTGGGCGTGGTGGCGGGTGCCTGTAATCCCAGCTACTCGGGAGGCCGAGGCAGGAGAATCGCTTGAGCCTGGGAGTTGGAGGTTGCAGTGAGCCGAGATTGTGCCACTGCACTCCAACCTGGGCCACAGAGTGAGCCTCCATCTCAAAGAAAAAAAAAAAAAAAAAAGATTCTTACAGGACCGCTGTTGTCTATGTGGTCTCGAGGTGACCGCAGTTACATGGTATATGACTGCACTCACAGTGCCTTCTACTCTCCTTGTTGGAATCTGACTCCAGTCCCAGCCCTAGGTCAGGGGCTCCCAAGGTGCCTTCCATTGCTGAGCTATTTGGTGGAACCCAGGGGTAGCTTCTCAGAAGAAAGTGTTTCAGTGAATAATGCAAAATACGTAGGCTTAAGAAGGAGAACACTATACTGGAATATACTTATCAAAACATTTAAACAAATGTGTGAAAGAGCACCGTGTACACCTCTCTGTTAACGCACGAAATGACCAGATCTCTCGGAGGGTCTAACCCTGGCTATTTTGAAGGAATGACGTGTGTAAACAATCTAAGATCTCTGTGAAAATGTGAGGCATATGGAGATGTCTGCACTAGTGTGATAGTAAAAATATCTGTGCTTTCTGCTGGTGACAGAGCCACAGGATGAACTAATACAACTGTGCTTTGTAGTTCACGTTCATTATTGAAGGGCATGTGAGATTTTAGTTGGAAATTAGTGAAAATAAAGATATAATTATTTCTCACTCAGGTTCACGGACTTCTAAATTTTATCCACTGACCTCTTGGAGGGTCTCTAAAATCCAGATTAACAAACTTGCTGGAGATAAATTAAACGTTCCCTTGAATTCTCAGGCTGAGACCCACACTGTTCTTCCCATTTCAGCTGGTGGTTGGTTTTTGAGATGGAATCTCACTCTGTCACCCAGGCTGAAGTGCAGTGGTGTGATCTCGGCTCACTGCAACCTCCGCCTCCTGGGTTCAGGCGATTCTCCTGCCTCAGCCTCCTGAGTAGCTGGGATTACAGGCACCTGCCACCATGCCTGGCTAATTTTTTGTATTTTTAGTACAGACGGGGTTTCCCTATGTTGGCCAGGCTGGTCTTGAACTCCTGACCTTGTGATCCTCCTGCCTCAGCCTCCCAGTCAGCTGGGTTTGAAGTGACCATCGTTCTTTCTCCCGACCGCACAGCTGCCTTCCCCACGGTGTCTGACTCCTTGCAGAGTTAAAGTCGTTGCTCTTTGAGGCTGAATATTCTCAGCAGGCACCTCTGTCTGGGCTCAACAGAAGTCCACATTTTCCCAAAACAGCACTTCGGATGTGAAAGGCTTGGTGTAACTTCCAAAGCCCTCCAGGCTTGTCGTCCCCAGGTTGGTGTGAATCAGTGCAAGCTGGTCCTCTCCAAGCAGAATTCCACTTTTAATATTTTAGGGAAATTATAGAATAATATATTTCCTCGCTGGAGACAGTTTCCTGGCCCCAAAAGAAGCATTAGTCAGCTGTGGCGCAAGCAGCTTTCTTTCCTAATGGAGCCCTGTGCACGCATCTCTGGCCCCACTGGGGTTCTGAATTAGGTCACAGATGCAGACGTTTGCTCGAAGTGGCTGCCGAGCTCAGACCCGGCGAGATGGTGGCAGGCCTCCACCCACAGCCTCCCTTGGTCACCAGAACCACGGAACCGAAAGAAAAGGGAGGCAAACTGCTGATGGAAGAGGGGAAGAAGATCCGCTAAACCAGTTGTCCGACGAGCTTGTCTTTTTTTCCTTTTAATTAAATGAATGGTTCAGATGAAAATTCTCCACATGACTTCTATTTATGGACCCTGCGTTGACAGTATGACTCATGGGGTCCTGGAGCCCTGCTGCGTAGTGACTTGCTGCACACGGTGTATTATTACTTTCCCAGGACCACCGTAACAAAGTAGCACAATCCCGGGGCTTGAACAACGGAAATGTGTCAAATGTGTCAGCTCCCAGCTCAGAGACTGGGAGACCAGGCCGAGGCGCCGGCAGGGCTGGTTCTTTCTGAGGCTGAGGGGGAGTCTGTCCCAGGCCGCCCTCCAGCTTCTGGAGGTTGCTGGCAGTCTCTGGTGGCCCTGGCTTCTGGAAGCATCACCCCACCTCTTCCTGCGTGCTCACCTGGCCTCTCCCCGTGTGCGGTCTGTCTCTGTCTAATCTCCCCCTTTCATAAGGACACAGGCACTCGGGATTAGGGCCCATCCTAGAGACCTCATCCTACCTTGATTACATCTGCAAACACCGTATATCCACATGAGGCTACCCTTACGGGTATTGGGGCTTAGGCTCTGATGTGTGAGTTTTAGGGGACATAATCCCACCCATAACACACATGATCTCTTTGGAAAGTGGAAGCTTCTCAATGCAGAAGCAGCGTCTCCAAGGCCTTCTTGCCTCTCAGACACAGGGTCGAATTCAGAAGTACGAGCTGAGCCAAATTCCCCCAGCCCCATTTCCTGCCTGACACCCCATGCTCAGGTGAGTTGGCCAAGGACTGGAACGGCTGATGCCGATGGAAATCCATGCTTTCTCTGTGACGTGCTCACACCCCACTGCTTTTCTCCCGGTCTTAGAAACCCCCTTCAACCGTGGCCTTGGCGGTGAGCTGTAAACCAGCGGTGTTGGAGCCGATGCCTGTCAGACGGAGCAGTTTATCACCACACTCAGTTGATTAATACCTGTCGGCGGGTGTTCAGACACGCGGCAATGCTGCCCTGGAGTCCCAGAGGTGTCTGTGCACACGGGAAGTGGCAACGAAGGATCCGAGTCTCCCTATCTGCTGGGCAGACCTTGAGGTGGCCCTTGGGTGGAGGGTGGAGGCACGTCAAGCAGGGGGCACAGCCTCTATGCCACGGTGTCTGCCCCTCACCAGCAGGCTAGGGGCAGACTCCCACCCTGGCAGAAGCCTGGCAAGGCAGAAAGGACCTGAGGAACTGGAGAACTGCCTCCAGGCTCAGCTTTCCGCAGGCACGCCCGCAGCGTGACTCCAGGCCTGTCATTCACCGCCGTGGCTCCCCGTGTCCCCATCTGTTCACGAAGGGCCTGAGCCGGAGGAACTCTCTGGCCCTTCCACTCCTTGTATCTGTTCTGTGATCCGGCAGCCTGTCAGGGAGCACAACTGCCTCTCACTCATGGAGGGGCTACGGGACCCACCTTCCGGGTGTCATCCCCACCCATGACTCCAGTGCCTAGTGCTGCTGCTGTGCCCGGCACAGGGTTGGCATCTGTCTTCATCAGGGGTTGTGTGGTTACAAGGAATAGAAACCCACTCGGCCTTGCCTGGGTGGCATGGGGCATGCTGGAGGATACCCAGTTCACCCCACAGACACTCAAGGCAGAAGCCAAACCAGGCCACATGTGTCTTAGACACCTTGGGCTGTCAAAGACACGGCTTCTCCCTGTTTCATGGGGGCACATGGTCTGTGCATATACACCTGTGCATGCCCATGCCCCACGCATGCACACACGTGTGCACACATGCACACAGGCCTTCAGCTTGCCTCAGCACAGACTCTGGTTCGGCTCTGCTTGGCCTTTCATTCCAGCATGAACCGTCATCTGTTGACTCCTGAGCTCTTAGTTCAAGGTACCAAGACAGAGAAGGAGTAACTTGGGCTGATGCTCCGTGGGTTATGCTTTCATCCTTGGTGTGATCAGCTGTGGAAGGAATTTAGAATAGAAAAAATGGCAAGGAGAAAGGCAGGGGCTGGGGCCGGGGAAGGGTGTGGCGGGAAGCCAAAGCAACCAATGGTATTTCAGTTCCGATGCTCAATGAATGTTTATTGATTGATTGATTGATTGATTGATGAATGAGTCTCCAAAGGGGAAGCTTGGGTCACTGCAGTAGACAGCTGCCCAGCATCCAAAGCTCATGCTCTGGGTGAGGAACCCCCGTGCTGAATCTTTGTAAGAGAAACGGGCCAGGTGCAGTGGCTCACGCCTGTAATCCCAGCACTTTGGGAGGCCGAGGCTGGCGGATTATGAGGTCAAGAGATTGAGACCATCCTGGCCAACATAGTGAAACCCTGTCTCTACTAAAAATACAAAAATTAGCTGGGTGTGGTGGCGCGCGCCTGTAGTCCCAGCTAGTCTGGAGGCTGAGGCAGGAGAATCACTTGAACCCAGGAGGCGGAGGTTGCAGTAAGCCAAGATCGGGCCACTGCACTCCAGCCTGGTGACAGAGCAAGACTCCATCTCAAAAAAAAAAAAAAAGAGGAAGGGCCTGCCCAGCATCCAGATCCCCAAACTCCAGGCAGGGAACCCCTGTGCTGAGTCTATGTAAGAAGGACCTGTGTCCAGCCCCCATGAAAGCCAAAGGGACCCATCCACCCTCCTCCCAGCTCCTGTGCCCCAGCTTGTCCAGCTGGACTTTCCCATGCTGGGCCTGGAGGCAGTGACACATGATGAAGGGACCACTCAGGATTCGTCACAGAACCACAGGCAGCTGGGGCTGTGAGTGCCTGAGGGGAGCTTGGCTGTGAGTCTACCATCAGCAATGCTGCTCTCTGAGCCTGATCTCAAGTCTTCCCATTCATTCCATGATCTCTCTGATGTATTTCCAATAAATTCCTTTTTTTTTTTTTTTGCTTAAATTAACCAGTTCCTGTTTTTGTAGCCAAGAACCTCAACTAATTGGATTTAGTAGAAGATTTTTAAGTAAATCGTTGCAGGAATGCTGGCCATGGATGGCGGAAGAAGCACAGATGACCCTCGGTGGTCTCTCCTGTGGGGCACCTGTCACAGGCCAGTGCAAGGTGCGGGGAACCCCGAGGCCCTGCTGCCTTTCTGTTAGATGAGGCGGGGCTTGCCATGGCTGGCCTTGGGAAGGAGGTGGATGCTGTCTTCAGTGCCCTGCACACTCTCTGTTATTACCTTTCTGCGGCCTGTCTGATACAGTCAATGATTAAGCTGCATAACTTAAATATTTATTGAGTGCATGCCTTACTCTAAGCCAAGATGAGGAGCCCTTGGCCCAAGGTGCTACTAAAAACTACTATGATGGAAGTCCTTATAAAGATATTTTTGGCCAGGTGCAGTGGCTCATGCCTACAATTCCAGCAGTTTGGGAGGCCGAGGCGGGAGGATCGCTTGAGGCCAGGAGTTGCAGACCAGCGTGGGCCACATGGTGAGACCCTGTCTCTACAGAAAAATAAAACAAAATAAAATAAAATGGCCAGACGTGCTGGTGTGCACTTGTGATCCCAGCTACTTGGAAGGCTGAGGTGGGTGGGAGAATTATCTGAGCCTGGGAGTTTGAGCCCAGTGAGCTATAATCGCACCACTGCACTCCAGCCTGGGTGACAGAATGAGACTCTCTCTCTCTCTCTCTCTCTCTCTCTCTCTCTATATATATATATATATATATATATAATACATTTATATATTATGTATATAATATATATAAAGATATATTTACAAGGACATTTACAGAGGAATTCTTGGGGCAGAGGGTATATTCATTTAAAATTTTTATAGATAATACCAAATTGTCCACCAAAGAGATTGAGCAATGTGTGAAAAGATTGTTTCTCTACCTCCTTACTCCAAACTTTATCATCTTTGCCAGTCTGGTGGGTGAGAAACAGTATTTCAATTTAGTCTCTTCCTGCCTGCCTTTCTTTGTTTCTTTCTTTCTTTCTTTCTTTCTTTCTTTCTTTCTTTCTTTCTTTCTTTCTTTCTTTCTTTCTCTTTCTTTCTTCCTTTCTTTTTCTTTCTTTCTTTCTTTCTTTCTTTCTTTCTTTCTTTCTTTCTTTCTTTCTTTCCTTCTTTCTTTCTTTCTTTTTCTTTCTTCCTTTCTTTTCTTTCTTTCCCCTTCCTTCCTTGCTTTCTTTCTTTACTTTCTTTTTTTTTCTTTTTTGACAGAGTATTGCTCTGTTGCTCAGACTGGAGTGCAGTGGCACGATCTTGGCTCACTGCAACCTCTGCCTCTCGGGTTCAAGTGATCCTCCCGTCTCAGCCTCCCAAATAGCGGGGATTACAAGTGTGAACCACCACATGCGGTTAATTTTTGTTGTTCTTGTTGTTGTTGTTGTTTTTGAGACAGAGTCTCACTCTGTTGCTCAGGTTGGAGTGCAGTGGTGCAATCTCAGCTCACTGCAACCTCCACCTCCCCAGCTAAAGCCATTGTCGTCCCTCAGCCTCCTAAGTAGCTGGGATTACAGGCACCCACCACCACGCCCAGCTAATTTTTGTATTTTTAGTAGAGACGGGGTTTCACCATGTTGGCCAGGCTGTTCTCGAACTCCTGACCTCAAGTGATCTGTCTACCTTGGCCTCCCAAAGTGTTGGGGTTATAGGTGTGAGCCAACATGCCTGGCCTCAATTTAGTCTTAACTTGCACTTCTCTTTCCTTATGAGTGATGATGGGGATGTTTTCATAGGCATAAAAGCATTTGTGTTTCTTTTCCTAAGAATCATGTCTCAGTTTATGTCCTTTGCCCATGTTTTTCTCTTGGATTCTTGGTCTTTTTCTTCCAGATCTGTAGGAGCTCTTTGCAAATCGAGGAAATGAGCTCTCAGTGTACTGTATGTGTTGTAAATGTTTATTCTCAGTTTGTCTCTATAATGGTTTGATTTATGCATTTTTCTTGTAAAAAAAAACTGTTACATTTTTATCAGTCAAATTTATCAATATTTTCCTTTATGGCTTCTGGGTTTTACGATGTCTTAGCAATGCCGTTCCCACTCTGAGGTTATTAAAAGCACACGAACCATTCTTTCTTTGTACTCCATGCATGAGTGCGGAGCCCCACACTCAGGAACAGCCTGCCGCTTTCGTGACCCGTGGCCACTCCCTGTGCTCCGTGTGGCTCTCCCCACATCCCTCACCAAGGCCATGCCAGTTGTGGAACATTCTGAACACTGCACCTGTTTGATTGGTTCTGTGTTTCCTTGTGTTTTCTTTAAAGATACTGAAGATTTTACAGCGGGGAATGGACATGGTCAGACTCACATCTAACAAAAGCCGGAAGATGATTCTGGAAGACACCGCCGTGGCAATTTGGCCAGGAGGTTCCAGAGATGGTGGTCTCAAAGGGGAGCAGTAGGAGCAAATGGGACCAGGAGGATTTTTCTCTTTTTTCTGGGAGAGGTATTTTTAAGGATGTAGAACTTATTTTCTGACAGAAAAGTAAACAAAATATGTAAGTATTGTGGCTATCTACTGTTCAGTGGAGATTTTCTGTACACCCATCAGGCCCCCAGTTCACACCACATCGCTAAGAATGTGCTACGTACTCCCCCGGGGTTCCTTCACAGCGTGCACATAAACAATCCTGCATCTGTACATGCACAGGTTACCACGTGTACGGTTTGCGCATAAACAATCCTGCATCTTTGCATGCACAGGTTACCACGTGTATGTAGTTATCAAGTATATGTTAATAAATTTCTTTTTGAGACAGAGTCTCGCTCTGTCGCCCAGGCTGGAGTGCAGTGGTGCAATCTTGTCTCACTGCAACATGCATCCCCCAGGTTCAAGCGATTCTCCTGCCTCAGCCTCCCGAGTAGATGGGATTACAGGTGCGTGTGAGCACGCCTGGCTAATTTTTGTATTTTCAGTAGAGACAGGTTTCACCATGTTGGCCAGGCTGGTCTCAAACTCCTGACCTTGTGATCTGCCCGCCTCAGACTCCCAAAGTGCTGGGATTACAGGCTTGAGCCACCGCGTCCGGCCACGAGTACCTTTTAATTGCAATAAAAATTGAATGTCTATCTCCCTCATTTCCCCCTTCAAACCCACTCCTTCACCGTTAACAGTTGATGATTTTAGTTCTTCCAGTGATTGTAAGTAATGTAAGTTAATATACAATTTGTGACATAACGTAAATAGTAAGTTTATATAAGTAATATAAGCTAACAAATGTGCCTCACTATGCAAGACGTGGAAGGTGTCTTAGGAAGGCAGGGCGCCTTGTCCCACCTTTTCTCTTCATTTCCTGCTGTTACTTATGTCAACATATTTAATTCTAGTTCTTGCCTCTCCTTGATGAAAGAGGAGGAT
This sequence comes from Homo sapiens, assembly GCF_000001405.40. Classification (NCBI taxonomy): domain Eukaryota; kingdom Metazoa; phylum Chordata; class Mammalia; order Primates; family Hominidae; genus Homo; species Homo sapiens. The sequence continues at coordinate 157,050,478 of NC_000007.14, forward strand.
ATTAGCACACTAAACTTCCTTCTGCGTTTCTTCACTTGTCTCCTCCAGCAATTTTTTTTTTTTTTTTAGACAGAGCCTCACTCTGTTGCCCAGGCTGCAGTACAATGGCACAATCTCGGGTCACTGCAATCTCCACCTCCCGGGTTCAAGTGATTCTCCCGCCTCAACCTTCCGAGTAGCTGGGATTACAGGCGCCTGCCACCACACCCAGCAAATTGTTTGTATTTTTAGTAAAGATGGGGTTTCACTAAGTTGGCCAGGCTGGTCTCAAACTCCTGACCTCGTGATCCACCCGCCTCGGCCTCCCAAAATGCTGGGATTACAGGTGTGAGTCATGGCGCCCGGCCTCCAGTCTTCGTTAGTTGTCATTTTTACACTCCCAAGTTCTATGCTTACATTTCGTTTTGTAATTATAATCAACTCTTCTACACTTTGTCTACAGGGTGGCAGTATAACTGGAAAATGCAGTAAAAGACATTTGCGTTATTAGGGAAATACAACTCAAAACCACAGTGAGACACCACTTCACACCCACGAGGATGGCTATTATCAAAATCATGGGTAATAACAAGTGTTGGCAAGATGTGGAAAAACTGGACCCTCGTACACTGCTGGCGGGAACATAAAATGGTGTAGCCACTTTGGAAGCAGTTTGGCAGTTTCTCAAAAACTTAAACATAGGCCGGGCGTGGTGGCTCATGCCTATAATCCTAGCACTTTGGGAGGCCAAGGTGGAAGAATCACTTGAGCCCAGGAGTTCAAGACCAGCCTGGGCAACATAGAGAGATCCTGACTCTACAAAAAAAATTAAAAATTAGCCAGATGTGGTGGTGCATACCTGTAGTCCTAGCTAATCGGGAGGCTGAGGTGGGAGGATCTCTTGAGTCCAGGGAGTTGAGGTTGCAATGAGCCATTATCGTGCTGCTGCACTCCAGCCTGGGTAACAGACTGAGACCCTGCCTTAAAAAAAGTTTTTTTTAATTAAAAAAAAAAAGAAAAAAGTTGGCTGGGCGTGGTGGCTCACGCCTGTAATCCCAGCACTTTGGGAGGCTGAGGCAGGCGGATCACGAGGTCAGGAGATCGAGACCATCCTGGCAAACACAGTGAAACCCCATCTCTACTAAAAATACAAAAAATTAGCCAGGCGTGGTGGCAGGCGGCTGTAGTCCCAGCTACTTGGGAGGCTGAGGCAGGAGAATGGCGTGAACCTGGGAGGAGGAGCTTGCAGTGAACCGAGATTGCGCCACTACACTCCAGCCTGGGTGACAGAGCGAGACTCCGTCTCAAAAAAAAAAAAAAAAAAGGTTAAACAGGGCTGGGTGCAGTGGCTCACGCCTGTAATCCCAGCACTTTGTGAAGCCAAGGTGGGCGGATCACTTGAGGTCAGGAGTTCGAGACCAGCCTGGCCACCATGGCAAAACCCCATCTCTACTACAAATACAAAAATTAGCCGTGCGTGGTGGTGCACACCTGTAATCCCAGCTACTCATGAGGCTGAGTCAGGAGAACTGCTTGAACCTGGGAGGTGGAGGTTGTAGTGAGCTGAGATTGCGCCACTGCACTCCAGCCTGGGTGACGGAGCAAGACTGTTTCAAAAAAACAAAAAAAAGTTAAACATAAAGTTGCCATATGGCCACTCCTAGGTATATACCCAGGAAGAATGAACACATATGTTCACCCAAAAGCTTGTTCATAAATGTTCACAATAGCATTATTTATAGAATAACCAAAAACTGGAGACAACCCAAATATCCAGCAACTGATGAATGGATAAACAAAATGTGGAATATCCATGCAGTGGAAGACTATTCAGCAATGAAAAGGAACGAAGGATTGATACATGCTACAACACGGATAAACCTTGAAAACATCCTGCCAAGCAAAAGACACCCGTCACTAAAGACCACCTATTACATGATGCCATTTATAAGAAATGTTCCTAATAGGCAAATCTACAGAGACAATAAATAGATTCGTGGTTGTCTAGGACGGGAGGGTGATGATGTATTAGGGAGAAATGGAGAATGACTGCCATGGGCAAAGGGCTGCTTTTTGGTGTGATAAAAAAGTTCTAAAATTGGTTGTGGTGATGGTTGGCCAACTCTGACTATACTAAAAAACACTGAATTGTACAGTTTAAATGGATGGTATATGAATTACATCTCAGTAAAATAGCTTAAAAATACACTTATGATTTTATGATTATGTGATTCCCTTTGGAGCCAGACAGTATGATTGGACCTATAAAAAGGAAATGTGATCCTTGGCTTCCAAAGCTTTGCTGCTCAAAAGTAGACTCTTCCAAACACCAAGGTCTAGGTGACTCTCTTTTAATTAATTTTTTCTAGCTTTGCACTTTTTGTCTAATAGACTTGTGCTTTGCTTTGTTTATATTTTTGTTTTTCAAGTTTTATAATAATGTGTGTGCTTGTACATTCTCCTTGTAAAATTTAAAATATTGTTGAAAGGTCTGAAGTCACTTTGATCATTCCCTCTGCTCCCAATACCCCCAACTTCCTCCTACCATGCCTGTGTATACTCACAGACCTTTACATTTGAATTTTCCTAAATCTTCATGTATCTATAATAGTATATAAGATTTTGCATCTGTGTATGTGTGTGTTTAGCATAAACAGTATTCCCTGTCATGCTGCAACTTGTCCTGTGCACTCAGCGATGTCCGTGTTGGTCTCTCCTTGTTGGTCGCATTCTTCTCAGCTGCTGCTTAGTTTTCCATGATGTATCAAGGCCATAGTTCCTCCAATCATTCCACTATGGCAGATATTTAGTTGCCCCAGAATCCTGTATTTCATGCTTTTCTCTTTGTGAATTCCTTTTTCATTTTGCTGGAGCACCACCTTGAGTAATTTTTTCAAGTCTTGTGTGGCGTGTTGATATCCTTTTTTTGACCTCACAGGTGGCCATTTGTTCATGTGCTATAGAATTCTAGGTTCAGCAACTTTTCCCTCTAAGTTTTGGACACTTCGTTTCATTGTATTATTATATATTATCACCAAGAAGCAATCTGAGGAGTCTTGTCACTTTATACGTACCTTCTCCTCTCCTCCCAGAAGCTCTTAGGATTTTTTGTTTTTTAATTTTTGGAATTCTGAAATTTCATCAGAGTGTGTCTAGGTTTGAGAGCATTTTTTAAATTAATTCTGCTGGTATTCTCTAGGTCTTTGTCATCCAATAATATGACTTTCTTCTGCTCAGAGAAATTGTCTTCTATTATTTCTTTCATGTTTTCTTTTATTTCTTTGATATTTTCTTTCCTTCTGTAGTCTCTTTTCTGTAACTCCTATTACATAGATACCAAATCCCTGTGGGGTTTTTGTTTGTTTGTTTGTTTGTTTGTTTGAGATGGAGTCTTGCTCTGTCACCCGGGCTGGAGTGCAGTGGCATGATCTTGGCTTACAGCAACCTCTACCTCCCGGGTTCAAGCAGTTCTCCTGCCTCAGCCTCCTGAGTAAAGTAGCTGGGATTACATGTGTGTGCCACCATGTCTGACTAATTTTTGTACTTTTAGTAGAGATGGGGTTTCACCATGTTGATAGGCTACTCTTGAACTCCTGACCTCAGGTGATTTGCCTGCCTTGGCCTCCCAAAGTGCTGGGATTACAGGTGTGAGCCACCGCGCCCGGCCCTCTATGGTTTCTTAATGTTTCTCTGATAATTTCCGTCTCTTCATTGTTTTGCTCTATTTGGAGGGAAGATTCCTTCCCATTTATCTTCCAGTGTATCAACTTAATCTTCAGTGTATCAATTGAGTTTTTTATTTCAGCAATTATATACTTATTTCTAAAGATAATTTTGATTTCTCCTTTTCTGAGGAACTCACCCTTCTTTAATGAAGCCACCCACTCTGTTGAGCGTCTCTGAGGATACTGAGAATTTTTCAAAAGTTTTGTTCTGTCCTCCTGGTTATCAGCTGCTCTGTTGTTTCTCTTGGGTCTTCTTTCACATGTTGGGTTTTTGGAAATGGCTGGTGGGTTGTGTGTTCCATGTGTTTATGAGACAGGGGCCGTGTAGGTCTCTGGAGTCAATTTAGTTTAGTTCTAGGGTTTAGTTCAAGAAAAGGACTTAGTTCTAGAAAAGCCTGGCCTTCTGTCTCTTCAGAGGTCCTTCGACGTCTTCCCTCTCAGGTTTGTTTCCTCAGCTTCATGGACAGACAGCCTCAGCCTCAGCTCTGCACGTTTGCACAGAACTTCCCTCCCCCAGACCCTGCCAACAGAGGATGCAAAGGTTTCTAGGAGAGGGTAGGTTGTGATGTAAATATATTTACATAAAATACCACTGGGTGTTTTATGGGTCTAAACTCCAGTTCAGAGGAGCTACCCCTCCAGGGATTTCACTTTACTTCCAAATAAAAGAGCTACTGTCATGAAATCCCAAGGAATCCAGGCTCACCAGGCCCGGCTCTGTGCTGGGTCTCCACGTGCATCACTCAGTGCAGGGTGCAGACGCCACAGTTACCGTCCCTGTTGTGTAGGTGGGAAATAGGTACTGTCATCATTCCCAACATAGACAGTAGGAAATGACTGCATGGAGAGATCAGGTGATCTGAGGCTGCAGAGCAGCGTATGGCCCAGGCAGGACGTGAACCCAGGGCCTGAGCTCCAGCCACTGTCAGTGGACGGCTGCGAGGCCGCTTCCCTCCCACAGCCCCACCTGCAGGGAGAGATCCCATGCCTGTCCTAAAGGGGCACACAGACGGAAATGGAAACTCTGGGCTGTCTCTTACCAGCCATGTGGCCACAGACAAGTGACAGAACCTCTCAACAGCCCGCTTTTTCAGCACTAAAATGGCAACAAAAATACCAAGCAGCTCCTGGGTTGTTGTGAGAATTCAGCCAGGGGTAGTGTATACAGCAGCTGCCAAATACATGTTTGTTACCTGATGGTCTCACTGGGGGCATAAGACAAGGGGCCCGTGAAACAATCACAGAAAAAAAGCAAGAAAATATCACATTTTGCTAAATATGCTATGTCCCATGCTATATTAAAAATTAAACACCTCAGCCGGGTGTGGTGGCTCACACCTGTAATCCCAGCACTTTGGGAGGTTGAGGCAGGCAGATCACCTGAGGTCAGGAGTTCGAGACCAGCCTGACCAACATGGAGAAACCCCGTCTCTACTAAAAATACAAAATTAGCTGAGCGTGGTGGCGCATTGTAATCCCAGCTACTCATGAGGCTGAGGCAGGAGAATCGCTTGAACCCTGGAGGCAGAGGTTGTGGTGAGCCTAGATCGTGCCATTGCACTCCAGCCTGGGTGACAAGAGCGAGACTCCGTCTCAAAAATAAATAAATAAATAAATAAAAATGAAAATTAAACACCTCTTGGTTAAATGAACTCGGATCCCATCCCATAGGCTCTCAGGACAACAAGGTGGCTGGCACATTAAAGGGCAGGTGACTGGCCAGGCACAGTGGTTCATGCCTGTACTCCCAGCACTTTGGGAGGCCAAGGTGGGCAGATCACTTGAGGTCAGCAGTTCAAGACCAGCCTAGCCAACATGGCAAAACCCCGTTTCTACTAAAAATACAAAAATTAGCCGGGCGTGGTATCATGTGCCTGTAGTCCCAGCTGCTCAGGAGGCTGAGGCAGGAGAATGGCTTGAACCCGGGAGGCGGAGGTTGCAGTGAGCTGAGATTGCACCACTGCATTCCAGCCTGGGCAACAGAGTGAGACGCCGTCTTAAACAAAAAAAAAAAGGGCAGCTGACCAAGAGACCAAGAGATCCACCAGTGGGTGGACGGAGAGCCCTCGGCAATCCGGGAGCCATTTACTTCCCATGACAGCTCACACCTGGGCACAGGTGGGCCATCTGCCCTCCCAGGGGACACCGCCACCATCCCTGCCTCTGCGGGAATGTAGGGGCCTCTTGGGGAGGAGGGTGCAGTCTCACACTGGCCGCTAGGAACTCCTCCTCTGCCTCCTCCAAAGTGACTTTCCGAAAGTTACCCTCCCCCTATTCAGCACCCAGTGCCCCTCCCACTCCTTTCTGGAGACTTCTTTCTTTGTTGGAGCCCTGGCCTAGCTAGCTGGGCCTCCAGTAGACACCCTCTGTGGTTTTACATAGAACAAAGGAGTCTATAAAGAACCGAGTGCCAGCGCCTCCCCCAGCTCTGCAGAGTGTACTGTCATCCCCCGTTCATGCCTCCTGCCCTTCTGGGAAGAACCCGTCCTAATGTCCAAGTTGTAAGTGGGTACTTGGTTTAGGTTGAAATCATGGCCTGATACTTGGACAAGGCATCAAAGCCATTCTTAACATACTAAAAACAATACCACAAGTGTTGTTTCTGAATAAAAGGGAGGATTTTTGTGAACCGAATAACCCAGATTGGTTCTGTCCAACGATGGCCTTGGGCAGGGTTCAGGCCCAGCTCTCTTGTCCCTCAGTCTCCGAAGGCCTCTTCTGGGAAATACCATGACTGTGCCTTGACTAGACTCAAGAAGGCCAGCTGGGGTGCCTGTCCCCCCTGAGGTCCCAGTCCTGTCCCTCCCTGCGGTCCTGCTCATCTCTGCTGGGGTACCTGTCCTTCCCTGTTGTCCCGCTCATCTCTGCTGGGGTGCCTGTCCCTCCCTGCGGTCCCAGTCATGTCCCTCCCTGTGGTCCTGCTCATCTCTGCTGGGGTACCTGTCCCTCCCTGTGGTCCCACTCATCTCTGCTGGGGTTCCTGTCTCTCCCTGTGGTCCCGCTCATCTCTGCTGGGGTGCCTGTCCCTCCCTGCGGTCCCAGTCCTGTCCCTCCCTGTGGTCCTGCTCATCTCTGCTGGGGTACCTGTCCCTCCCTGTGGTCCTGCTCATCTCTGCTGGGGTACCTGTCCCTCCCTGTGGTCCTGCTCATCTCTGCTGGGGTACCTGTCCCTCCCTGTGGTCCTGCTCATCTCTGCTGGGGTACCTGTCCCTCCCTGCAGTCCCGCTCATCTATGCTGGGGTGGCTGTCCCTCCCTGCAGTCCCGCTCATCTCTGCTAGGCTTACAGGGGAAGAGCCGCTCTACCGAAGCCACAGCAGGGACTCACTTCCCATGAGGGAGCACTCTTGCGGTCCCCTCCCCGTGGTAAGGCACTTCCACTTCAGTCGCTAGAGTGATCATGGGGTAACTCAAGCCTTTGATCCAAGGTTGTTTACCTCCTCAGGGACACCGATAGCTTTCCTGAACAATGGCAACCCTCCAGAGTTATCTTGGACCCAAGTCTAGTTCCAGAACAATCAACTCTAAGTTGTTTAAGAAGGCTGTGTACATTAAAACAGCCATAAATCATGGTAATGAATCCCGCAGCATGGAGAGAAATCCATTACACATCTGATACGTGGGGCTATTACTTCAGGACTTGATGCATGCACCTATGAGGGCATAAAATGCAGTATTAACAAACTGCCCATGAACAGAAAACATTGCACTTTCCGGGGGTGGAGGGGAGAGAACCTACCCAACATGGAAATGCTTTATTATTATAAAATTTCTTGAGGCCAACAGTTCAGCAAGGAGGATGTATAAACACATCACTTCGCCTCTTGGAAGGATTTCAGCATAATTAGCTGAGCCCCTTCAGCAAGGTGAAGTGCATCCCAAGTCTCTGCGGAGCCATAAAAAAGCAAGAAGTGGCAGTGGTGTGTGCACATGAATTCACAGCATCTGAAAATGCTTCCTACTTTCCAAACTAAATGGGTCTGCCTTTGAAACGGGCAGGAATGGCAGGGAACGTCCTGAGCCTTACCAAAAAGCACAGGCACTCTGAGCAGAAGTATCGGCGCCAGGCCCGTGCCTGCCAGGCAGCCCAAGGTCAGCTGTCTTCTGAAATCCTTGCAGTTGGAAGTGAAAATGCTGATGCATTTCGGCACAGTCCTCATTTGATTTCCATTTGCAAATGAACAGGAATGATTTCTTCCACTTACCCTTGGTGATTAACCGTTGGCAATCAACATTGCACAAACAGATGAGCTTGCCCCAGTTTTCAACTTCATAAATTGGACACTTCAGAAATGCCACATCTCAGGCTTCTGGGTCAAGTGTGAGCAAGCCCAGGGTAAGTCTACACGTCCTTAACCTTGCGTGTGGGTCTGGCGGGTTCTCATCTTGAGTCTCTTCTTTTCCGTTTTTAGTCCTGCTTTGGGTTCTTTTGAGTGGGAGGTCACCATGGACAGTCACCTGGGCGACCTTCACAAAGAGCACTGTGATGTAAGAAATGGCAGGTCTAATCGGCGGTGTGCATTCCAGGGTCAGGACACCTCCAGGATTGTTCCGGAGGATCAACTCACTTTGGCTATTAGGGAATTCTGGTTCCCCACTAACCCTGGAAGTTTTCAGAGCAGTGTCCCCACAGTGGTCCCTGGGTGGACACCTTCTCCTTGAGGTGCCCATGGGGAAGGCGTGGGGCAGATGTGGAGCTGCTTCTCGACACTCCCTCTGAGCTTCCTCAGCACAGGGAGCATCCCAGGCCCGCACTGGGTCACAGCGAGGGAGGCAGCCACTGAGACACTAAAGGACCCGTGTCCGTGAAGGAGGAATGAAAATCCACATCTGCAAGAGAAAACTTCCGGGTCCACACGTTACTCTTACTAAACAAATGTGACCACAGAAAGTCTATTTACGGTATTCAGGCTGGAACAAGCGTTTCATCATCGCCTGGGTCCCCCAAGGGGGAAAGGAGACAACTTAGGACAGAAATGTGATGGATGGGAGGTGGTTAGAAGAAAGGAAAGGATATGTGTCCCCACCCAAATCTCATCTGAATTGTAGCTCCCATAATCCCCTCGTGTCATGGGAGGGATCCAGTGGGAGGTAATTGAGTCATGGGGGCAGGTTTTTCCCATGCTGTTCTTGAGATAGTGAACAAGTCTCATGAGATCTGCTGGTTTTATAAAGGATGCTGTCTTGCCTGCCGCCATGTTAAGACATGCCTTCGTTCCTCCTTCACTTTCTGCCATAACTGTGAGGCCTCCCCAGCCACGTGTAACTGTGAGTCTATTAAATCTCTTTTTCATTACAAATTACCCAGTCTCGGGTATTTCTTCATAGCAGTATGAAAATGGACTAATACAGGAAGTCATTTGGCAATTCTAAGAATCAGAATTACAGTGGGAATTCTAAGATCTACAAATTTTACAAAACAGGGCAGTTTTATTCCTGAGTCCCTCCTGGTTTTCCCCCTTTCTCTCTGGTGGCTCCTGCTCCCTCTCCATCCTGCCCAGCAGGGCCCTCCCACAATCTGCACGCCCCACCCATCACCGACCTGCATAGAACCTTCCCCCAGAATAGTTCCTGAACCTGTTGCTCTTCGTCCTCACCTCTCTAGTCTCAGCCCTCATCAGCACCTGCCTGAGCTTTTATAATAGTCTGTGGGTCTCCCTGCACTTATTAAACGTGGGTTTTCCTCAAGGTTCAGGCCTTGCTCTCTTCTCATTCTAAGCTATCCTCCTGTGCAACTAATCTAGTTTCATGGTTCTAACTCCCAAATCTATATCTTTACCCAAAACTTCTTTTTAGAACTCTAGATGGAAATGTTCAACTACTTATCTGATGTCTCCGCTTGGATGTCTCACAGGCCACTCAAATTCACCCTGTCCCAAACTGGACTCCTCCTTACTCCCAAACCTGTTCCTCTTCTGGTGTGGTGTCCGGGGAGGCACCATCCTCCAGCCAGCTAAGAAGCCAGACACCCAGGAGACATGCTGGCATTTTCCCTCATGCTCCACCTTCTCACCAACCCACCACCGAGATGCATGGAGTCCTCCATCCCAACCGCTCCTGAACCTGCTGCTCTTCACCCCACCATGGTCTCTGCCTTCCTCAATAACTTCCTAAGCTTTGGCAATGGCTTGCTTGTGTCCCTGTATTGATTCTGGCTTTCTCAAATCCATTTCCCAAACTTTTCAACAACAACGAAGTCTTCTGATAGTTTCCTGTGCACACAGAGTCAAATCCGAAGCTTATAATGTGGTAGACAAAGTTCTGAGTGATTTGGCAACAACAGAATGGACAAATAAATCACGATGTAGTAATTCAGTGAAACGCCATACAGCGAAGAGAACAAACCAACCATGGCTACACACAACAATGCGGACGAAGATCTCAAAATACTTCAAAACGTTTTCTTTAAAAGTGGATTGTGTCGGCTAGGCACGGTGGCTCATGCCTGTAATCCCAGCACTGTGGGAGGCCAAGGCGGGAGCATCACCTGAAGTCAGGAGTTCCAGACCAGCCTGGCCAACATGGCAAAACCCCATCTCTACAAAAATTAGCCGGGTGTGGTGGTGGGCGCCTGTAGTCCCAGCTACTCAGGAGGCTGAGGCAGGAGAATCGCTTGAATCTGGGAGGCGGAGGTTGCAGTTAGCTGAGATTGTGCCACTGCACTCCAGCCTGGGTGACAAGAGCAAGACTCTGTCTCAAAAAAAAAAAAGATAGATTGTGTCTACTGAAGCTTAGCAAATAATAAATATAACAAAAATAAATGAAAACCACAAAGGAAGAAGAAAAAAGTAGGAAAAAAGAAAATATGAAAAAAAGAAAAAGAAAAAAATGGATTGTAGTCTGGGCAATATAGTGAGACTCCATCTCTACAAAAAAAAAAAATTTAATTAGCCAGACATGGTGGTGTGCACCTGTAGTCCTAGCTACTCAGTAGGCTGAGGTGAGAGGATCTCTGGAGCTCAAGAGGTTGAGGCTGCAGTGAGCCAAGATCATGCCACTGAACTCCAGCCTGGGTGACATAGCAAGACCCTGTCTCACCCCTTGCAAAAAAAAAAAAATCGTGTTTGATAGTGGAAGAGACCATGCATATGTGGGAATGGGGTTTTGTAAGAAATCTCTCTACCTTCTCCTCCATTTTGCTTTGAACCTATTTTCTAACTGCTGGAGTGCAGTGGTACGATCTCAGCTCACTGCAACCTCCACCTCCCGGGTTCAGGAGATTCTGCTGCCTCAGCCTCCCAAGTAGCTGGGATTACAGGCGCCCACCACCATGTCCAGCTAATTTTTTTATTTTTAGTAGAGACAGGGTTTCACCGTGTTGGCCAGGCTGGTCTCGAACTCCTGACCTCAAGTGATCCACCCACCTTGGCCTCCCAAACTGCTGGGATTACAGGCCTGAGACACCACACCTGGCCCTACCCCCTATAATAACTTTTTTTTTACAGTTTCCTTTATTATTTTTGCCTCTTTATCCTTTCTTTTTATCTCTATCTTCATATTAGAGGCTTTCCTCAAATGTCTTGTGATCTTTGGCTATCAGCTCACATTTGAGAATGAGATACTAAAAATCTATTGAAAGCTTCATGTGTGTAGTAGATTAAGATAGCCACAAATTATTTCTCAAACTCCTGGCCTCAAGTGATCTGCCCACCTCGGCCTCCCAAAGTGCTGGGATTACAGGCACGAGCCACCATGCCTGGCCTGCCACAAATTATTTCTATTTCTCTTATTGAGAGGTGGACCTAATCTCCCTTCCCTTGAACTTAGATCCTTAATGACTTCCTTGACCAATGGAATATAGTAGAAGTGACTTCTAAGGCTTCCAAGATCATAGAAAGTCCTGTGACTTCTACCCAGGCTTCTTGGCATTCTTGCTCATGGAGTTCAGCCACCATGCTGTGAGGAAGCCCAAGCAGCGCCCTGGAGGGGCCCATGTAGAGAGGCACCAAGGCCACTGGCAACTTCCTGGATTGTTCTGCCAGCCTGCAGCCACATGAAGGAGCATTTTGGAGGCAGATCCTCTGGCCCCAGCCGAACCACTCCAGATGACATCATGTGAAGGAAAAATGAGCTGTCCTCACTGAACCTGCCCACATTCCCGATTTGTATGGAATGTAAGTGATTGTTGTTGTTTTAAACCACTACATTTTGGGGTGGCTTGTTACACAGCAATAGACAACCATTCACCTCCTGCCTGGGTGCCAAGTGGAAGGTGGCAAAGCATGTTGCCACCCCGGTCTGAGACTCATCTGCTCTTCCCACCTCCTTCCACACTCGGTGTCCTCATGTAAGAAGTCCCTTTAGTTCAATTTCTCTAGAGATCTCCAGTCTCCTGAAGAGGGCATTGCAGGTGGGGGAGGGGACAGGCAGGTCTCACATCAGTGCATCCACATTTCCAAACCATCCTGTGTTTGATGTACACGTGGCAAATAAACACAGGAAGAGTTGTTCAACATTGTCCTCCATCAGAGACATGCAGGTGAAAACCGCCACAAGACATCACTGCACATCTATTAGAAAGGCCAAAATCAAAAACCAATAACACAAATGCTGGCAAGGATACTGAGAAACAGGACCACTTATACATTGCTGATGAGAATACTCACTGGTAGGGACAGCTGCTGTGGACTATAGTTTGGCAGTTCCTTTTAAAACTGGGAATGGACTTACTATGTGACCCAGCTTTTGCACTCCTGGGCATATATTCCTGAGAAATGAAAACTGATAGAAACTTGTGAATGAATGTTCATACCAGCTATATTTGTAATAGCTCCAAATTGGAAACTACCCACATGTCCTTCAATGAATGAATGGTTAAATAAATGGTGGGTCATCCATACAAGGCAATGGCATTTAGCAACAAAAGGTAACGAGCTATTGATATGTACAACAACTTAGATGACCCTCAAAGAAATCGGGTTGCATGGGAAGCACATCTCAAAGGGACACAGACTGCATTCAGTGTTAATGTAATTATCAGATTGGTGGTTGCCAGGAGTTAGGGATGGGGCAGAGAGGGAGGGTGTCTGGGGAGTCCAGGGGAGTCCGTGGTGCTAGTCTAGTTGAATGCCTGATTGTGGTGGTTCCATGAAGTTACGTGTGTGGTAACGTCTTAGAGCTACACACGCGCATGCACACACGAGTGCACGTTTACTGATGAAATCTGAAAAAGATCCGTGGATTGTACCAGTTTCCTGGTTTTGATATTATTGTATAATTGGGTAAAAATTCAACACTGGGGGAGGCTGAGTGGAGAGTAGGTGGAAACTTTCTATACATTTCTTCACAATTTCTTGTGAATCTGTAATTATTACAAAAGTAAAAGTTATGGCCAAGTGTGGTGGCTCACACCCATAATCCCAGCACTTTGGGAAGCTGAGGTGAGCGATCACTTGCGGCCAGGAGTTTGAGACCTGCCTGGACACCATAGTGAGACCCCATCTCTAAAAACAAAAAGCAAAAGTTAATTAAGAAATAGGCTTGGCTTATGGACAATGATAAATAAATAGTAACTTTAAAGAAACATGTGGACAAACTTCCCTGTACAATCAAAATCTCTTCTGTCAACCTTTATGCTCCTCACCGTATACTCTTCAGTTTCCTGGGAAGAGCAATGCCTTGTCCCTCTGAGTCAGTGATGGCTACGTCTCCTCCAGCATCTGTTTTCTTTTTCATCTTTAGTGATAGAATCTCTGATTCTTCCAACAATGATAGACTGGATTAAGAAAATGTGGCACATATACACCCTGGAATACTATGCAGCCATAAAAAAGGATGAGTTCATGTCCTTTGTAGGGACATGGATGAAATTGGAAATCATCATTCTCAGTAAACTATCACAAGGACAAAAAACCAAACACCACATGTTCTCACTCATAGGTGGGAATTGAACAATGAGAACACATGGACACAGGAAGGGGAACATCACACTCTGGGGACTGTTGTGGGGTGGGGGGAGGGGGGAGGGATAGCATTAGGAGATATACCTAATGCTAAATGACGAGTTAATGGGTGCAGCACACCAGCATGGCACATGTATACATATGTAACTAACCTGCACATTGTGCACATGTACCCTAAAACTTAAAGTATAAAAAAAAAAAAGGAATCTCTGATTCTTAGCTAGATATTTACCCACCCAGAATTAAAAGTGACCTTTTCCAGTCTCTCTGGGATCTACATGGGTTTGTAAGGAGGGCTATCTGCAGTCTCTAGAATGGACACTTCATGGGAAGCATCATGTCCTTTGCCTCTTTCCCCTTCCTGGAAGGTAGGCGATGGCTGGAGCTCAAGTATCCTCTTGAATAGAAGAGGTAGGAGCCACTATTATTCTGGATTTTCCATCCTCAGTCAATTCCATTCTTCACTTACACACCATCTCAGGCTTCTAAACATACCAACCTCAGCCCAGAACTCCTCTCTTGATATGGTTTGGCTGTGTCCCCACCCAAATTTCAACTTGAATTGTATCTCCCAGAATTCCCACGTGTTGTAGGAGGGACCCAGAAGGAGGTAATTGAACCATGGAGGCCAGTCTTTCCCATGCTATTCTCATGATAGTGAATAAGTCTCACAAGATCTGTGGGTTTATCAGGGGTTTCCACTTTTGCTTCCTCTCATTTTCTCTTGCCGCCGCCATGTAAGAAGTGCCTTTTGCCTCTCACCATGATTCTGAGGCCTCCCCAGCCATGTGGAACTGTAAGTCCAATTAAACCTTTTTCTTCCCAGTCTCAGGTATGTCTTTATCAGCAGCGTGAAAATGGACTAATACATCTGTCTTCCATCTTTCTGCTCAAATGATGCATCTTCTTTTTTAAGATCTTAGGTTAAATTCTGCTTCCTCCAGGAAGCCTTCCCTGAGCTGAAACTCAGATGAGTTATAAGCCCCTTTAGGGGTGACTTCTGGTTTTATGATAATTTCCCTTCACTGAGAACTTCCAGCTCTCTAAAAACAGAATTACAGGGAAAGGCCCCAGGAGCCATCTCTGTCTGTCACGTCTGACGAGGGACGGATGGACCCTGACCCAGCCTGGGCGAAGTGGCACTCTCTGCTCTGGGAGCTTGAGTTTGAGATCCAGCCTCCTCACGGGGTTGAGCCTGTGAGCCTCGACTAACTTGGGCACTGTGGACAGCCATGCTGTGTTACTCAACCTGAGGGGCAGGAAAAGCTTGTTTGCAGAGAGAAGAGAGTGAAGCTGACCCAGAGGCAGAACAGAAACAGGGTCTATGAAGAGCGGGTGTTCCCACTCCCTGGTTTCATCCCACCAAGATGGCTCTCTGTCTCTCTCCTTGGTTCACTCAAACAACACTATCACCTTATTGTCATGGTACTATATTCTACCCCACTTTTTCTCTACACCCCACCCAAATTGTGGTAAAGTATGCATAACGTAATATTTACCATCTGAATGATTTGTAAGTGTCCAGTTTGGAGGCGTTGGGTACATTCATATTGCTGCGCCACGACCGCTACTGTGCACCCACAGAACGCTCATCATCTTGCGAAACTAACACTCTACTACCTTGCTTATATAAGAAGCTGGCTTCAACTGGTTTCCAGTACTTGTAGGTAAGAGTTCTAAGGCATGTGGGATTCTGCAAGATGTGTCGAAGTCACCAAGAGTTCTGCAGTGTTTCTGTGAGAAGCTGTGGGCGAAAGGCGAGTTTGAATGGGATTGAGGTAGGTTTAAAGTTAGACTAAGAATGTTACTTCCTTAATGATAAGATGCTGTGTGTTTCTGAACAGGGGTAACAAGTGTAGAACTGGGTCTTGGGAAGTCGGATTCAGCACTGATGATACTCAGTAGTATAGCTTAAAGAAGAATATTTAAAAATGTTTTAATTGATATGTAATAATTGTACATGTCAATTAATGTATGGAGTACAGACTGTTTTTTGTTTTTGGCTTTGGTTTTTGTTGTTGTTGTTTGAGACAGAATCTTGCTCTGTCACCCAGGCTGGAGTGCAGTGGTGCGATCTCGGCTCATTGCAACATCCGCCTCCCGGGTTCAAGAGGTTCTCATGCCTCAGCCTCCCGAGTAGCTGGGATTACAGATATGTACCACCACACCCAGCTAATTTTTGTATTTTTAGTAGAGACGGGGTTTCGCCATGTTGGCAAGACTGGTCTCTAACTACTGGCCTCAAGTGATCCACCTGCCTTGGCCCCCCAAAGTGCTGGGATTACAGGTGTGAGCCAGCTTGGCTCACAAACCAATATACAATATATGTATATTTGATACATATATCAAAATATGTATACAATGTATAATAATAAAATCACAGTAATTAGCATATCCATCACTTCAAACATTTATCATTTCTTTGCATCGGGAGCATTCAAAATCATCTCTTCTAGCTATTTGAAAATACACAATAAGTTACTGTTAACTATCGTCACTTCACAGTGCTATAGAGCACTGTAACTTATAATGCCTATCTAGCTATAATTTTATATCCATTAACCTATTGCTCCTGTTTTTTTCTATTTCCGTGAAGAATGTCATTGATATTTTCATGGGGATTGCATTGAATCAGAAGATTGCTTTGGGTAATACAGTCATTTTAACAATATTAATTCTTTCAATCTGTAAACATGGAAGGTCTTTCTCTTTTTTGTATCTTCTTCAATTTTTTTCATCAATGTTTTGTAGTTTTTATTGTAGAGATCTTTCTCCTCCTCAGTTAAATTTATTTCTAACCTTTTTGTTTTTGTAGCTATTATAAATGGGATTGCTTTCTTGATTTCTTTTCAGCTAGTTCATTGTTGGTGTACAGAAACACTACTGATTTTGTATGTTGATTTTGTAACCTACAACTTTACAGAATTCATTGATCAGTTCTAAGAGTTTATTAGTGGAGTCTTTAGGATTTTCTGTATATAAGATCATGTCATCTGCAAAAAGGGACAATTTGACTTCCTCTTTTCCAATTTAGATGTGTTTTATTTCTTTCTCTTGCCTAATTGCTCTAGCTAGTATTTCCAGTACAATGTTGCATGAAAGTGGTAAAAGCAGACATCCTTGTCTTGTTTCAGTTCATAGATAGAAAGATTTCAGTTTTTCCCTGTTCAGTATGATGTTAGTTGTGGGTTTTGTTATTTACGGCCTTTATTGTGTTGAGGTACTTTTATGCCTACTTTGTTGAGTTTTTATCATGAAGGGACATTGAATTTTATCAAATGCTTTTTCTGTGTCTATGGAGAGGATCATTTGGTTTTTGTCCTTCATTCAGTTAACATGATGTATCACATTTGTTGATGAGGCAAACCATCCTTTCATTCCTGGGATAAATTCCACTCAATCATAATATAATCTTTGTGTTTGGTTTGCTAGTATTTTGTTGAAAATTTTTGTACCTATGTTTGTCAGGGATATTGGCCCATAGTTTTCTTTTTTGAGGGTGTGTCCTTGTGTGGTTTTGGTATCAGGATAATGCTAGCTTCGTAGAGGTAGTCAGGAATAATTTCCTCCTCTTCAATTTTTTGGAGTAGTTTGAGAAATTGGTGTTAGTTCTTCCAGAAAAGTTTGATATGCTGGTGTGATGGCTCATGCCTGTAATCCCAACAGTTTGGGAGGCCGAAATGAGAGGATTACTTAAGGTCAGGAGTTCAAGACCAACCTGGGAAACACAGGGAGGCCCTGTCTCTAAAAAAAAATCATTTTTTTTTTTTTGAGATGGAGTTTTGCTCTTGTTGCCCAGGCTGGAGTGCAATGGCGCGATCTCTGCTTACTGCAACCTCTGTCTCCCAAGTTCAAGTGATTCTCCTGCCTCAGCCTCCTGAGTAGCTGGGATTACAGGCGCCCGCCACCACACCTGGCTAATTTTGTATTTTTAGTAGAGATGGGGTTTCTCCATGTTGGTCAGGCTGGTCTCAAACTCCTGACCTCAGGTGATCCACCCGCTTCAGCCTCCCAAAGTACTGGGATTACAGGCGTGAGCCACCATGCCTGGCTACAAAAAAATAATTTAAAAAAATTAGCTGGATGTGGTGGTGCACTCCTGTAGTTCCAGCTACTTGGGAAGCTAAGGTGGGAGGAATGCTTGGACCCAGGGGTTTGAGGCTTCAGTGAGCTATGATCATGCCATTGCACTCCAGCCTGAATAACAGAGAGAGTCCCTGTCTCCCAGAAAAAAAAAAAAAAAATTGGTAGAATTCAGCAGCGAAGCCACCCAGTCCCGGGCTTTTTGTTGTTGTCGTCATTGGGAGGCTTTTCAATACTGATTCAATCATGATACTCATTATTTATCTGTTCAGGCTTTCTGTTGCTTCCTGGTTCAATCTTGGTAGGTTGTATGTGTCCAGGAGTTTATCCCTTTCCTCTAGGTTTTCCCATTTGTTGGCATATAGTTATTCATAATAGTCTCTAATAATTCTTAGCATTTCTGTAATATCAGTTGTAATATCTCCTTTTTTGTTTCTGATTTTGTTTGTCTTCTCTTTTTTCTTAGTTTGTCTAGCTAATAGCTTGTCAATTTTGTTTATCTTTTCAAAAAGCCAACTTTTCATTTCATTGATATTTTGTATTTTTGTCTCTATTTTGTTTAGTTCTATTCTGATCTTTTTTTTGGAAACAGAGTCTCACTCTGTTGCCCAGGCTGGAGTGCAATGGCACTATCTCAGCTCACTGCAACCTCCGCCTCAGTCTCCCATGTAGCTGGGAGTACAGGCATCCACCACCATGCCCAGCTAATTTTTGTATTTTTAGTAGAGACAGGGTTTTTCTATGTTGCCTAGGCTGGTCTTGAACTCCTCACCTTCAGGTGATCCACCCACCTTGGCCTCCCAAAGTGCTTGGATTATAGGCGTGAGCCACCATGCCCAGCCTATTCTGATCTTAATTATTTCTTTCCTTCTACTAATTTGGGGTTTCATTTGTTCTTGTTTTTCTAGTTCCTTAAGGTGAATTGCTAGGTTGTTTATTTGAAACCTTTCTCCATTTTTGATGTAGGCATTTATTGCTATAAACTTCCCTCTTAGTATTGCTTTTTCTGTATCCCGTACATATTTGGTATGCTGTGTATCTATCTTCATTGTTTTAAGGAATTTTTAAATTTTCTTCTTAATTTCATCATAGATGCATTGGTCATTGAGGAGCAGGTTATTTAATTTCCATATATTTGTATCATTTCCAAAAATCCTTTTGTTACTGATTTCTAGTTGTATTCCATTGTGTCTGAAAAGATACTTGATACAGTTTTGATTTTTAAAAATTTGTTGAGACTTGTTTTGTGGCCTATCATATAATCTATCCTGGAGAATGTCCCATGTGCTGATTAGAAGAATGTGTATTCTGCAGCTATTGGATGAAATGTTCTGTAAATGTCTGTTAGATCCATTTGGTCTAAATGGGTTTAACTCTGATGTTTCTTTGATGACTTTCTGTCTACACAATCTGACCAATGGTGATAGTAGGGTGTTAAAATCCCCAACTATTATTATATTGGGGTCTATTTCTTCCTTTAGCGCTAATAATATTGGCTTTATATATCTGGGTGCCCTGGTGTTAGGTGTAAATATATATTTATAACTGTTATATCCTTTTACTGAATTAATCCCTTTATCATTGTATAATGACCTTCCTTGTCTCTTTTTACATTTTTTACTTAAAGACTATTTTTTCCAAAATAAGTGTAGCTATTCATGCTAGCTTTTAGTTTTTGTGTGCATGGAATATATTTTTTCATCCTTCACCTTCAGTCCATATGTGTCTTTACAGGTGAAATGAGTTTCTTGTAGGCAGCTATAGTTGAATCTTATTTTTCTATCCGTCACCCAATCTATATCTTTTACTTGGGGGATTTAAATTGTTTATATTTAAAGTTGTTATTGATAGATGAGGACTTACTCCTGTCATTTTGTCAACTGTTTCCTGGTTGTTTTGTATACTTTTCTTCCTTTTTTCCTCTCTTATTGGTTATCTTTGCAATTTGATGTTTTTCTGTAGTGAAATTATTTGATTCTTTTATCTTTCTCACGTGTGTATCTGCTTTACTTGTGAGTTTTATATGTTTTCATGATGGTAGGTATTTTCCTTGTGTTTCCAGATGTAGGACTCTCTTAAGCATTTATTGTAGGATCAGTCTAGTGGTGATGAATTCCCTCAGCTTTTGCTTATCTGGGGAAGACTTTCTCTTTCGTTTTTGAAAGTTAAGATTTGTGACCGGGCGCGATGGCTCACGCCTGTAATCCCAGCACTTCGTGAGGCCGAGGCGGGTGGATCATGAGGTCAGGAGATCGAGACCATCCTGGCTAACACGGTGAAACCCCATCTCTACTAAAAATCCAAAAAATTAGCTGAGCGTGGTGGTGGGCGCCTGTAGTCCCAGCTACTCGGGAGGCTGAGGCAGGAGAATGGCGTGAACCCAGGAGGCAGCACTTGCAATGAGCCAAGATTGCACCACAGCACTCCAGCCTGGGCAATAGAGTGAGACTCCATCTCAAAAAAAAAAAAAAAAAAAAAAAAAAGTTAAGATTTGTTAGGTATAGTATTCTTAACTGATAATTTTGATAATTGTCATTGAAATTGACATATTAATCTGTCAGTATTTATTTATTTATTTATTTATTTATTTATTTATTTATTTGAGATGGAGTCTCACTCTGTTGCCCAAGCTGGAGTGCAGTGGCACGATCTCGGCTCACTGCAACCTCCACCTCCCAGGCTCAAGCAATTCTCTGGCCTCAGCCTCCCTAGTAGCTGGGACTACAGGCACATGCCACCACGCTCAGCTAATTTTTTGTATTTTTGGTAGAGTTGGTGTTTCACCATGGTGGCCAGGCTGATCTCGAATTCCTGACCTCGGGTGATCTGCCCTCCTCAGCCTCCTAAAGTGCTGGGATTATAGGCATGAGGCACTGCACCCAAGCTGTCAATATATATTAAAAATATATACTCAGCACTTTGAATAAATCATCCCATTCTTACCTGGCCTGTAAGGCTGCTACTGAGAAATCTGCTGTTAGTCTGATGGAGGTTTCCTTATATCTGACTTAATGCATTTTTCCTTGCATTGTCTTTTCTCTGTCTTTGACTTTTGACAGTTAGATAATAGTGAGGCTTGGAGAAGGCATTTTTGGGTTGAACCTGTATAGAAAATTTTGAATTTCCTGTATAGGAAATTTTGAATTTCCTGTATTTGGATGTCCATACCTCTCCTATGATTTTGGAGATTTTCAGTTATTATTTAATTTGTTTTTCCTATCTCTTCTCCTGTGGAACTCCCATAATGGAAACACTTTTTCACTTAATGGTGTCCCGTATGTCCTGTAGGTTTTTTTCATTCTTTTTTCTTATCTAACTGGATTATTTCAAAAGATCTGTCTTGAAGTTCAGAAGTTATTTCTTCTTGATCTAGTCTATTGCTGAAGCCCTCAATTGTATTTTTTCTTTCAGTGCCAGGAGTTCCATTTCATTCCTTTTCATGATAACTTTTTGTTAAATTTCTCATTCAAATTATGAATTCTTTTCCTGCTTCTGTTGAATCATCCGTGTTCTGTTAAATCTTGCTGAGTTTCCTTAAGATGATTGTTTTGAATTCCTTTCCAGGCATTTTATAGATTTCTTTTTCTTTGAAGTCAGTTACTAGAGGATTATTGTGTTCCTTTGAAGATATTCTGTTTCCTTGCTTTTTCAGGTTTCTTGTGTCCCTATGTTGATATCTGCACATCTGGTGGAACAGCCACTTCTTCCAACTTTAATGGAGTAGCTTTTGTAAGGAAAGATTTTTCCTGTAGATGTGTCCAGTGGTGTCAATTGGGTAAGGTACTTTGCCTTTGGTTCTGGGTAGCCATAGTAGTATAGTCTTCATTTGATTTCTTCAACCATAATCAGTGTCAGTGGTGTCTGTGAGTGCCCGGGTGGCCTAGGCTGCAGTTGTTTGTGAAAGCTATAGGATGGCTGTGTTGGGAGCAGGGATGCTGGACAGGCCAGTCCTCAGGCCCTGCAGTGGGTATGTGCAGGTATCTGGTGACTCCACCTTTGGAGGGGGCAGGGTCACTAGTGAGGCCAGCAGTGGGTCCCAGTCAAGCAGCTCTCAGGTTCTGGGGAGCAAGTGCATCAGCTTCCACTGTCCTGGAGGCAATCTCCTCTCTGTGCCGGACTGCCTATGCCTTCAAGTGCACACTGATGCTCAGGTGCCAGAGTCATGGCTGCACTGCTGGGTCCAGCTGGTGTTGTAATGCCGCAGTCTTCTGTGTAGATGTGGAGGACTGTAAGTGGGGTCCCAGGGATGTGGTGATGTGGGGGCTATTGGGACTCAGGGCAAGATGCACTCAGATGGTGGCTCTGTTCTCACATTGATGACATGCTGTGGTGTCCTGGGAGTGGGGGACCCAGTGTGAATTTCCTAAAAAGGAATATTAAAGGAAAGGAGATGACATCATTAATTCAACAAGTATTTATTGAGCTCCTGCTATATAGCAAGCCCTGAAAATACAACAAGGAATATAATAGATAAAGTCATTGCCACCATTAAATTAACATTCTACTTGGAAAAGACACGTAATGTATAAGTCAGGCCGAACACGGTAGCTCATGCCTGTAATCCCAGCACTTTGGAGGCCACGGCAGGCAGATCACCTGAGAGAGCTTGACCCTAGCCTGGCCGACATGGTGAAACCACGTTTCTACTAAAAATACCAAAATTAGCTGGGTGAGGTGACACATGCCTACAGTCCCAGCTACTCGAGAGGCTTGAACCCAAGAGGATCACTTGAACCCAGGAGGCAGAGGTTGCAGTGAGCCAGGATTGTGCCACTACACTCCAGCCTGGGTGACAGAGTAAGAGTCCATCTCTAAAATAAATAAATTAATTAAATAAAAATATTTTTAAAAAAATTAAAGAAAAAAAATAGGGCCAGGAGCAGTGGCTCATGCCTACAATCCCAGCACTTTGGGAGGCCGAGGCAGGCAGATTGCTTGAGCTCAGGAGTTCAAGACTAGTCTGGGCAACATAGCAAAATCCCGCCTTTATAAAAAAAAAAAAAAATTAGCTGGGTGTGCTGGCGTGAACCTGTAGTCCCAGCAACTCAGGAAGCTGAGATGGGAGGATTGCTTGAGCCTAGGAAGAAGGGTTGCAGTAAGCTGAGACCGTGCCACTGCACTCCAGCCTGGGTGACAGTGAGACTCTGTCAAAAAAAAAAAAAAAAAAAAGGCGTGTAATGTAAAAGTAAACAAATGCACACAGTAATTTCAGATAGCAAAAATTATTTTTAAAGCAATGAAATGAGATGTTGTCCTAGTCTGTTTTGTGTTGCTATGAAGGAATGCCCGAGTCTGGGTAATTTACAACTAAAAGAGGTTTATTTGGCTCATGGTTCTGCAGGCTGTACAAGAAGCATGGGTGCTAACATCTGGTCAGCTTCTGGTAAGAGCTTTTCTGTTGCATCAAAACATGGCAGAGAAGTTCCAGTGGGAAGCAGTCATGTGCAAAGAGGAGCCAAACCTAAGGGATGTCCTGGCTTACAGCCCACTTTCATGAGAATTAATCCATTACCTCAAGAACCAATCCAGTTTCCCGAGAGCAAGAACTCAGTCACTATCACAAGAACAGCACCAACCCATTCATGAAGGATCCATCCCCCTGACCCAGACATCTCCCACTAGGCTCCACCTCCCAACCACCACATGGGGGATTAATTTCAACATGCAATTTGGTGGAGACAAACAAACCACATTCAAACCATAGCAGATAGTAAGATAAATAGTGACAGGAGAGGGTCTATTTTAGACTGGAATTAAAGTGGGGAAATGGAACTGATAAATAGGAAAGATTTTAGCCAAGAAAGAATTTGAATCATTCCAGTTAAACCCATTATGGTCCATCTACTTGCATTAAAGCTTCATGGTGTTGGGCATTATACCAGCCTATAGTCCAGTCATCTCTTGCTTAGACGGAGATAGGGGATTGAACAGGAGGCCAGGGGTTAGGCGGTGCTGTAGTGTAGGCAGCACTACAACTTGCTGAATAAGAAAATTGTAGGGGAATCAGAATGTCTGAAGGAGAATTCATTTTGGGGAGAAGTTGATTCATTCCGCTTGAACTTGGTGGTTTTGGTGTATTCATGGGATAGCCAAATGGAAATGTCCAGCAGATCCCAAGGTCAAGCCTGAAAACTTCAGGTCTAGGAGCATCCTCAGCTCCTTCCTCTCCCTCTACCTCCTCACCCACATGGACACCCAGTGCTGTGGCAGCTCCCTCTTCTCAAGCCAACTGTGTCCTCAAGCTCCATCCCACTGCCATGGCCTAAAAAGCGGCTTGGGATCCTCGCTGCCTGCATCTCGGCAGCTGCCACCTTCTCCGATGTCTCTTGGGGTGTGAGGCACACAGTAGATGCTTTATAAATGTTGGCTTTGTATGAAAGGAAATCAGAAAAGTATGAAAAGAGAGGAGTGTCAAGGTGCTGAATTAGGAGTTGGCAGCATTTTTACTTATTTTTAATTTTGTTATATTATGAAAGTAAAAGAATAAAAGAATGGCTACTCCATCGGCAGAGCAGCCAGCGTTTTTATTTTTATTTTTCTAGACTGGTAAGAAGAGGAGGCTGATGGGTTACCAAATGCAACCACAGTAAGGGCATCTTGGCACCTATGGGCCTAATGCCATGGTGTTCTGCTGTCTACAGAGAGGGATGGAGAACGTGGTGAGGATAAAGGGCAGCTTGGGGCTTTAAGGAGTGGAGCGTCAGCAAGTCCTCAGCAGCCCACACCCATGTTCTGGGGCCATGTTTTGGTTTAGGTTTATACCCCATTCTCCTCTCCAACCTCACCACCTTCCTCATTATTTAACAATCATCTGCTGACCCTTAAATCACTAAGCAATTAGCGTGGTGTCAGGGAAAGTCATCGCTGAGTGAGCTGCAGCAGAGAAGGAGGAGATTGAGGCTCAGAGATTGAAAGTCACTTGTCCGAGGTCATACAGTGGGTTAGGAATGGCAGATGACAGGGTAGGTTGTGGTTTTTTTTTTTTATCACATCATCCTGCTTCAAAATTTGAAACAGTTTTGACACCTCTGGGTGTGTCTAAGCACTTGCACTGCTAGCCCATCCCAGAATGGATCCCCTCCTTCCCTCCCTGTACCCCCTTCAGACAAGATTTACTGAAGTCAAGTGAACCTTGGTTCAACCTTGTTCGTAGGTTCTAAGTGGTCGTTTCATTTAAGACATTTAACTAAAAGCCCTTTCCATAGAACCAACTCCTGCAGGCGTGCTGCCAGCAATTAATGAAAGATGATAAAATAATAAAAGAAGTAATACATTAACTATATTATCCTTGCACATTTGGGCAGTCCTTTTCATTATATCCTCTTTATGGACATTCTCCAGCAACATTTGAAGAGCTACTTTATTGCTGTTCTGCGACTGTTTGGGTTTCCAGACATTAACGGGCTCCTTAAACGCTAATGCTCTGCTGGCTCCCCGTCTCTATCGGGTGGGTTGGATGCAAATGCTCGGTGGGGTGCATTCCATCTGCACCTTTCCCTCTCTCTGCTTGGAGAGGCAGCTGGAAGAGAACTTGGGATGACAGATTTCATTTTTGGACTCTCAGCCTCTGAAAGAAATTGGTTTGTTAATTAAGAGAAATGATACAATTGGCCTCTCTCTGTAATTTGCTTAAAGAACAATTTGGTCTAGGAGCTGAGCGTCCCTGTGGGGACTTACGATTTCCAGGTCACAGTGTGTCGTGGGCATGACTGAGGTCTTTCCTGCCCTGAGCAGCAAAGCCCATGGGGACACCTGCGTGTCTGCCCCTCTCCTCTATGGAATCGGCCCTCCCCACCTTCCACCCCAGCTTTTACCAGATTCCCTAGCACCAGTGTCTGAAATTATAGTCCTACACGTTGCACCTGAGGCCTAAGCACTTCCTTACTAAAAGAACTCTAATTTTGGAGGAGGGGAAATATGCCTGACTAAAACGCCAACCTGCCAAAGACTCTTTGCAGCTGTGGGGGCCATGTCTCACCATTCTGACCGATGGGATGTGAGGTGAGGTATGGGCAGGATGTCTGGGACAGTTCAAGTGACCATGTGGCACAGCTCTGACCAGCGAGACATGAATAGAAGTAGAGGTGCGATGTCTGGGAAGGTTCTGCTAGCCTGACACAGAGCGCACTCCTTCCTCCCCTTCCTTCCCTTCCCTTCTTTTCTCTGTCTGGAACCAGGGCAGGTGTAACTCCTGGATAGGCAGCCAGCCTGCATCTTTGTTTTTTGAGGCAGAGTCTCACTCTGTTGCCCAGTCTGGAGTGCAGTGGCACGATCCAAGCTCACTGCAGCCTTGCTCTCTCATGCTCAAGTGATCCTCCCACCTCAGCCTCCCTAGTAGCTGGGACTGCAGGCTCGCACCACCACACCCGGCTACATTTTAAAATGTTTTGTTGAGACAGGATCTTGCTATGTTGCCTAGGCGGGTCTTGAACTCCTGGGCTCAGGCAATCTTCCTGCCTCAGCCTCCCAAAGTGCTGGGGTTACAGGTGTGAGCCACCGCCCCCAGCCCAGCCTGCTCCTTGGAACCACCAAGTGACATCCATGAGGCTGGAAGCACCTTCACCAGGGAGGACGGAGCAGACAGACAGAAAGGGTGTGAGTCCCTGGCTGTATTTTTGAGCTGCTGCACCTGCCATGGGTTGCCAACATCAGAACTTCTTGTAATGTGATACGAAGGGGCTGCAGGTGCTGAAGCCACTGTTGGGAAAGCTTTCTGTTACTTGCAGGGGGTTGCAGTCCTCACGGGTACAGGATCTCAGGAGCGAGCATGGGGCTGGACCAGTGCAGTGGTCCCTCTATAAGCCTGGGGAGGACCGAGTGTTGGCCATGGTCTGCTCTGGCCAGAGCCAGCATCCTCTCCATTCCTTCTTCTGGCCTACGCTTGACTCTCATGCCTCCTCAACTCCTGTCCTGTCACCCTCATGCTGAGCTGTTTGGGCAACGACTCTGACCTCTGCAGCCCTGGCCTTCACCAGGACGAGGAGCCTCTCTCCTTCTCATTCCTGTGTTCCCACCTTGGCCGTGGCTTCCAGTCCTGACCGTGTTGATAAGGGGGGCCCCAGCCCTCACTTCTGCCTCCAGCAGACAGTGGCTCATCAGAGGCAGAGCCTGTGGCCTGAGTGGGCCGAGGGTAAGACAACAGTCCCGGAGGGCAGCAGTGCGTGTCCTGATGGCCAGAGCGCGGCCGCCTGACAAGGAACACACTCTGTAGCCTTCCTGTGTCTCCCTTCCTTCCCCAAATCCTCACTACAGGAACTTCACTGGCTTTTTTTTATTTTTCCTAAGCCAAGGAAATGAGTGAGCCTGGAAAAAAAAAAAAAAGAGTACCTTGGGAAGAAAAGAGGGTGTTGGACTCATACGACGGGACTCATTGGTGGTCTCATATGAGCACTGTGAGAATAGAAGAGTCACTAGTAACTCCCACACACGTTTTATTTTATTATTTTATTTTTTGAGAGACAGAGTCTCACTTTGTCACCCAGGCTGGAGTGCAGTGGTGCAAAAATGGCTCACTGAAGGCTTGAACTCCTGGACTCAAGTGATCCTCCTGCCTCAGCCTCAGCCTCCCGAGTAGCTGGAACTACAGGCACGCATCACCATGCCTGGCTAATTTTTTAATATTTTGTAGAGATGGGTTCTCACTACATTGCCCAGGCTAGTCTGGAACTCCTGGGCTCAAGCAATCCTCCCACCTCGGCCTCCCAAGGGCTGGGATTACAGGTGTGAGCCACTGCACCTGGCCTCCCACCCGTTTTAGAATTGTCTTTTGTCATTGTATTTTCCAGCTATTTTTTATCGAGAACCCAATGTTCCCTGCGTTGAGTTGCTGGTCCCTTTGCCTGGCTGGGTTCTGGGAAGCCCAGTGCCTTTGCCAGTGTGGTTCCAGAATCCCAGTGTCCGGGGCCAAAGCCTGACTGGTTTTCACTCCTTTCCTTAGAGGGAGATGCGAGGCCCGCCAGTCTCCGCCCCCGGCCGTCTTCAGTGTCCTGGGTGCCTCCTTTCTTCTGGTGGAACAAGAGCAAGCGCAGCAGGAGACGCTGGGGAGGGAGAGGCCCAGCCCACGCTGAGGTTGGGGACACCGAAGTCAGAGAGTCCTTGTCAGGCAAGCTTGGGGGCAGGGACGGGAAGCGAACCCACGAGGTGCAGAGAGCAGAGGGCTCCCCTAAATCCGAAGCTATCCCCTGCCCTCCCTTCCTCGCGTGGCTTCCCGGGCGCGCTCTGCCTGTCTGCGGGGACTCCAGGCGTCCTTGTGTTTTCAGCTCCCGGCTCTTGCCCGCGCGTGTGGCCCGGCTGGGCGCTCGGGCTTCCTCCTCCCAGGCCCGCGGCGGCTTCCCGTCCTCGCAGGCGCGATCTTACCCCGGCCGGACAGTTAGGACGCGGTTGTGCTGACCTGAGGCTTGGCCCTGACTCCCGTGCACAGCGCCCGAGCTCCAGAGGCGGGGGATCTGAACACTGGCCTGTGAACCCCGAGAAAACCCCCGGTTTGCAGACCAGGTGTCCTTGTAGAGGAGGGCTTTGAATGCTACAGAGATTTCATCTTCAAAGCTCTTGGCAATAAGGGGTTTTTAAACTCATGACCCCCTGCAGAGAGAACCGACTAAAGAATCTAGCGGGGCAAACACCCACCCATACGTTGCCAATAAGAAAAGGTCCTCACTTTTACAACGCTTCAGCTCTACTGAGCAGTGAGATTGATTTGCTCGCTAGTGAAAACACAACCGGGGCCTGTATTTCCCATATCTGTATTTTGTGAATGCTTTTTCTTAGTATCTTTTAAATTTCTTTTTCATTTTGAGCTCGGAAGAAACCCTCATAACCTTTCAATGTAGAGATCTCATATTATTCACTATGGAAATCAAACAGCTTTGCCAGATTGGAACTGAAATGTCAATTAATTGTCAATTCTTCACATCAAGTAATTGATTAATTGGCACAATGTTAATCCCTAAATCAGTGGTAATAAATTACTTGGTTTTTAGTCTTGACCTTCAAAGTGCTAAAGCTCTTCAAATTGCCACTGTCCCTGCGGGAAATGACTGATGAAGCTACTCTCCTCCCATAATTCGTGTTGCTCCTAAACTTTCTACCTAATTGAGAATCACAGGAGTGCCTGGAAGCCGGTCTGCCAGAGAGCGCCAGCCTTGCCCAGACATCAGGTGGAAACTGGGCCACTGCCGGGCTGCAGTGACTTTCGGCTGATGATTTTTTTTTTCCTGCAAACCTAATCACTTTAATATCACATATAGTTAATTTAATAGGTGTCCTATTTATCACAAAATTTATGGCTAAACCACTGGGAAAGTGTTCTTTTCTCCTTTCTTCATTGGCCAGGCAGAACACGGAGTGAGTGGTGACTGTGTCTCCTGCAGTTTTTAACACCTGGTTTCCTCCTGTTACACCTTCACGTTTACACAGCCCATGTTCTCCTTGAGCAATGGCCGTGTGTCTTTAGATAAATGCCTTCAGCCTGACCCCAGATGGCTTCACTGGTTAACATTTTTATAGTCGGGGAAGCTTTGGGAATCGCTCTGGTACTCCCTTCTAAACATAGGCTTGGCCAGGCACAGTGGCTCACACCTGTAATCCCAGCACTTTGGGAGGCTGAGACGGGCAGATCACTGAGGTCAGGAGTTCAAGACCAGCCTGGCCAACATGAAAAAACCCCGTCTCTACTGAAATACAAAAATTATCTGGGTGTGGTGACCTGTCCCTATAATCCCAGCTGCTCAGGAGGCTGAGGCAGGAGAATGGCATGAACCCGGGAGGCGGAGCTTGCAGTGAGCTGAGATGGTGCCACTGGACTCCAGCCTGGGCGACAGAGCAAGACTCTGTCTCAAAAAAAATAAAAATAAAAATAAATTTTTTAAAATAAACATAGCCTTGTTCAGGAATATACCTGCTTTTGGTAAAAAATAAACACATGCTTGGATTTTTGCTTTTGCAGGACAGGCTCGGGGTGAAATTGTGAGGCAGGTCTACTCCCATGCCTTCAGCCCTCTATTGCGTCCTCTGTCTTTCCTGATGAGGTACAACACATAACTAAAATGTCACCTCTCAGGGCTGCTTGTGAATCAAGTCCTCTTGAAGAAGTCCCACAGCTGTCCCCTTGATGCCCGGGAGCCGCTGATGGGCAGCCCTGGCCCCTCTCCGCATCACTGTGGCCTCTCGTGTCACACTGCTCCACGGGCACCGTCCACAGGCTGCCGTGGGACTGGAACATGAGCCCCTCCAGGCAGGGGCAGTTCCTTCGTCAACTTATACCCACCAGGGCCAACCATGAAGAAGAAGCTGCATTATTTAAGCAGGTTACTCAGCCATTTAGAATTTCTCTGTCTGATTCCTTTTGAATTAGTTGACATAAGCCAGGAACAGTGACTCACACCTGTAATCAATCCCAGCACCTTGGGAGGCTGAGGCAGGAGGATTGCTTGACTCAGGAGTTCAAGACCAGCCTGGGCAACATGGCAAAACCCCCATCTCAACTACAAAATACAAAAAATTAGTTGGGGCTGGACACAGTGGCTCATGTCTGTAATCCTAACACTTTGGGAGGCTGAGATGGGTGGATCACCTGAGGTCAGGAGTTCAAGACCAGCCTGGCCAACATGGTGAAACTCTGTCTCTACTAAAAATACAAAAAAATTAGCCAGGCATGGTGGCTTGTGCCTGTAGTCTCAGCTACTCAGGAGCCTGAGGCAGGAGAATCACTTGAGCCTGGGAGGCAGAGGTTGCAATGAGCTGAGATTGTGCCACTGTACTCTGGCCTGGGCAATAAAACAATACTTCATATTAAAAAAAAAAATTAGTTGGGCATGGTGGTGCATACCTGTAGTCCCAGCTACCCTGGAGGCTGAGGTGGGAGGATCACCTGAGCCTGGGAGGTCGAGGCTGCAGTGAGCCATAATTGCATCACTGCACTCCAGCCTGGGCAACAGAGTGAGACCCTGTCTCAAAAAAAAAAAAAGTTAGCTGACATATTTTAATGAAATTTGACTAACATAAGTGTCAAAATAAGCATAAGCACATCAATAGGTCCATCGACCTTGCTAACACAAAATGGTGGCCAAGTAACGCTTTTAAATATACACATCATCTGTAAACCCCAGCGGTCTCCTGAGAGTGTGGGTGCGCTTTCAACGTTAGATGAGATCTGCTTCCATGGAGGGAAAGCTCTGCTATGTGACATGAGCCGCCACCAGCCATGCCAAGTGACCGCTTACTCCTTCAGCTCTAAGGCCAACCAGAAAGAGCTAGAATGATCTTCCTCCTGTCTGCATCTGGGCGGTCTCAGGAGGTTGTTAAGTGAACATTGTCCAATGTCCAAACACCCAGGTTCTCACCACCCGAGTGCCGGTCACTGTCTGTTTCTGAAAATTCACGCTCATCTCCCTGAGGGTGTCCCGTTAGCAAAATGAGGACAATGTTGCTTACCTCAGAGGGCTGTTTTTGAAAATTAGACAGTATATGCAAACATGTTGATAAAATGTTGCATTATGGATACGTTAGGTAGAGTTGTGCTATTTCCATGTTTCTGGGAGTTCTGCTGGAATTCATGGCTTTCTCTTCTGGGAACCTGCAAGTGTGGAGCTGGGACGCCTGGAGCCCCGATACTACCTTGCAGCCCCCTAGAGGGGTCAGCTTGGTGGAATGGGTTTGGCCAGGTCACTGCATGATGAGGGTCACCTCCAGGCCTCTAAGGCACTGCTTCCCAGGCCAGACGACTTGACTGTGGACTCCAGCCCTCCCTGAATCCGATTCCAGGGGTCCAGGCAGGGAATGTGAAGAGGAAAGTGGGCTGGCTCCAAGAGAGCAGGATGGGAGGGAGAGAGAGCACATCAACCCCTTGCCCACGCAAAAAGATGATCTTCAGTGTCAGCTTCACCTCAGTTGCACCCATCACAGGCATCCCATTGGGAGGTAGCTGGAGGCACAGCCTGGACTCCCAACACACTGGGCCTCTGGCCTGTAAGAGACACCGGAGGGACCCCCAAGTGCAAAGTACGAATCATGAGTGGATCTTGACATATTAAGAAGTCAACCGGCAGGGCGTGGTGGCTCATGCCTGTAATCCCAGCACTTTGGGAGGCTGAGGCGAGCAAATCACCTGAGGTCAGGAGTTGAAAAGCAGCCTGGCCAACATGGTGAAACCCTGCCTCTACTAAAAATACAAAAATTAGCCAGGCGTCATGGCACACACCTGTAATCCCAGCTACTTAGGAGGCTGAGGCAGGAGAATCACTTGAACCCAAGATGCAAAGGTTGCAGTGAGCCGAGATTGTGCCATTGTACTCCAGCCTGGGCAACAAGAGCAAAACTCCATCTCAGAAAAATAAAAAAATTTAAAAATTGAAAAAATGTAAAGTCAACCTTAAATGATGTGTAGGGAGAATTGGGAAAATGTGAATGTGGATGGTGGCACATTGTGTGATATTGTGGAAATGCCTGTTGTCTTTGGTGTGACAGTGTGATTGAAGGGATGCAGGAGAATGCCCTAGTTTTAGGAGATACCTGCTGGCCAAGGGTTTACAGGTGAGCAGTCTTGATGTTTGGCATTGACTTTCAAATGGTTCAGCAAAAGAAAAAAAAAAGGGCAAACACACAGCCATACCTACATATATATGTGTCCACACTGCCACACCTGAACCTACATGTATGTACTCATCCACACACTCACCCCTACACATATACAAATCCACTGATATGGTTTGAATCTGTGTCCCTTCCCAAATCTCATGCCAAATTGTAATCCCCAATGTTGGAGGAGGGGCCAGATGGAGGTGATTGGATCATGGGGGCAGATTTCTCCCTTGCTGCTGTTGTGATAATGAGTGAGTTCTCATGAGATCTGGTTGTTTAAGAGTGTGTAGCGCCTCTTCCTTTCCTCTATTCCTTCTTCTGCCAGGTAAGATGTGCCTCCTTCCCCTTCTGCCATGATTGTAAATTTCCTGAGGCCTCCCCAGCCATGCTTCCTGTACAGCCTGTGGAACTGTGACTCAATGAAACCTCTTTTTAAAATAAATTACCCAGTCTCAGGTAGTTATTTATAGCAATGCTAGAATGAACTAATATAGAAAATTGGTACCAAGAAGTGGGGCATTGCTATAAAGATACCTGAAAGTGTGGAAGTGACTTTGGAACTGAGTAATGGGCAGAGGTTGAAACAGTTTGGAGGACTTAGAAGAAGACAGGAAGATGAAGGAAAGTTTGGAACTTCCTAGAGACTTATTAAATTGCTGTGACCAAAATGCTGATAGTGACCTGGACAATGAAGTCCAGGCTGAGGAGGTCTCAGATGAAGATCGGGAACTCATTGGGAATTGAAGTAAACATCAGTCCTGCTATGCTTTAGCAAAGAGATGGGAGGCATTGTGCCCCTGCTCTAGGGATCTGTGGAACTTTGAACTTGAGAGTGATGATTTAGAGTATCTGGCAGAAGAAATTTCTAAGTACCTGGCCGGGTATGGTGGTTCACTCCCATAATCCCAGCAGTTCGGAAGGCCAAGGGGGGTGGATCACCTGAGGTCAGGAGCTCGAAACCAGCCTGTCCAACATGGTGAAACCCCATCTCTACTAAAAATACAAAAATTAGCCAGGCGTGGTGGCGGGCACCTGTAATCCCAGCTACCCAGGAGGCTGAGGCATAAGAATCACTTGAACCCGGGAGACAGAGGTTGCAGTGAGCCAAGATTGCACCACTGCACTACAGCCTGGGTAACAGAGCAAGACTCTGTCTCAAAAAAAAAAAAAAAAAAAAAAAAAAAATTCTAAGCAGCAAAACATTCAAGATGTAGCCTGGCTGCTTCTAACAGCATATGGTCATATGCATGAGCGATGAGATGACCTAAAACTGGAACTTATGTTATTTATATATTTTTCGAGTCAGAGTCTCACCTTGTCTCCCAGGCTGGAGTGCAGTGGTGCAACCTCAGCTCATTGTAGCCTCTGCCTCCTGGGTTCAAGCGATCCTCCTGCCTCAGCCTCCCAAGTAGCTGGGACTATAGGTGTGTGTCACTACACCCAGATAATTTTTGTATTTTTAGTAGAGACAAGGTTTCGCCATGTTGGCCAAGTTGGGCTCAAACTCCTAACCTCAAGTGATCCACTGGCCTTGGCCTCTCAAAGTGTTGGGATTACAGGTATGAGCCACCATGCCTGCCCTGGAACTTATATTTAAAAGGGAAGTACAGCATAATAATTTAGAAAATTTTCAGCCTGACCATGTGGTAGAAAGGAAAAACCCATTTTCTGGGGAGGAATTCAAGCCAGCTACAGAAATTTGCATAAGTAAAGGGAAGCCAAATGTTAATAGCCAAGACAATAGGGAAAATTCCCAGAAGGCATTTCAGAGACCTTCTCAGCAGCCCCTCCCATCACAGGCTTGGAGTCTTAGGAGGGAAGAATGGTTTCACAGACCAGGCCCAGGGCCCCACTGCCTTGCACAACCTTGGGACACTGCTCCCTGTGTCCCAAAAACTCCAGCTCCAGCTGTGGCTAAAAGAGACCCACAGATGTCTCAGGCTGCTGCTCAGAGGGTGCAAGCCACAAGCTATGATGGCTTCCACATGGTGTTAAGCCTGTGGGTTCCCAGAGGGCAAGAGTTGAGGCTTGGGAGCCTCCACCTAAATTTCAGAGGTTGTATGAAAAGGCCTGAATGTCCAAGCAGAAGTCCACTGCAGGGGCAGAGCCCTCATGGAGAACCTCTACTAGGGCAATGTGGGAGGGAAATGTGGGGTTGGAGCCCCTGTACAGAGTCGCCACTGAGGTACTGCTTAGTGTAGCGGTGAGAAGAGGACCACTGTCCTCCAGACCCCAGAATGGTAGATCCACTGACAGCTTGTACCATGTACCTGGAAAAACAGTAGGCAGTCAATACCAGCCACTGGGAGCAGCCGTGGGGGCTGTACCCTGCAGAGCCACAGGGGCAGAGTTGCCCAAGGCCTTGGGAGCCCACCCCTTGCATCAATGTTGCCTGGATGTGAGACATGGAGGCAAAGGAGATTATTTTAAAGCTTTGAGACTTAATGACTACCCTGCTGGGTTTTGGACTTGCATGGGGCCTATAGCCCCTTTGTTTTGACCAATTTCTTCCCTTTGGAATGGGAGTATTTAGCCAATGTCTGTATCCCCACTGTATCTTGGAAGTAACTAACTGGTTTTGATTTCACAGTATTATAGGTAGAAGGAACTTGCCTTGTCTCAGAAGAGACTTTGGACTTTTGAGTTAATGCTGGAATGAGTTAAGACTTTGGAGGACTATTGGGAAGGCATGGTTATATTTTGAAATGTGAGGACATGAGATTTGAGAGGGGTCAGTGGCAGAATGATATGGTTTGGATTGTGTCTCTACTGAAATCTCATGTTGAATCATAATCCCCAATGTTGGAGATGGGACCTGGTGGGAGGTGATTGAATCACGTGGGCAGATTTCCCCCTTGCTGTTCTCATGATACTGAGTGAGTCCTCATGAGATCTGGTTGTTTAAAAGTGTGTAGCGGTGGCTTGCACTTGTAATCCCAGCACTTTGGGAGGCTGAGGAGGGTGGATCATCTGAGGTCAAGAGTTCGAGACCAGCCTGGCCAATGTGGTGAAACCTCATCTCTACTAAAAATACAAAAATTAGCCAGACATGGTGCAAGCGCCTGTAATCCCAGCTATTCAGGAGGCTGAGGCACAAGAATCACTTGAACCCAGGAGGTGGAGGTTGCAGTGAGCCGAGATCATGCCATTGCACTCCAGCCTGGGCAACAGAGCCAAAAGTCCATCCAAAAAAAAAAAAAGTATGTATCACCTCTCCCTTACTCCCCCTTTCTTCTCTTCCTCCTTCTCTGGCCATGTAAGATGTGCATTGTTCCCCTTCACCTTCCAGCATGATTGTAAGTTTCCTGAGGCCTCTCCTCCCGTCCTGTACAGCCTGCAGAACTGTGAGTCAATTAAACTTCGTTTCTTTATAAATTACCCAGTCTCAAGTAGTTCTTTTTTTCTTTTTTTTTTTCCCCTTGAGATGGAGTTTTGCTCTAGTTGCCCAGGCTTGAGTGCAATGGCATGACCTCAGCTTACTGCAACCTCTGCCTCCCAGGTTCAAGCCATTCTCCTGCCTCAGCCTCCCTAGTAGCTGGGATTACAGGCATGCACTGCCATGCCTGACTCATTTTGTATTTTTAGTGGAGATGGGGTTTCACCATGTTGGTCAGGCTGGTCTCAAACTCCTGACCTCAGGTGATCTGCCCACCTCAGCCTCCCAAAGTGCTGGGATTATAGGTGTGAGCCACTGCGCCCAGCCTCAGGTAGTTCTTTATAGCAATGTGAGAATGGACTAAATACACACCACACACCCACCCCTACATATATATACACCACACACCCACCCCTATATAGATACAGGCCACACACCCACCCCTACATATATACACAGCCACACGTCCACCCCTACGTATATACACACACACATACCCACTTCTACATAGATGCACACCACACACTCCCCTATATAGATACATACCACACACCCACCCCTACATATATACACACCACACGCCCACCCCTACATATATACACACCCACACGCCCACCCCTATGTATATACACACCACACAGCCACACCTACATATATACACACCACACACCCACCCCTGCACAGATACACACCCACACACCCACCCCTACATATATACACACCACACACCCACCCCTGCACAGATACACACCCACACACCCACCCCTACATATATACACACCACACGCCCACCCCTATATAGATACACACCCACACACTGACCCCAATATAGATACACACCACACTCCCACACCTACGTATATACACACCCACATGTGCACATCTACCTATACACACGCCCACATGCCCACCCCTACATATATACACGCTCACACACCCACACCCACATATATACAAGCATCCCCTGGTCCACATTCCCCTACACCTGTGTCTATACATTTGCACCCCAGGACTACACACATTTAGCTACACGTGACTAGGTAGAAGAAAGCAAATGTGCCATAATGTTAACTAGCAGTGAATTGGGGGGCAGGATATATGGATAATCCTTGTACTATTTTTTAAATTTCCTGGAAATCTGAACATTTTGAAAATAAAAATGAGGTGAATAAGACACTGTCCAGATAAAAGTAAAACTCATTTGTAGGTTGCATTTCACCCACTGGCTACTTATAGTAAATTTTGGAACTGGAAGTTTCTTTAAATTCAGATTGAAGCTTTCTCTTTGAGTCTTTCAAGTTGCTGTAACTTTTTAAAAATGTATATTTGAAACTCAGTAGAGAAATAGTATTTGCTCTAACTTTCTGCTCTCTTTTTTGTTTTTGGAAGAAAAACTCTACTTTGACAAAAATCTATATGAAAAAGAAATTGGTTTAATGACATCAGTAGAGAATCTAGGGGAGAGGCCAACACCTAATGAGAAAGCAGCCTCCTGTGTGGGGAATTTGGGGTGAAACCTGGAGAAATGCTCCACTCTGCACAAACCAAGTTGAATTGTTTTCAGAAGCGTAAGGTTCTACGTAGCAAGAGGCTTTTCTCATATGCACCTCACTTTCTCGGTTGGAGTGGCAGAAATACCTAAACGCAGAAGAATGTGCATGCAAGGGCTCGCGCTGGCATACAGTAGGGCTTGCTATTGACGATGAGCGCACCCACGGCTCCGGCAACTACAAGGCGGTGCTCACGGACAGCACGGCCCTCGGCGTGGATATCCGGAAGGCAGCCACCACCTTCTTCTGCGTTCTTGTTTTGCATTTTCCTTCATTTCTATCAACCGACTTTGCTGCTATAGCCGCTGCTTAGCAAAGCCGGTAAACATGAGGTTGTAATCGTTGAATACGGCACTCTGGCAACCGAGACGCTGAAAGGCTGCCTTTTCCGGGATGAAGAAGGACTGTGTGGCGTTGAGATATCTAATTACATACAGGATGGTCACAGATCTTCCTGGCTGAAGATCTGCACAACTTTTCTGCTCAGACCACCACAGGACGTCTGACTTGAATGTGTTTCAAAGCTAACGTAAGTAACTTCTAGTCCTGGAGTGACGTGCATTGTCCCATGAATTCCACCTGATTTCATTCCATTCACTGAATCCCCAGAAGGGCTGCCCAGTGAGTCCTCAATGACAGAACCTGGTGTCAGGTCGAGAGTGCCACGCTCACCCTTTGCAGAAACAGAGTTGCTCACGTAGAACTGGTCCATAACTGCTGGTCAAGCTGCCTCATCAGGATGGCCACGGTTGACTCTGGCTGGCTGGTTAGTGGCCCTGGGAAATCCGGAGTAGACAAGTACTAACGGTCAGAATTCCTGCGTCCCATACAATACGCTGTTCCATTGGGGAAAATTACATTAAGAAGCTGTTTCTCTCTGGAAGTTTCAAGGTAGGCATCCTTGGTGAGGGGACTACATTACATTCTTATGAAAATAAAATAAACTTTGTGGTTTTTTTTCTTTCTTTTGAAACAGTCTCACTCTATTGCCCAGGCTGGAGTGCAGTGGCGCGATCTCTGATCACTGCAACCTCCGCCTCCTGGGTTCAAGGAGTTCGCATGCCTCAGCCTCCTGAGTAGCTGGGACTACAGGCGCACCACCACACCCAGCTAGTTTTTGTATTTTTAGTACAAAAACTAAAAGTCCAGGCCCTGCTTGGACTTCTAATTGTGGTAGAAAATGCCTGGCTGTGGTGTGACATGCTATCCATGTTTAACATCTGTAATCACAAGTCCTCTTTCCAAATCAGAATGTTAGAAGTTTAGGGAGTGTAGTCACCTTTGTTTTAATTAGGAACATGTTTAGAGGGCAGGAATTAGCTTGAATGAATAACGGGGTCCCCACTTGGCATGCGAAAGTCGGTATCTGCCTGAGACACAGCCACAGGTGGGAAATTACAGCCTTTATTGCGTGTTCCTCCACCATACCAACCTTTCTGCTTTGGAGGAAAACTAGATGTTAGCACAGAGCCACAGCTGGTGGCCTTGGCCTCTAGGAGGAGGGTTCCTGGCCTGAGTCACGTGTTGGGGATGACTTGCAATCAGGGCTCCCCTGACAATGTTTGCACCCGCGCTTGCCACACTCGGCCAGGGAGCGGAGGACAGATGGCTCGGCCAGCCTCTCATTTACAGAAGTGGCTTCACAGAAGGCTTCGTTTTTCCCACTGCTCACCGCCCCAGCCCATGACACCAGGCAGGAGGGGAACTGCTCCTCCCAGGATGTGGGGGCTCTGGGTCCTCGCTGTCTGTCCTTCCATGGGAAATTGGAGTCACGCCCTCGGAGGCCACGTCTGGACTGAAACCATTGTCCTTGGGTTTGGTCGGGGAGTTTCCACGGGGACCATGAAAGGGAGCAACAGGGAAGACAAACGACAAGTCTGTTTGAAAGGGGACAGGCTACAAATCAATACTGGGAGGAGTGGGGGAAGAGGGGAGTTAAGGTTGGAGGCAGGAATGAGGGAAAGATGGCGGAGGCTGTGGCCCTGCGAGTAGGACAGGAAGCCTTTAAAAAGAGATACCACTTTTTACACCTAAAAATATAAAGCTGTCAATTTTCATTAAGGATGAAGCAAATGAAATCTAGATGGTGCCAAATAATTAACGACTTTTAATAACCCTAATAAATTTGGATTTCATCAAATCCATGTTGCCGATCATTGGCGATCGCTAGCAGGAATGGGGAGCTGGGAGGGGCCTCACACCTGTGTAAAACTGGACGCAGCTGACATCCCTCCCAGGTACATCAATTATCATTAAAGAGTAATAAGAATGCCAAGATGGACTGCTTTAGCACTTCAGTATGGAGGCCCTTACATTTAAAATTAAATCCATTAATTGTAACTACTCTACTTTTGTGATCCCGCAGGTAGTGCACAAACTAATTCATTGCTTTGGCAATCACGCAGGTCTTTGTTCATTAAGGATCTTGATTTATTTCTCATAGGGAAGTCCGCACGTGTGTGCCCAAAATCACACTGATAAAGGGTCATTCGATCATTTTGTTCCAGACAGTTAGAAACTGACTGTGAAATATGTCTCTGGAATCTGGACCAGGGTTGACTTGCGGAAGGTGTGGAAATGGGCGACAGGGGCCCCCAGTGCTCCAGGCAGCTAGGCTCCTGGAAGCCCTAGGAAGAGGCAGGGCTTCCTCTCACCTGTGTTGCACAAATTTATTTTAAAATAAAAGTTTCTTAATGGCGCTTGGCATGTTCTCTGACTGTTCCAGGTGGCAGCCACTTTGATTCATCAGATTCCATGCTGCCAGGGGCTGGAGGGAGAGAGGAGGACTTGGCCTCATAGGCCTGCAGGGCCCTGGCTGGAGGAGGAAGAGGGATTTGAATAACAGCCCCCCGGGCTGCGCTAGCCCAGGGGCACCTGGGGCAGCCTCGAGGCGGCTGGACTCAGCACGCAGGCCCCCGGGCTCTTGTGTGGCCGTAGGGACTTGCCCAGGGAGTCAGCCTGGCTGACCAGCCCTGCCTCACCCTCCCCCAGGACCCCAAGGTCAGGGGCGCCTGGCCTGGGCCCTGGACGTCATTCTGAGGACTCAGTGCCAGCCTTGCAGCTAGCAGGGGCAAGACCAGCCAACTGCGTTTTGGGGACACGGTGGCCCTGAGAACAGCATCTCAGGGGACGCAGGCTGAGACAGGACAGGAGCTGTGCAGGGTGGGACACCGCAGGTAAGGGCAGGGACTGCCAGGATGAGCTGCCTTGCGGCTGACACCGTGACTTTCGGGTGGCACAGAAGCTGTAGGCATCAGCGGAGAGCAGCGCAAAGTGGACAGCAGAGATTTGCACAGCTGGACAGGGCAGCTCCGTCACCCGTGACCATGAGAGTGAGCCACCTGCTCGTTGCGGTGGGCTGTGCCGCCCCATGATTTTGCCAACTGTGGGCTCATGCGAGTGTTCTGAGGTGAGTGTGGTTAAGGTAGGCAAGGCTAAACATGGTGTTCCATAGGGTGGCTGTGTTAAATGCAGTTTCGACTTTCCATATTTTCAACCTACCAGGGGCTTACTGAGACATAACCTCGTCCCTAGTTGGGGAGCATCTGTAGTTACCATCTCTTGTCCGGGGTTATAGGCACCCTAAGGAAGCTTCCCTAAATGGTATATGAGCTGACAATACTCAGCCATAGCTCCTGCATCCCCTCAAAACCGTGCTCTTTTTTTTCTTTCTATATCTTTATTTTATTATTTCATCCACTCGAGCACATATATGATCTTTCTTCAATCTGACAGTCTCTCAAGTATTTAAAAGATATGCAGGCTGGGTGCGGTGGCTCATACCTGTAATCCCAGCACTTTGGAAGGCTGAGGCGGGTGGATCACTTGAGGTCAGGAGATGGAGACCAGCCTGGCCAACATGGTGGAACCCCGTCTCTACTCAAAATACAAGTTAGCTGGGTATTATGGCGTGAGCCTGTACTCCCAACTATTTGGGAGGCTGGGAGACAGGAGAATCGCTTAAACCCAGGAGGTGGGGGTTGCAGTGAGCCAAGATCATCCCACTGCATTCCAGCCTGGGTGACAGAGTGAGACTCCATCTCAAAATAAATAAATAAATAAATAAATAAATAAATAAATAAATAAAAGATACGCTTGTGGTAGGCAGAAAATTCCCACCAAGGATGCCACACCCTAATCCCTGCAACCTGGGACTACGTTACCTTACAGCAGAAGGGACCTTGCGGATGTCATGAAGTCAAGGATTTTGCCAGGTGAGACGATCCTGGGTTACGTGATGGACCCCATGTCATCCCAGGGTGCCTATGATGGGAAGCCAGGAGGGTCAGTCAGGGAAGGGAATTGAGGACAGAGCAGTGGTTGGCATGAAGTGATTGCTGGAATGGGTCACGAGCCAGGGAATGCCAGACAGGGCTAGAACAGAGCCTCCCCCAGCGTCTGCAGAAGGACCCCGCCCTGTGACGCCTTGGTTTCAGCCCAGGGAGACTCATGAGGACTTCTGACCCCCAGAACTGTAGGGCAACACATTCATGTTGTTTTAAGCAATTGAATGTGTGGTCACATATTACCGCAGCCCCAGGGAATTCACCCAGTAGAGGCTCACCTCTCGCCATTGAACCTGCAGCTCCCCTCTCTCCACAAGAGCAAAGCGCAACAGAACCCAGAAGATTGGCCCAAAGGGAAAAAGAAAGGCAAAATGAATATAAGCAGAGAGTTTATTTGGCCCAAGTTTGAGGACTGCAGCCCAGGAACATAGATACAAGTTGCCTCCAATGTGGACTCCGATTAGCAGCAGTTACAAGTGAGTTGTAAAAAGAAGCAAAAGCTGGAAGGAAAGAAAGGGAAACAAAGGGAAAGAAGAGGGATGGTCTGTGTGGTGGCTCACACTCGTAATGCAGCACTTTGGGAGGCCAAGGTGGCAGGACTGCTTGAGGCCAGGAGTTTGAGACCAGCCTGGGCTACCTTAGAGATAATGAGACCCCCATCTCCACAAAAAATAATTGTAAAAAATTAGCCAGGCATGGTGGTACCTGTCTGTGTACCAGCTACTCAGGAGGCTGAGGTGGGAGGATTGCTTGAGCCCAGGAGGCTAAGGCTGCAGTGAGCTATGATTGTGCCACTGCACTTCAGCACCCTGGGTTACAGAGCAAGACCCCTTCTCTATACGAGAAAAAAGAGAGTTCCTAAGTTGTTTACCAGTAAGTTACATTAAAGTAACATATGCTATCGATTGGCTACATATTGTTCTTTGTATCACAAATTCCAGGAACATGAAGACAATGGGTGAGGTTGCCAATCAGTATCAAAATACCTTTCAACAGTTGCCCCCAGATGTGGGTCCCTGACTGCTCTAAGCTACTTTTCTTTTCCACTCAGCTATTTTCAGCCCCGTAAGTGGATGCCCCACCAGTCCTCTAAGAGGGGATGAGTGAAACTGCCTCTGCAAGATCTTCTGACAGAGAGAGAAGCCTGGCATGGCTGACCCCATCTTACCTCTGTCCTCACCGGCGGGCTGTCCTCATTGGCTCCTGGGTGTAGGCCATGCTAACCATGGGGGGGAGTTAGTTAATTGTTTAAGTTGAAAGCAAGGATGATATAATAGTCCCTCCCTGACATTGCTCCCCTCCTTGTGTGGGACTGAAACTGCCTTTGTGAGACTAATGAAAGGCCACGAGATTCAGATGCTAGGAGGAGCCTGGGGTTGTGCCAACATGCAGGTACAGCTAAACATCAACCAGCCATCGTTCCCCAGCTTGTTTTCTGTAATTTCTTAACACTCAGGAGTCACGTGGCCAGAGGTCACAAGATTTGTGGCTTCCTCAATTGCTCCTAGAGATGACATGACTCTCCTAAGACCTAAGGTTGGTCTTTTGAGATGTTTTTCAGACTTTTGCATTCTGGCAACCAACGGACCCCACCCAGACCTGTGACTCATAACTCAACTGTGGCCCCACCAAGAGGTGGGCTCAGTGCTGAAGGACCATCTTTCACACTTCCATTACTTCATCCCCAACCAATCAGCAGCACTCATTCCCTAGCCCCTCTGCCCACCTAATGGCCCATAAAAATCCTAGTCTCTGTGGCCAGGCGCATGTCTATAATCTCAGCACTTTGGAAGGCTGAGGTGGGAGGATTGCTTGAGCCCAGGAGTTTGAGACCAGCCCAGGTAACATAGCAAGCCCATATCTCTTAAAAAAAAAAAAAAAAAAAAAAAAAACCAAAAAACTGGGCGTGGTGGCATGCACCTGTAGTCTCAGCTATACTCAAGAGGCTGAGACAGGAGGATTTCTTGAGCCTGGGAGGTCAAGTCTGCAGTGAGCCATGGTTGTACCATTGTACTTCAACCTGGGCAACAGAGTAAAACCTATCTCAAAAAAAAAAAAAATTTAAAAACAGGCCAGGCACAGTGGCTCACACCTGTAATCCCAGCACTTTTGGAGGCCAAGGCGGGTAGATCACGAGGTCATGAGTTCGAGACCAGCCTGACCAACATGGTGAAACCCCGTTTCTACTAAAAATACAAAAATTAGCTGGGCGTGGTGGTACGCGCCTGTAATCCCAGCTATGCAAGAGGCCGAGGCAGGAGAATTGCTTGAACCTGGGAGGCGGAGGTTGCAGTGAGCTGAGATTGTACCACTGCACTGCAGTCTGGGCGACACAGCGAGTACTAGCCTCTGAGTTCTCAGGGAGGCTGATGAGAGTAGTGATAAACTCCTGCGCTTCCACTTGGCTGGCCTTGTGTTAATTAAACTCTTTCTTTACTGCAGTAACAATGTCTCAGTGAATTGGTTTCCTCTGCGCACTGGGGCAAGAAGAACCTGT
The DNA here is from genome assembly GCF_000001405.40 of Homo sapiens. Classification (NCBI taxonomy): domain Eukaryota; kingdom Metazoa; phylum Chordata; class Mammalia; order Primates; family Hominidae; genus Homo; species Homo sapiens. The sequence continues at coordinate 157,094,451 of NC_000007.14, forward strand.
CAAGCGATTACTTGAGGACCTTCCAAGACTCCCCTGTTGGCCGCCTCTTGGGTTTGTCCGGCCACTTCATGACAACCACGGCCATCTGGTGTCAGCGCATTCTGAAGAAGCCCCCGACTGGCCTCTGTGGTTTTTGTTGTTGTTGTTGTTGTTTTTTGTGGTTTTTTTTGGCAGACTCTTGCTCCATCGCCCAGGCTGGAGTGCAATGGTGCGATGTCAGCTCACTGCAACCTCTGCCTCCTGGGTTCAAGCGATTCTCCTGTCTCAGCCTCCTGAGTTGCTGGGAGTACAGGTGCACACCACCACACCCGGCTAATTTTTGTATTTTTAGTAGAGACGGGGTTTCATTTTGTTGGCCAGGCTGGTCTCGAACTCCTGACCTCAGGTGATCCACCTGCCTCGGCCTCCCAACGTGCTGGGATTATAGGCGTGAGCCACTGCACCCGGCCTTGTGGTTTGTTAAGTAAAAATTATTAGAGGCCATTGCTCTAGACTAAGCTCCTGCACTAGATCATGACATACCTGACTAAAAACCAACATGGAGTCACTCACACTAAAGTTCCAAGTCACCCAACAGAAACTGAGTTGCTATCTGGCCTTCTAAGAAATCACGAGAGAATGACACCAAATTTCCCAAACTGGCAGCTTCAGTGGGCCTGATAATGAATCAAATGTCGCCTGAAGAAACCTGAAACTCACCAGCTGGCTATTTTTCTGTTTCCCTGTTCCCACCATACAAGGAAAGTAACTTTGAAATGACCAATTCACTTTTTTTCTTTTTTTGAGACAGGGTCTTGCTCTTCTGCCCAGGCTGGAGTGCAGTGGTGCAATTACGGCTCACTGCAGCCTTGAACTCTGGGGCTCAAGTGATCCTCCTGCCTCAGCTTCCTGAGTCGCTGAGACCACAGGTGCACACCGCCACACCCAGCTGACCAATCTGATTTTTTGTTCTTTGTTTCTGCTTTCTTCAGCCCTTTTCTGTCTTTAAAACCAACTTCCTCTGTTTGGTTCATTTGAGCACTTATTTATTTTATTAATTTTTTTGACACAGAGTCTCGCTCTGTCGCCCAGGCTGGAGTGCAATGGCATGATCTCGGTTCACTGCAACCTCCGCCTCCCGGGTTCAAGCGATTCTCCTGCCTCAGCCTTCCAAGTAGCTGGGACTACAGGCACACACCACCACGCCAGCTAATGTTTGTATTTTTAGTAGAGACTAGGTTTTGCCGTGTTGGCCAGGCTGGTCTCGAACTCCTGACCTCAGGTTATCCACCCGCCTTGGCCTCCCAAAGTGCTGGGATTACAGGCTTGAGCCACCATGCCCAGCCTATTCTATTTTATTGAAAGAAGTGTTGCCAGATCCTAGAATTGCAAATAAAGCAATAGTTTAGATCTTCAAACTAAATCTGTTGTAACTTTGTCTTTTCACAGGTTTATTCAATTATGACCCTAAGACTGTCTGGAGCAACAAACAAGTGAATCTGAGATTGTCTAGTACGTTAATAACCGATCGCTTAATCCAAACGATCGCACTGTGGGTGGGTGTCCTCCGTTTGGCTTTCGACATTCTAGACTTTTTATTATTTTCATTTGAATCTACCTTTACAACGTACTCAATATCCTCAGCCACATCATCCAATGCTGGTACTTTCTTTTAAGTCTAAGAGAATGAAAATTTAATCTTGAAAATTATTTCAGCCTGTCTTAAGACCCCGACTTTGCTCTGAGGGTCCCCCAGGTTTCACCAGCTGTGGGCCAGGGTGCTGCCAGGTGCAGTGTTTGCTATGGCGATTGCACAGGGCAACTGTCACCTGGGGCTTGGTTTATGGGCTGCCACATGAGGCTCGTTCTGAGCAGGAAAGCACCACCCGTAGCCTGCTGTTCTACGCCTGCTCAGGACGATGTGAAAAGCATCGCAAAGATGTGCAGCCTCTGTGGCAAAATGCTATTCCCATTGCTATAAGGTGGGTCCGAACAAACCCCCCGCAGCGTGGGAGAGGCAGTGGGGTGGAACTTGCTAGGGCAACAGCAGCCCCACGGCCTGGAAGGGGATGGCAGCAGGGTGCGCAGGAGGGCAGCGAGCCGGCCATTTCCAGAGCGAAAAACGACGTGCGGTGGTTGTTTTGGTTTATGAATTTCCTCTCCAGGAGCAGGGAACCCTGGTGGGGCCTCTGGCCAGGCCTGCGAACAGCGCTGGTTCCTCTGAAGATTAGGTTGTCTGGATTTCATTTCATCTTACAGGCTGAGTATATTTTATGGGTTTTCGTGAAAGGCGTGATTTATGCTTTGAGACTCCTGGAAAAGCCCTGGCTTTTAAAAATAATCTCTGAAAATGAATTTCTCCTGGGGGTCAGTGACATTGTCTTGTGGCCCAGGAGGGCTCAGTCCTCGTCAGCATCAGAGTTTAGGTGTTTCCCTCTCCTTTCAAAATTCGCTTCTTCTTTCAAAATTTGTTTTAAAAATATCAGCTATGTGAAATATGTCCGTCTACTTATCTTTTCCATGTTTGTGCCCCTCCCCTGGCACTTATCTGCGCTCTTCCTCCACAGCAGGCCAGTTGTAGCCATTTGTTGATTGAATTTGCAGGGAGTGCACAAACGTCGCTCAGGTGGAAGCAGGGGCAGGGCTGTGCTTTGGCACGGAGGGCCTCGGGCTTTTACGAGACCCCTACTGCTGGCCCCCCCATGCGCCATCACACGCTCCGTAATCAGGACTTCTGAGGACGCATTGGGAGGGGTTGGGCTGTGGCTTCACTCTGTTCTGCTTCACATTGAAATGACCCTTTTCCCGGCAATTGCCTGAAAAGATTAAAGGTCAATTCGCTGCAGCTCAGTGGGTGTCAACCCAGCCCCTGGCCAGCCCGTCTGGGAAGGGAAGACAAAATCAGTGAGGGGACTGGGCACAGTGGCTCACACCTGTAATCCCAGCACTTTGGGAGGCCGAGGCAGGTAGATCACCTGAGGTCAGGAGTTCGAGACCAGCCTGGCCAACATGGAGAAACCCCGTCTCTACTGAAAATACAAACACTAACTGGGCGTGGTAGTGCGTGCCTGTAATCTCAGCTACTTGGGAGGCTGGGGCAGGAGAATGGCTTGCACCGGGAGGAGGAGGTTGCAGTGAGCCGAGATTGTGCCACTGCACTCCAGCCTGGGCGACAAAGCAAGACTCCATCTCAAATTAAAAAAAAAGAAAAGAAAAGAAACTCAGTGAGGGAATAAGAAAGGAGGAGGGCAGGTGGAAGAGTCCTATGATCTCCAGGGACAGGCGGTGGCAGGTGGCAGGTGGCAGGCAGCAGGTGCTAGGAGGCGGCCGTGTGCCCCTCCCTGGTCCTAAGGGGGAATTGAAGTGAGGGCAGGAAGGAAGGGCTGGGCACTGTGATGAGGCTCCTGATGGGGAGGGGCAGGCACAGTGGCCACCAATCTGCTCTGCAGCTTCCTGTCTTCTATCGCTCTCCAGGCTCCCTTCAAATCCCTTGTGTTTAAAAGTTTATTATTTTATTATAATTTTAAGACAGGGTCTCCCTCTGTCTCCCAGGCTGGAGTGCAATGACACAATCATAGCTCACTCCAGCCTCGACCTCCTGGGCTCAAATGATTGTCCCACCTCAGCCTCCTGCATGGGACCACTGGCTCACACCACCACACCAGACTAATTATTGTATTTTTAGTAGAGACAGGGTTTTGCCATGTTGCCCAGGCTGGTCTCCAGCTCCTGGGCACAAGTGATCTACCTGCGTCAGTCTCTCAAAGCGGTGGGATTACAGGCATGAGCCACCTCGCCTGACCTAAAAAAGTTTTAAATTTATTTTTATTTTTAATTATGGTAAAATAAACGTAACATAAAATTGACCATTTGAACATTTTTAAGTGTCCTTTTCGGTGGCATCAAGCACATTCGCATTTTGTGCCACCATGAGCACCATCCATCTCCGGAGCTCTTTTCATTCTCCCCGACTATAATCAAGCTCTGTCCCCACTCCACACCAACTCCCATCCCCTCACCCCTCAGCCCTTGCCAACCACCATTCTACATGCTCTATTAATTTCTCTTTTTTTTTTTTTAAGATGGAGTTTTGCTCTATCACCCAGGCTGGAGTGCAGTGGTGCGATCTCGGCTTACTGTAACCTCACACTCCCGGGTTCAAGTGATTCTTCTGCCTCAGCTTCCCAAGAAACTGGGATTACAGGCACCTGCCAGCACGCCTGGCTAATTTTTTCTATTTTTAGTAGAGACGGAGTTTTGCCCTATTGGCCAGGCAGCTATCGAACTTCTGACCTCAAGTGATCCACCTGCCTCGGCCTCCTAAAGTGCTGGGATTACAGGCGTGAGCCCTCTGCACCCAGCCTGTGTTAACTTTAAATATATCTTTTTTTTTTTTTTTTTTGAGACAGGATCTTGCTCTGTTGCCCAGGCTGGAGTGCAGTGGTTCAATCTTGACCCACTGCACCCTCTGCCTCCCGGGTTCAAGCAATTCTCCTGCCTCAGCCTCCCAAGTAGCTGGGACTACAGGCGGACGCCACCATGCCTGGCTAAATTCTGTATCTTTAGTAGAGACGGGGTTTTACCATATTGGCCAGTCTGGTCTCAAACTCCTGACGTTGTGATCCGCCCGCCTCGGCCTCCCAAAGTGCTGGGATTACAGGTGTGAGCCACCACACCCAGCCTTTTTTCTTTTTTAACTATACATCACCGTCCTGGGAGAATTTTACATGTTTCACATAAGTAGAATTAGACAGTATTGGTCCTTTTGTGTCTTGACAGTGAGCATAATTGAAACTGCCCTCACAGGGTTAACCTGAACCACATGCCGCGTTCTGGGTGCAGATAGAGTTGTGATGAAGCATTCTTCAGGCTGCACTGTGGCCCAGTTCGTGGGTGCTGAAGTCCTGTAACCCTCGCCCTGGACCACGTGCAGCCCCAGTATTCCTACAGAGAGGATGGCTGATGTTAGCATTATGAGGCTCTTGTTTAAGAATTGCCAAGTTGTGCCTCAACTCCTGGATTCCAGCAGAAAAGCTGACTCCGACCAGTGTGAAGACCCCACAGAGGAGCGGAGTCCGCCTGAGAATGCAGGTTCTTCCTCTCTCTGTCCCATGACTTCTCCCCGCGCTCTTCCACCCATCAATGATCTGGTCCCACACCTCGGCCCACCCTGACCCCCTGAAATCCCTAGCCCCAAACTCGCCAGGGGGCGGATTTGAGTTCTCCCTTCTGCTTGTTTGCAGGCCTTGGGATTAAAACTCTGTCCTCTGCAACCCTGGGTGTGGGTGTCTGAGTACTGACTCACTGTGCCCCGGGCCTGTTACAGTCACAGTACATCCTCAGGGCCCGTCCATATTGTCGTCTGTGTCAGAAGCCCCTTCCTAGGATTGAATAGTATTCCAAAATTGTTTGACTTTTTCAACCCATAATTTTTTTTTAATTATACTTTAAGTTCTAGGGTACATGTGCACAATGTGCAGGTTTGTTACATATGTATACATGTGCCATGTTGGTGTGCTGCACCCATTAACTCGTCATTTAGTATTAGGTATATCTCCTAATGCTATCCCTCCCCCCTCCCCACACCCCACAACAGGCCCCAGTGTGTGATGTTCTTCCTGTGCCCATGTGTTCTCATTGTTCAATTCCCACCTATGGGTGAGAACATGCGGTGTTTGGTTTTTTGTCCTTGTGATAGTTTGCTGAGAATGATGGTTTCCAGCTTCATCCATGTCCCTACAAAGGACATGAACTCATCCTTTTTCATAGCTGCATAGTATTCCATGGTGTATATGTGCCACATTTTCTTAATCCAGTCTATCATTGATGGACATTTGGGTTGGTTCCAAGTCTTTGCTATTGTGAATAGGGCCGCAATAAACATACGTGTGCATGTGTCCTTATAGCAGCATGATTTATAATCCTTTGGGTACATACCCAGTAATGGGATGGCTGGGTCAAATGGTATTTCTAGTTCTAGATCCCTGAGGAATCACCACACTGACTTCCACAATGGCTGAACTAGTTTACAGTCCTACCAACAGTATAAAAGTGTTCCTATTTCTCCACATCCTCTCCAGCACCTGTTGTTTCCTGACTTTTTAATGATTGCCATTCTAACTGGTGTGAGATGGTATCTCATTGTGGTTTTGATTTGCATTTCTCTGATGACCAGTGATGATGAGCATTTTTTTCATGTGTCTGTTGGCTGCATAAATGTCTTCTTTTGAGAGGTGTCTATTTATATCCTTTGCCCACTTTTTGATGGGGTTGTTTGCTTTTTTCCTGTAAATTTGTTTAAGTTCTTTGTAGATTCTGGATATTAGCCCTTTGTCAGATGGGTAGATTGTAAAAATTTTCTCCCATTCTGTAGGTTTCCTGTTCACTCTGATGGTAGTTTCTTTTGCTGTGCAGAAGCTCTTTAGTTTAATTAGATCCCATTAGTCAATTTTGGGTTTTTGCCATTGCTTTTGGTGTTTTAGTCGTGAAGTCCTTGCCCATGCCTATGTCCTGAATGGTATTACCTAGGTTTTCTTCTAGGATTTTTATGGTTTTAGGTCTAACATTTAAGTCTTTAATCCATCTTGAATTAATTTTTGTATAAGGTGTAAGGAAGGGATCCAGTTTCAGCTTTCTACCTATGGCTAGCCAGTTTTCCCAGGACCATTTATTAAATAGGGAGTCCTTTCCCCATTTCTTGTTTTTGTCAGGTTTGTCAAAGACGAGATGGTTGTAGATGTGTGGTATTATTTCTGAGGGCTCTGTTCTGTTCCATTGGTCTATATCTCTGTTTTGGTACCAGTACCATGCTGTTTTGGTTACTGTAGCCTTGTAGTATAGTTTGAAGTCAGGTAGCGTGATGCCTCCAGCTTTGTTCTTTTGGCTTAGGATTGACTTGGCAATGCGGGCTCTTTTTTGGTTCCATATGAACTTTAAAGTAGTTTTTTCCAATTCTGTGAAGAAAGTCATTGGTAGCTTGATGGGGATGGCATTGAATCTATAAATTACCTGGGGCAGTATGGCCATTTTCATGATATTGATTCTTCCTATCCATGAGCATGGAGTGTTTTTCCATTTGTTTGTGTTCTCTTTTATTTCATTGAGCAGTGGTTTGCAGTTCTCCTTGAAGAGGTCCTTCACATCCCTTGTAAGTTGGATTCCTTGGTATTTTATTCTCTTTGAAGCAATTGTGAATGGGAGTTCACTCATGATTTGGCTCTCTGTTTGTCTGTTATTGGTGTATAGGAATGCTTGTGATTTTTGCACACTGATTTTGTATCCTGAGACTTTGCTGAAGTTGCTTATCAGCTTAAGGAGATTTTGGGCTGAGACGATGGGGTTTTCTAAATATACAATCATGTCATCTGCACACAGGGACAATTTGACTTCCTCTTTTCCTAATTGAATACCATTTATTTCTTTCTCTTGCCTGATTGCCCTGGCCAGAACTTCCAACACTATGTTGAATAGGAGTGGTGAGAGAGGGTGTCCCTGTCTTGTGCCAGTTTTCAAAGGGAATGCTTCCAGTTTTTGCCCATTCAGTATGATATTGGCTGTGGTTTGTCATAAATAGCTCTTATTTTGAGATACGTCCCATCAATACCTAGTTTATTGAGAGTTTTTAGCATGAAGGGCTATTGAATTTTGTTGAAGGCCTTTTCTCCATCTATTGAGATAATCATGTGGTTTTTGCCTTTGGTTCTGTTTATATGATGGATTAGGTTTATTGATTTGTGTATATTGAACCAGCCTTGCATCCCAGGGATGAAGCCAACTTGATCGCGGTGGATAAGCTTTTTGATGTGCTGCTGGATTCGGTTTGCCAGTATTTTATTGAGGATTTTTGCATCAATGTTCATCAGGGATATTGGTCTAAAAATCTCTTTTTTTGTTGTGTCTCTGCCAGGCTTTGGTATCAGGATGATGCGGGCCTCATAAAATGAGTTAGGAAGGATTCCCTCTTTTTCTATTGATTGGAATAGTTTCAGAAGGAATGGTACCAGCTCCTCTTTGTACCCCTGGTAGAATTTGGCTGCAAATCATTCTGGTCCTGGACTTTTTTTGGTTAGTAGGCTATTAATTATTGCCTCAATTTCAGAGCCTGTTATTGGTCTATTCAGGGATTTGACTTCTTCCTGGTTTAGTCTTGGGAGGGTGTATGTGTTCAGGAATTTATCCATTTCTTCTAGATTTTCTAGTTTATTTTTGTAGAGGTGTTTATAGTATTCTCTGATGGTAGTTTGTATTTCTGTGGGATCGGTGGTGATATCTCCTTTATCATTTTTTATTGCGTCTATTTGATTCTTCTCTCTTTTCTTCTTTATTAGTGTTGCTAGCGGTCTATCAATTTTGTTGATCTTTTCAAAAAACCAGCTCCTGATTTCATTGATTTTTTTGAAGGGTTTTTTGTGTCTCTATTTCCTTCAGTTCTGCTCTGATCTTAGTTATTTCTTGCCTTCTGCTAGCTTTTGAATGTGTTTGCTCTTGCTTCTCTAGTTCTTTTAATTGTGATGTTAGGGTGTCGACTTTAGATCTTTCCTGCTTTCTCTTGTGGGCATTTAGTGCTATAAATTTCCCTCTACACGCTGCTTTAAATGTGTCCCAGAGATTCTGGTATGTTGTGTCTTTGTTCTCATTGGTTTCAAAGAACATCTTTATTTCTGCCTTCATTTCGTTATGTACCCAGTAGTCATTCAGGAGCAGGTTGTTGAGTTTCCATGTAGTTGAGTGGTTTTGAATGAGTTTCTTAATCCTGAGTTCTAGTTTGATTGCACTGTGGTCTGAGAGACAGTTTGTTATAATTTCTGTTCTTTTTCATTTGCTGAGGACTGCTTTACTTCCAACTATGTGGTCAATTTTGGAGTAAGTGCGATGTGGTGCTGAGAAGAATGTATATTCTGTTGATTTGGGGTGGAGAGTTCTGTAGATGTCTATTAGGTCTGCTTGGTGCAGAGCTGAGTTTAATTCCTGGATATCCCTGTTAACTTTCTGTCTTGTTGATCTGTCTAATGTTGACAGTGGGGTGTTAAAGTCTCCCATTATTATTGTGTGGGAGTCTAAGTCTCTTTGTAGGTCTCTAAGGGCTTGCTTTGTGAATCTGGGTGCTCCTGTATTGGGTACGTATATATGTAGGATAGTTAGCTCTTCTTGTTGAATTGATCCCTTTACCATTATGTAATGGCCTTCTTTGTCTCTTTTGATCTTTGTTGGTTTAAAGTCTGTTTTATCAGAGACTAGGATTGCAACCCCTGCTTTTTTTTTGTTTTCCATTTGCTTGGTAGATCTTTCTCCATCCCTTTATTTTGAGCCTATGTGTGTCTCTGCAGGTGAGATGGGTCTCCTGAATACAGCACACTGATGAGTCTTGACTCTTTATCCAATTAGCCAGTCTGTGTCTTTTAATTGGAGAATTTAGCCCATTTACATTTAAGGTTAATATTGTTATGTGTGAATTTGATCCTGTCATTATGATGTTAGCTGGTTATTTTGCTTGTTAGTTGATGCAGTTTCTTCCTAGCCTCGATGGTCTTTAGAATTTGGCATGTTTTTGCAGTGGCTGGTACCGGTTGTTCCTTTCCATGTTTAGTGCTTCCTTCAGGAGCTCTTGTAGGGCAGGCCTGGTGGTGACAAAATCTCTCAGCATTTGTTTGTCTGTAAAGGATTTTATTTCTCCTTCACTTGTGAAGCTTAGTTTGGCTGGATATGAAATTCTGGGTTGAAAATTCTTTTCTTTAAGAATGTTGAATATTGGCCCTCACTCTCTTCTGGCTTGTAGAGTTTCTGCTGAGAGATCAGCTGTTAGTCTGATGGGCTTCCCTTTGTGGGTAAGCCGACCTTTCTCTCTGGCTGCCCTTAACATTTTTTCCTTCATTTCAACTTTGGTGAATCTGACAATTATGTCTCTTGGAGTTGCTCTTCTCGAGGAGTATCTTTGTGGTGTTCTCTGTATTTCCTGAATGTGAATGTTGGCCTGCCTTGCTAGATTGGGGAAGTTCTCCTGGATAATATCCTGAAGAGTGTTTTCCAACTTGGTTCCATTCTCTCCGTGACTTTAAGGTACACCAATCAGACATAGTTTTGGTTTTTTCACATGGTCCCATATTTCTTGGAGGCTTTGTTCATTTCTTTGTTCATTTCTGGAGACTGAGTCTTGCTCTGTCATTCAGGCTGGAGTGCAATGGCCAACTACAACCTTGGCCTCCTGGGTTCAAGTGATTCTCCTACCTCAGCCTCCCAAGTAGCTGGGATTACAGGCATCTGCCACCACGCCTGGCTGATTTCTGTATTTTTAGTAGAGACGAGGTTTCACCATGTTGGCCAGGCTGGTCTTGAACTCCTGATCTCAGGTGATCCACCCACCTCAGCCTCCCAAAGTGCTGGGATTACAGGCATGAGCCACTGTGACCGGCCTCATAATTTGTTTGCTTGCTCTTGATTGGCAGGAGAAAGGTGAAGCTCTTCACAGACTGTGAGTCAAATCTTGCCCCATGCTGCTTCAATCCCCCTGTGGCTTCCCTTTGGAGGTGGGGCAGGCCGAAGCCCCAGCCCTGTCTTCCTGGCCTTTCTCTCTCCAGACAGCCCCAGGCAGGTGCTGGGATCCTCGCTCTTCACTGCCTTGAATGCGCTGAGGCTGCTTTGCTGCAGGCCATCCCTCCCTGCTGTTCCTAGGCCCTAAGTACCTTCTTCAAACTCTGTCTTTTGGGTCTTGTTGGAGAAAAGAGTCAAACTCTGTAAAACAGTTGAAATTTATTCTGAGACAAATGAGTGACCATGGACTGGGGCAGGATCTCAAGAGGTCCTGATGCGTAAGGTGGTTGGGCTACAGCTTGGTTTTATATGTTTTAGGGGGACATAGGCCATCAATCAGCACATGTGAGATGTACATTGGTTCAGTCTGGAAAGGCGGGACAGCTGGCAGCGGTGGGGTGGGGACTCCAGGTCACAGATGGATTCAAAGATGCTCTGATTGGTAATTGGTCGAAAGAGTTAAGTCATATCTAGAGACCTGGATGACTAGAAAGGAATGTCCTGGTGAAGATAAAGGGTTGATAAGGTTTGGCTGCATCCCCATTCAAATCTCAACTTCAACTGTATCTCCCAGAACTCCCACATGTTGTGGGAGGGACCCAGGGGGAGGTAACTGAATCATGGGGGCCAGTCTTTCCTGTGCTATTCTCGTGATAGTGAATAAGTTTCACAAGATCTGATGGGTTTATCAGGGGTTTCTGCTTTTGCTTCTTCCTCATTCTCCCTTGCTGCTGCCACATAAGAAGTGCCTTTCACCCTCTGCCATGAATATGAGACCTCCCCAACCATGTGGAACTGTAAGTCCAATTAAACCTCCTTGTTGTTGTTGTTGTTGTTGTTGTTCTTGTTGTTGTTGTTGTTGAGATGGAGTCTTGCACTGTCGCCTGGGCTGGAGTACAGTGGCGATCTCAGCTCACTGCAACCTCTGCCTCCCAGGTTCAAGCGATTCTCCTGCCTCAGCCTCCCAAGTAGCTGAGATTATGGGCGACCACCACCATGCCTGGCTAATTTTTTTGTATTTTTAGAAGAGATGGGGTTTCACTATGTTGGCCAGGCTGGTCTTGAAATCCCGACCTCGTGATCCACCCACCTTGGCCTCCCGAAGTGCTGGGATTACGGGTGTGAACCACTGCGCCCGCCCTAAACCTCCTTTTCTTCCCAGTCTTGAGTATGTCTTTATCAGCCGTGTAAAAACAGACTGATAGAGGGGTTTTGGAGACCAAGGTTCTTCTCATGCAGATGAACCTCTCCAGGTAGCAGGCTTCAGAGACAATAGATCGCAGTTGTTCCTTATCAGAAGGTGCCAGGCTCTTAGTTAATTATCTCCTTGATCAGGAAAAGATCTAGAAAGGGAAGGTGATTCTCTACAGAATATAGATTTTCCCCACAAAAGACAGCTTTGCAGTCCACTTTAAAATATGTCAAAGAAAAATATCTTGGAGTAAAATACTTCCATTTCTTTCAGGATCAGCCACCTGCCATGTTGATACCCTGTGGCTGCAAAGGGTCTGCTTTGTCCTTCTTCAGGTCTCTGTTTCAGTGTTAATCTGGTCAGCCGTGCCTGAACTCCAAAGTGAAGAGGGCAGAATGAGGGGAGTCTGACCACCCCTTCCCATCATGGCCTGAGCTAGCGTTTCAGGTTTACTTTGGAATGTCCTTGGCTGAGAGGAGGGGTCCATTTAGTTGACTGGGGGCCTTTGAATTTTATTTTTGGTTTGCAGTCTCAACAGTTCAGGTCACCCTCTCGAATCTCAAAGAGGCTTTCCTTGCCTTCTTCGTCTTCTTCTTTTTTTTTTTTTTTTGAGACAGAGTCTAGCTCTGTCACCCAGTCTAGAGTGCAGTGGCACGATCTGGGCTCACTGCAAGCTCCACCTCCAGGGTTCAAGCAATTCTCCTGCCTCAGTCTTCCAAGTAGCTGAGATTACAGACATGCACCACGAAGCCCATCTAAATTTTGTATTTTTTTTTTGATAAAGACAGGGTTTCACCATGTTGGCCAGGCTGGTCTCAAACTCCTGACCTCAAGTGATCTGCCTGCCTTGGCCTTCCAAAGTGCTGGGATTATAGGCGTGAGCCACTGTGCCAGCCTATTTTTTCTTTCTTTCTTTCTTTTTTTTTTTTTTGAGTCAGGATTTTGCTCTGTCATCCAGGCTGTGATGTGAAACCACCTTTGCAAAATTATGACAGCAAAAGAAATCTGCCACAGCTGACTCCATCTTGCTTCTAAGCGCTAAGCTGTCTTCCTTCATTCCTGGGTTTAGGCCAAGCTAACCTTGGGAGGAATTTAGTTTATAGTTTAACTTGAAAGCAAGGATAATAATTGTCCCTCCCTAAAACTAAATCCCTCCTTGCCCAGGGACTCAAAACTGCCTTTGTAAGACTAAGGAAAGGCCACGAGATTAGGCTTGTGGGGGGGAACTGAATTCTGCTAAAATGTACATATAGCTTCTATAATCTCTTCCTGTTCAAGAGTCATGCGGCCAGAGGTCACAGGATCTGTGATTTCCCAAATTGCTCCTATAGATAACATCACTCTTATAGAACCTAAGATTGGCCTTTGAGATTTTTTCAGACTTTCTGGCAATGGACTGATCCCATCCAGATTCATGACTCGTGCCTCAGTCAGTCCTGGGGCCCCACTCAGAGGTGGACTCAGTGCATGAAGAGTGTTTTCCATGCCCCTGTGATTTCATCCCCAGCCAATCAGCAGCACCCATTCCCCAGGCCCCTGCCCACCAAGTTGTCCCTAAAAACCCTAAGCTCTGAGTTCTTGGGGAGACTGACTTGAGTAGCAACTCCGTCTCCCATGTGGCCAGCCTCACATCAATTAAACTCTTTCTTTACTGCAATGCTGTGGTCTCAGTGAATTGATTTTGTCTGTGCAGCAGGTAGGAAGAACCCATTAGACAACTACAATGATCTTCTCTTCCTCTGCAGAAGGAAGCTAGATCTACATGAATAAGGACCTAGTTTTTCTAGTCCAGAGTTTGGTTGGGCATGGCACAGGTGCACTGGAGACCCACCTGTTACCCTCGTACCTGAAGCTGGGTGAGCCCCCAGTGCAGAAGGTGGAGAGTGAAGGGCTGAGCAGGGAGGGTCAAGAGGTGAACACCCAAGTGTACCAAATTTCCCTTCTCACCACTTAGGAAGGAGTTTGGGAAGCTAAACCAAAGGCTGTGAGCGTGAATGAAATCTCACTTGCCTTTACTAAATTTAGGCAACTTGTCCATGTGTGTGATTCCTCTGGCTTTATCAATGAGCAGGCAGGAGAGGCAGAATGGCAGGGCAGGAGAGTGGTTTGCACTGGATGGAGGGGCCCGGGACTGCAGCCGACCAGGGACCCTTTGCGCCTTGATGCCTTGCGTGAGTCCAGCTGTAGTTACCTGAACAAGCGAAGCCTGGGGTTCCTGCTCCTAATCAAAGTGTGTGGCTATCTGCCCCATTAATGCGCTAGTGTTTTGCCAGACCCCTATTGACTCCAACAGGGAGGGCACTGTGTCCCAGAGGCTGAAGAATAGACTTGGAATCAGTGAGTGGGGCATAAGGGTTATTGAAAACTTACATACAGGGCAGTCCAGGAGCGGTAGGCTGGACAGGAAAACTCTACTGGGTGTAAAAAGCAAGCAGTTTATGTGACATTTTCCCTTAGCGCCCTCTCCTAGCAACCTTCATTTAACCCAAAACAGTGGGCCTCGATCCCCTGTTAAGTCTGTGTTCCAAGGAATGGCCAGGCGTTTGGAGGTCCTTCATAGATGGAGAGAGAACCTCCCGGTTGGCCACCCCCAGATTCCTTCGCTCAGGACGCTGAACACACACCCTTCTTAGACCACAGCTTCATTCTCAGGTTATGTTGAGTCATTGCTGTCAGGTGCATCTGCATCAGGTAACCTCTAATGCTCTGTAGCCACCACCTTGACTGGCAGCAACTGGAACGTTTCTGTAGAATGAAGTCTATTGTCTAGATTTTGTTTCTGGAGTATGTTCAGTAATTCAGAAAGAGCAAGTTACTTGTCACTCAGGGAACTTACAAGTGGTTTGTTAGAGAAGGGTATCGTGACTCATGAACTCTCCTGAGAACTCTTTAGGGTGGTCGGCCCTAGAGTAAGCAAGTGTGGCTGGAAAATAGAAAACCTAAGGAGTGAAAAGGAGGCTGGGCGTGGCGGCTCATGCCTGGAATCCCAGAAGTTTGGGAGGCCGAGGAGGATGGATCACCTGAGGTCAGGAGTTCCAGCTTGACTAACATGGTGAAACCCCATCTCTACTAAAAATACAAACATTAGTGAGGTGTGGTGGTGCATGCCTGCAATCCCAGCCACCTGGGAAGCTAAGGCAGAAGAATCACTTGAACCTGGGAGGCGGAGGTTGCAGTGAACCAAAATCGTGCCATTGCGCTACAGCCTGGGCAACAACAGTGAAGCTCCATCTCAAAAAAAAAAAAAAAAAGTGAAAAGCAGAGAACCCTTCTAGTTACACTGTACTCACATGATCATCACACCCTTCCTTGGATCTTGCCAATATGAAGAAAATAAAAATGGCTCCCACATATTGAGCACGTACTATACCTTAAACAAACACTTTACGTGTATTAGCTTAAGTCGTACCACAACCCTATAAGTAAGGATTATTGGAGAATTAAAATGATGAGTTTGATTACCCAATGTTACACAGCTAATATACCACAGACTGGGGTTCAAATCTAAGTCTGTGTGGCTCCCAGGTCTGTCCCTTAAGTAGAAATACCACCCTCACTTAGCAACAGAAGTTTAGGATTATCTAAAGATCTCTAACCAAAGGTATGGTCTGATATCAAGGGTGCAACTCCCTCCCTTAGGAAGTTTGGAAAAAAGCAAGTCCTAAAGAATATTTGTAGCAAGATATCATCTATCTTACTATAGATTTTTAATTTAAAAATCTTAACTAAAATAATAATTTGATTTAAACTATTATTTTAGATAGTTGTGTGCATTTTTTTAAATACAAAAATCTTACTGTTTCTTTATTTTATTTTTTTTTATTTTTTGAGACAGAGTCTCACTCTGTCTCCCACACTAGAGTACAGGGGCACAATCTCGGCTCACTGCAACTTCTGCCTCCTGGGTTCCATTGATTCTCCCGCCTCAGCCTCCCGGATAGCTGGGATTACAGGCGTGCGCCACCACACCTGGCCCTACAGTTTCAAGATGATGGGATGACAGCATTTCTACCTTACTCTCTGCCTGAACCAAAATGAGGTGGCAAAGTCACAGGAACAGAAGTCCTGCTTTTGGTGAGACTACAAGACACCTGGAACCTGAATCACAGTGTAGAAGAACGTCAGCAGACAGTGGACGCAAACATGACCCCACAGAGCGGACAGTCTGGAGCAGCCAGTGGATCCCTCCACATGACCTGTGTGAAAGGAAAGGAAAATCTCGAGACCAAACTCACCATGCCAAAGGGAACTGAGTCATGCAATGCCTGCCTGCCTTCTGTTTCCAGACAGCTGTGATCCCCATGCCTGCGTTATCGCATGTCAAATGTAGACCTACTGAGCGTGAGACAGATGCATGACTGGCTTTCCCCTAACTCTGTTCTTTTTTTTTTTTTTTTTTTGAGATGGAGTCTCACTCTGTCATCTAGGCTGGAGTGCAGTGGGGCGATCTTGGCTCATTGCAACCTCCGCCTCCTGGGTTCAAACGAGCCTCCTGCCTCAGCCTCCCGAGTAGCTGGGATTACCGGCGCATGCCACCATGCCTGGCTAATTTTTTTGGTATTTTTAGTAGAGATGGGGTTTCGGCATATTGGCCAGGCTGGTCTCAAACTCCTGGCCTCAAGTGATGTGCCCATCTCAGCCTCCCAAAGTGTTGGGATTACAGGCATGAGCCACCATGCCCGGCCGGCTCCATTCTTTACACAGGTGAAATGTAGATTCTCTGAGTGCTAATCAGAGCCTCATGAGAATGTGGCCTCTCACCTGTTTGCCTACCCTCTTTGTTTCCCTTTTCTCCTTTCTCTTGAAACACTGAAGTCCTTAAAACCCTCTTTGGTAAAAGCACAGGACACAGATTCTATTGTGCCTTGAGTTTCTTTTTCCCGGGCACATGCTCAACCTCAGCAAAATAAATCTCTCAGCCGATTGGGATCTGCCTGTCACTTTTTGTTTTGTTTTTCGATAGGTCATTTTAAGGACTTTATTAGTCGCTGTTTGGTTTACATCCAATAAGGACAAGGGAACAACCACAGGTGCTGACCCAGGGCACGGTTGGGGCCACGCAGGACTGGTTAACGGGTAAGGACTACTTAGACCCCCAGTTCCTAGCCCCTACAGTTAGGCAGTCACTCTTTCCCATCCATTTACGGGTTTAGAGTTTTAATTTATAACAGTGGAACTGGAGAGATTCCAGTTTGGGAACCAGGCTGACGGAAGGACAGATGTTGAAGCAGGATGTTTCCCTGACCTCTTTGCCCGCGGGAACTGAAGTGCGTGGGCACCAGCAGGGGCCAACTCCACTCACTTCCTGCTCCACCCCTCGTGGGAGCACAGGTGCACATGTGCAGGAGTCGGGGTGGGTGCTTTGGGTGCGGCAAGAGCGAACTCCATACCAGCCCTCCCGGCAGTGTCTAAAGGAGGATGCCTGCAACCCCTGAAGCCCCAGAGGAAGTGTTACAGTGCCCTTTTAGCTTTGCCATCCATGGCTTAAGTGTTAACAGCTCAGCAGAGGGTCAGTGTGACAGCCTTTTGCACCCACACTTGTAGCACTTGAGTTCTTGTCTGGCGCCCAGGAGGAATGAGGTTGCATGAATGACTTGAAGGTGGTAAATGCAGGACATTTTGTTGCTGATGAAAGTGGCTCTCAGTGGTAAGGGGAGCTGAAAAGGGGACGAAGTGGGAAGGTAATCTCTCTGAAGCTATGCCATCAAGTTGTTCCCCTGAACTCAAGCCACTTCTCTCCAACATCCAGCTGCTTCTCCTCTCCCTGCCAGCTTAACCAGGGGTTTTTAATGGGCACAGGACCACTGGTGAGGCGGGCCATGGGTGGTTTTGGAAAAGGCGACATTGGAGCTGGAAAACACAGATGTATGTTCTCACTTTGGGCCACAGTACGAGGTTTTGAGGCTTGAGGGTGGGGCCCTCACTGGAGACCTGCCCTCCTCTGCCCAGAACGTCCCTGCCTCCTGTCCTTATCAATATTTGGTGAGTTAAGTATTTTTAATTTCTTTGGGTATGATAATGGAACTGTAGTTATGGTTTACCAAAAACCCAGTCCTTATCTTTTAGCAATACATCCTGAAATGTTTATGGGCAAAATGGCGCAATGTGTGGGGCTGGCTTTAAAATAAGCTGGGTGGGAAGAGGGTGCAGGTACAGGGAGAAGGTGGCTGTGGAGGAGACAAAGTGAGGGATGCACTGGTGGCTGCTGGGGCTGAGTGATTGGCATGTGAGGATTTATTAAGCTCATCTCTCTACTTCTGTAGATGTTTAGAATTTTCTGCAATAAGATGCTTAAAAAAATTAAATGATGGCCTGGTGTGGTGGCTCATACCTGTAATCCCAGTACTTTGGGAGGCTGAGGCAGGCAGATTGCTTGAACCCAGGAGTTTGAGACCAGCCTGGGCAACATGGCGAAACCCCGCCTCTACAAAAAATACAAAAATTACGCAGGTATGGTGGTACATGCCTGTAGTCCCAGCTACTCAGGAGGCTGAGGTGGGAGTATCAATTGAGCCTGGGAGGTTGAGGCTGAAGTGAGCTGAGATTGCACCACTGCACTCCAGCCTGGGTGACAGAGTGAGACTTTGTCTAAAAAAAAAAAAATTTAAATGATGTTAACTGGGCAGAACAAAACAGTAACCCACAGCCACCACTTCAGAACAGTCATGGAGGTGAGGGACCCGGGGAAGCAGAATCCAGACCGGGTGCCTTCGACAGAGAGGCTTTACCCAGTGTTACCCGAGGAGTGGCTCATCGACCGGGGCAGGGCTGGCCCAGAACCTGTGCAGCAGCAGGGAAGTTCTGCAAAGGAAGAAAGAGATTCTATAAGGGAGGAAGAAACGGGGAGGACAGGGGCAAACAGATGGCCAGCATGGCCCCACATGGGCGTGCTTTGCTCAATGATCTCCTAATCTTGAAAAGTAAGGAAAAAGGCTCCCTTTGAAACATGACTGAAATAATTTTAGGACAATAACAAGGCATCATGATATTAATATAAAGAAAGAGAATTGGAAATTGCATCCACCTGGGTAATTTTCTCTCCTCGCTGAGATTAAATTTTCTAATCTGTAAAATGAGGGGGTTGGACAAGATCCATGGCTATCAATCTTCATCCTACTTAATACTGAGCTATTTACTATCCGTATGTCAGTCTTTGCACCTCAAAAATACATAAAATATCTTAAAGTAATCATATTTCCCCAGGAAAAATATAATCAAAAACCTACTTAGCAAATTTAATTTGAAAGATGATGAGGCAGGAGGATCAGTTGAGGCCAGGAGTTTGAGATGAAGCTGGGCAACATAGTGAGACCCTGTCTCTACAAAAAAAATTTAAAATTAGCTGGGCATAGTGGTACATACTTGTAGTACCAGCTACTTGGGAGACTGAGGCAGGAGGATTGCTTCAGTCTAGGAGTCAAAGGCTGCAGTGAGCTGTTATCATGTTACTGAACTCCAGCCTGAGTCACAGAGTGATATCCTGTGTCTAAAAATATAATAAAAAGTTGAAAGATGAGGGATGTAGTTTGGCTGTGTCCCCACCCAAATCTCATCTTGAATTGTAGTTCCCATAATCCCCACCTGTGGCAGGAGGGACTTGGTGGGAGGTGGTTGAATCATGGGGGTGGTTTCCCCCATGTTGTTTTTGTGGTAGTGAGTAAGTTCTCACAAGATCTGATGGTGTTATAAGGGGCTTCCCCCTTCACTCGGCTCTCATTCTTCTCCCTCCTGCTGCCATGTGAAGGAGGACATGTTTGCTTCCCCTTCTACCATGATGGGTAAGTTTCCCAAGGCCTCTCCAGCCATGCTAACCCGTGAGTCAATTAAACCTCCTTCCTTCATAAACTACCCAGTCTCAGGGATGTCCTTTTAGCAGGGTAAGAACAGACAAATACAATGAGCCACGGATGGATGAAGGGGGCTTGCTTTCTAGTGTGGCATTGGACAATTGGATGTGCATTCATGGCTCTGCATTTGGTTTATTATTGTTCTCTGTTTTCCATGTAGAAATGACTGCAAAACCCAGACTTCAGGATATCACTAGCTTGTCATTAAAAATGTTTAAGTTTAAATCTCTATTGCATAATAATTCCGCAATTTTTAAAATTACCAAATCAGGGTTTATGATCTGAAAAAGACTGTGAATTTTCAGTTTCACGAGGAAAACCCCCATGTGTGTGGAGTCTTATGCTGCACCTCATTGGCCATCAGTCTTGTGATTTTCCTGTGAAAAGTTGTCATGGGTGGAGAAGAAACTAAATCAACCTTTGTTTTCTCATCCATACCATATCTGAATTTTCTTTTCTTGTGGCTATGATTTTGCCATGGCAGAGAAGATGTTTTGCCTTAAAAATGTAGGTTTCTTCAACTCCTAGGTATATGTTCAAAAGAATTGAAAGCAGGGACTCAATCAGATATTTGTATACCAATACTTTTTTTTTTTTTTAAGAGATAGGGACTTGCTTGTCGTCCAGGCTGGAGGTCAGTGGCACAATCACAGCTCACTGCAGCCTCAAACTCCTGGGCTCAAGGGATCCTCTTACCTCAGCCTCTTGAATAGCCGGGACTATAGGCATGCCCCACCATACCTGACTAATTTTTATTTTTTATTTTTTAGAGATAGGATCTCACTTGTTGCCCAGGTTGATCATGAACTGCTGGCCTGAAACCAACCTCCCGCCTCAGCCTCACAAGTCATTAGAATTATAGGTGTGAACCACCTCCCCTGTACGATATCAATATTTGTATAGCAGTGTTAGTCACAGTCGCCAGAAGGTAAAGCAACCCAAGTGTCCATCAACAGATAAATGGATGAACAAATTGTGGTCTATTCATACAATCGAATATGATTGAGTCTTAAAAAGGAAAGAAATTATGACACAGGTTACAATACCGTTGAACCTCAGAAACATTATGCTGAGTGAAATAAGCCAGACACAAAAGAACAAATGCTGCGTGATTCCACTTTCATAAGGTACCTTCACAGTCAAATTCATAGAGACAGAAGCTCCAGGGGTTGGGGCAAAGGGGAATGGGGAGTTAGTGTTTAATAGGGACAGAGTCTTAGTTTGGAAAGATGAGAAAGTTTGGAGATGGATGGTGGTAATCATTGCAAAACAATGTGAATGTATTTAATGTCACTGAACTGTATATTTAAAAATGGCTAAATGAGGCCAGTTATGGTGGCTCACAGTTATGGTGGCTCAACCTGTAATTCCAGCACTTTGGGAGGCCAAGGCAGGAGGATTGCTTGAGCCCAGGAGTTCGAGACCAGCCTTGGCAACATAGTGAGACCCTATCTCTACAAAAAATTTAAAAATTAGCCAAGTGTGGTGGCATGCCCCTGTAGTCCCAGCTACTCAGGAGGCTGAGGCAGGAGGATCATTTGAGCATGAGAGGTCAAGGCTGTAGTGAGCTATGATCGTGTCACTGCATTCCAGCCTGGAGAACAGAGAGAGAGACCCTGTCTCAAAAAAACAAAAAAACAAAAAAACAAAAAAAAAAACCCCAAAAAGGTTGAATGATTGATATTATGTTATGTACATTTTACCACAATAAAAAAGTCATGAATAAGAAATTTTAGGTTTACACTTTGGGAGGCCGAGTCGGGTGGATCACTTGAGCCCAGGAGTTTGAGACTAGCCTGGTCAACATGGCAAAACCTCATCTCTACTAAAAATACAAAAATCAGCTGGGTGGTGGTGACTGCATGTAGTCCCAGCTTCTCAGGAGACTGAGGCAGGGGAATCACTTGAACTGGGGAGGCAGAGGTTGCAGTGATCTGAGATCGTGCTACTGAACTCCAGCCTGGGTGACAAAGCGAGACTCCATCTAAAAAAAAAAAATTAGGTTTAGCTCATTCTTGTTAAAAAATGGTGAATCTGATAGGAAGGTAAAACTGCAGTCAGGTAACTATCTTCTGTTCAGTGGGTAATGAACACACCAAATGCAAAGAAGCCACAAAGAACCAATGCATGAATGCTACAGTATTCTAAGTACAGCCCCACTTCAATCAGCAGCTACTCCTTAGTACTTCGCTTTGATTCAATGGCTATGCATTGTGGAGTCTCACATCTCTGCAGGTTATACACAGTGCTTGGCTTTCTGGGACCCAGGTTTTATACAATTTACTATGTGGATCGCGCCCTCTAGTCCATCCTCGCCAAGACTGTGAGAGTCTTCTATATTGTGGATTGTCAGCAGTGATGAACAGAGTGAGCCACTGCACAATGAATTTCCCAGCTTTCTTTGAGGTCCCACCAGGAGAAACTAAAACAATGATTTCCAAAGGAATGTGGGTATGAGTATTTTATTTTATTTTATTTTTTATTTTTTTTTGAGACTGAGTTTCGCTCTTGTTGCCCAGGCTGGAGTGCAATGGCATGATCTCGGCTCACTAAAACCTCCACCTCCTGGGTTCAAGCCAGTCTCCTGCCTCAGTCTCCCAAGTAGGTTGGATTATAGGTGCCTGCCACCACGCCTGGCTAATTTTTTGGTAATTTTAATAGAGACGGGGTTTCACCATGTTGGCCAGGCTGGTCTCGAACCCCTGACCTCAGGTGATCCACCCGCTTTGGCCTCCCAAAGTGCTGGGATTACAGGCGTGAGCCACTGCACTCAGCCGGCATGAGTATTTTAAACAACAACCACACAACTGTAGTTGATTTTCCAGCAGTGATGTCTCCCCTCCCACTCATAGTCATCGAACCCCAAGCGAAGGATTTCTGAGCTAGGATACACTCAGAGAAGCAGCAGGGCATAATCAATGACTGTCGGTCAGCAGACCTGCCACAAGCCCTGGCCTTGTCACTTCACCAGCTATGACAGCTTGTGTGAGTCACTCAACCCTTCTGGGCTGGCTTTGGTTTCATTATCTGTAGGACATCCAAGATGATACTTCCTCACTTTTCCTGTCTCTCAGGGATTTCTGGAGGGCTCAATGAGCTAATGCATGCACTGGTTTGTAAACTAATTTTTCTTTCTTTTTTTTTTTTAAAGACGGGGGTCTCACTGTGTTGCCCAGGCTGGTCTCCCACTCCTAGCCTCAAGTGATCCTCCCACCTTGTCTCCCAAAGTGCCGGGATTACAGGCGTGAGCCGCCGTGCCTGGCCTTGGTTTGTAAACTGTAAGCAAACATCATCTTTTGCTTTTAATGGAGAATCACTTGGATGTCCATTCAACCTCATTAGGCCTCATTTTCATGTTGGACTCAAATTTTCTCAAGGTCTTATCCAGCTCCAACATTTGGGCTAGGTTGATTAAGGACAGCTTCATGGAGGAATCAGCACTTTAGGCCCTTCGGGTCTCCCAAGAAAGACTGCACTTAGCCATTTAAAAATTAAGGAAAAGACTGAAACAGGAGGCAGAAACGACCATCAAAGGCACAGAGGTGCAGGTGAGCCTCTGAGCACTTAACTCCAGAGAAGCTGCCCCTGGGTGGGGAGCACACAGTCACTGTGCAAGGGTTACTTGCATCAGCCAAGCTAGCACGCGGTGTCACATCAGTATTGTTAGTTTGAATGTTAATGGTTTGGCAGTTTTGTTTATTTTTAATTTGTGAATTATTTTACTTCTATGTTTGCACGATGACATGAAGCATCAGAAGCTTATAATGAGTTTACATTTACACGTTTAAGGAAAATTGTACTCAAAATAATGCGGAGGGTACATGAGAAATATTACCTTTACATGTAATCTACTGGATAGTACAATTGTGTCCCCCCAGATCCCTTCTCTCCCTTCCTAATCATCTAGCTGCAGAAGGGATTGAGCCATCCTCAACTGCCAGAATCACCCTGATTTCTTCAATTCTTCCTCTCTGCCACTGATTGGTTAAGTTCTAGCCAATCAGCACATGGCATTTCCCTAGTCAATGGGATTGGCTCCAAATGGGCACATGACCCAATGGGAGGGCAGACATGCCAGTAGAGGTGTGTGGGGCTCGCTCTAAAAGATAGCTTCTCTTCTGGAGTTGTTCTTTGAAGAGCTACTGAGGGCTGCCACTTTCTCCCTTTCTGGTATATGTCCATAAAAGCTGGAACTGCTTCTGCTGCTGTTTTGCAGATGTGTAGAAGACCAGTGCTAGAGGGAAGCAGGGCAGTAGCACAGGAAAGCACATACTTACCTGTCTGGGCAGCTGAGTCATCATACCCATCCTGAAGCCCACTCATTTCTTGGACAATCTAGTGTGAGTTTATAAGTCCCCTTTTAGTTTAAGTCTTTCTGCTATAAGAGATAGCCCCACAATTTCATGCTATAGAACAATTACAACAATATTTTTAATTTATATTTATTTATTTATTTATTTTAGGCGAGGTCTCACTCTGTCACCCAGGCCAGAGTGCTGTGGCGCAATCTCGGCTCACTGCAACCTCCGCCTCCCAGGCTCAAGTGATTCTTGTGCCTCAGCCTCCCAAGTAGCTGGGACCAGCTAATCTTTGTATTTTTAGTAGAGACGGGGTTTCGCCATGTTGGCCAGGCTGGTCTCAAACTCCTGGGCTGAAGTGATCTGCCTGCCTCAGCCTCCCAAAGTGCTGGGATTACAGGTGTGAGCCACCGCACCCATCCAACAGTGTTTATTTTGCCATGAATCTGTAATCTGGGCAGGGCTTGTCAGGCCCAGCTTATCTCTGCTTTGTCAGCTTCAGCTGGAGCTCCGGAAAAGTAAAGGGCTGGGATCACCTAGAGCCCATCCACTCCACAGGCCAGGTGTCCTGGACCTTCGCTGAAACACCTGCAGTAATCTGTGCCTGCAGCTGGGGCTGCCTCACTGCACACGACTGGGTTCCAAGGGACAGAGGAAGGGAGAGAAAGAAAGCAAGAAGGTGAGTGCTCGCACAAACCAGGTGGAAGCCATATTGCTCCTGTGACCTGACCTTGGGATGACCTTGGAAATGACCTGCATCTTCCCCTGAGTCCACAGAAGCAGCTTCAAATGGAGGGAAATAGACTGTCTTTTTTTTTTAGACAGAGTCTTACTCTATCGCCTAGGAGTGTCATGGCATGGTCTCAGCTCACTCTAGCCTTACCTCCTGGGCTCAAGCAATCCTCCAGCCTCAGCCGTCTGAGTAACTGGGACCACAGGTGTGCACCACCACACTCAGCTAATTTTTATATTTTTTGTAGAGACAGGGTCTCATCATGTTGCCCAGGCTTGTTTTGAACTCCTGGGCTCAAGCAATCCACCTGCCCTGGCCTCCCAAAGTGCTGGGATTAAATATTGCTTGGCCAAGCATGGTGGCTCACACCTGTAATCTCAGCACTTTGGGAGGCCGAGGTGGGAGGATCACTTGAGCTCAGGAGTTGGAGACCAGCCTGGGCAATACAGGCAGATCCATCTCTACAAAATAAAATTTTAAAATGAAAAATATATATTACTTTTCTTACTATAACACAGGTTTGATAATACCTGCTTGATGGATTATTACAGGGATTAATGAGAAAATATAAGTAAAATTATTTTGTAAGCTGTAAAGCTCTATACAAATGTGAATGATTATTTTAATTTAGTATTTTAAACTTCAAAACCAAATTGATACAACTGATCATTTAAGTCCAGGAGGTAACTACTTCCCTCTTGCTTCTAATGCCTGACAATGAGGAACAGAACTGGGGTTGAGGCTGCTCTCCAGGGAAGGCGGCTGATGCATCAAAGAAGGTCATGTTTTATTTGTAAATTGGGCAATGGGTCCTTGGAACTTGGTATTTTATCCTTTTAGTCATTTTGTATGTCCAAAATATTTCATCATAAATTTAAATCAATCCCTTCCCTTGCTTTTCTATTAATACGTGAGGCACTGGGTTGGGAGAAGTCGGATAGGGTCCCTTCATACCAGCTGGGAAGTTTCTGTGGTGACTGCTCCATTGGGTAAGATTTTAGCTTTGTTGATCAGCCCGTCTGATCAACAGGACCAGTTGCTGGGAGGTTAGAAGGAGCAGTGGACGGCCACTTGGCCATAAGCATCACACGGAGAGGGGCCTTGTCTCTGTTGCTGTGTCTCCAGCTCCTGGCGCACAGCCCACGTGTGTCTGCTGAGTGCGGGCAGCCCTGGAGTGGGGTCTTTGCCTTCTCCTCCTGTCTGTTTCTCCTGTTCTTCTGGGCCCCTAGATGATCCCACGTCTTCATGTCCTGGCAGTTGGGTGGTTCTAGGGACCGTGGGATAAGATTGCCAACGGGCCTGTGTGGGAGGGCCGTGTGCCACTTCTCATCACCCTGAGACCATCGTGTTCTTGTCCCCACTGTAGAGATGGAGGCACGAGAGCTGGGCAGGCTGACCTGCCGAGTGGCCGCGGCGGACACTGTCCTAGAGAGCCGTCCAGACTCCCAGCAGACCTTGCATTAGCACCAGGTAAACCTAGGGGTTGTTTGTACCTGAGCATGACGTAGCCTGCCCTGACAATTTCATGCTCCTGTCAAGAAGCGTGAGCTCCTGCATCCACACACAGCGGTTCTCGGGAGGAAAAGCATCACAGGCAAGGCAAGGGAGAGGAAGAGGAAGGTACATTTTAATAACAAACGGTTGAGGCTTTAAGTGAAATGGAAGATCTTTATGTGAAAAACGGTTGAGATCTGGTGATAATTTGAAAGTAAAATCCATGGTCCTTGTTTCTGTAACGGCAGTTTGAGGAAGCTGCATGTTCACAATGACCGTGCCGGCCTTCCTAGTGAAGGTGTCTACCGACTAGGACTAAAGCCATGGTGACATAAAAGAGATTTTCATAACTAAACAGTTCTTTAAATGTGTGTCATTGAGCACCCGATGTGGCTTCCAAGATAGTTCAGCGGGACACAGGGTAAGGTGTGGAGGCAAAAGTGCGTCTCGCCCAGACCCAGCGGTCGAGAGGGCTCTGTGGCCACCTCCACCAGCTTCTTAGCCACCGGCCATTTCAATCCAGGTGAGCACAGCACAGATGGGCAGGATTCTAACTCCCCTGCACCTCTGTCTGGAAATCTCTGGAACTGACTAGAAAGTGGTTCTGGAAACTTCTCTAGAGATTGTCTATGCAGGCCTAAGCACTGCAAATGGTACTGGCAGAGCCCAGCTTGGAGATTTTCCTGAGGTTAGACCCGCTGGCCCTGCTGCACAACCAACTACCCAGCACTTGGTGGCCCAAAAGCAAAACACATTTGGTGCCCAGCTGCTGCGGGCCAGGGGCTGCCGCGGGCCAGGGGCTTGGGGATGGCTTCGCTGGGTGCTTCTCTCTCAGGGCCTCTGGCGAGGCTGCAGTCAAGAGGCCGGCTGTGGCTGCATTTGCCAAAGGCTCAACGGAGGCAGGTGGGCCCACCTCAGGATGGCCCCGTTGTGGGGGTTGGAGCTGGAGGCCTCGGCTCTGTGCCGCGTGGGGCCCTCTGTGCACTGCCTGAGTATGCTCCCTGTGTGGTGTTTGCGTTCTCCAGGGTGCATGACCCAAGAGAGGGAGCACACAGGAAGCTGAGTGCCTCGCGTGAATGTGTCTCCGAGGCCCACACTGCGGAGTCCAGGTTTCTTCTACTCAGCAGAAAAGAGCAGCTAAATCCAACCTGTGCTCCAGGGGAGGGGCATAGGCGCCATCTTTTTTTTTTTTTTTTTTTTTTTTTGAGATGGGGTCTGGCCATGTTGTCCAGGCCGATCTTGGACTTTTGGATGCCTCCCATCTCAGCCCACGTAGCTGAGTCTACAGGTATAAGCCATGGCACCTGGCTTCAGGATCCATCTTTTGTTTCTTTGTTTTTGAGACTGAGTCTCACTGTGTCGCCCAGGCTGGAGTGCAGTGCCATGATCTTGGCTCACTGCACCCTCCACCTCCTAGGTTCGAGTGATTCTCCTGCCTCAGCCTCCTAAGTAGCTGGGATTACAGGTGCCTGACACCAAGCCTGGCTAATTTTTGTATTTTTAGTAGAGACAGGGTTTCACCATGTCGGCCAGGCTGGTCTTGAACTCCTGACCTCAGGTGATCCACCCACCTCGGCCACTCAAAGTGCTGGGATTACAGGCATGAGCCACTGCGCCCAGCCCAGGCTCCATCGTTTGAAGAGAGTGCCAGAGAAGCTGTGCATATACAGGCTGAGCATCCCTAATCCAAAAATCCCAAATCTGAAAAGCTCCAAAATTCAGAACGTTTTGAGCACCAACGTGATGCCACAAGGGGAGAATCTCATGCATGCCCTCACGTGATGGGTCACAGTCAAAATGCAAACTTTGTGTTCTGCACAAAATTATGTTTATGTATTGCATCGAGTTATCTTCAGCTATGTGTGTAAGGTGTATATGAAACATAAATGAATTTTGTGTTTAGATTTGGGTCCCACCCTCAAGATATCTCATTATTACAAATATTCCAAAATCCGAAAAAATAAAAATCTGAAACTTCTAGTCCAAACTATGTTGGATAAGAGATTGTAACTAGTATTTTAAATGCCATAAGATTTAATTGGCTAATATTTAACAATAACTATAATGTGCCAAGTACTAAGCTACATTTAGAAAAACAAATTGTCTAATCAAATGGTTGGTGTGATCATCTCTGAGTTACACACGAGCAGACAGACCTCAGAGGTGGCCTGACTTGCTCATACAGGCAGTACCTGAGATTTGAACCTTGGTCCTTTGATGCTGTAGTAACTATGTTGTTTATTTTCTGTATCTGATGCTCTGACACCTGGGGCCTGTTGACCCTGGGAGGCTGCCTCTCCCACAAACAGCCAGTTCCTGGATAGCGAACACTTGCCCACCCCACGCAGGCTTTCCATGTGCAAACCCTGCAATGCAGAGCCCACACCTGCCACCTCCTCTGTGGGCTCACACCCCAGGCCACTGTTCACCCACACTTGTCAACCCTGGGTAGGGACCAGACGCGGGGCAGCCCCTGGCCCCAGAGGGCTGTAATTATTCAAGCTGGGCAGTCCTGGGCCTGCTGACCCTGCCTTGGCCTCCCTTATTGTGGAAACCACAATAGAGGCTCCTGCTCGGTTCCCCCACCCCCCAGCATCCCGACCAACCCTGGCGCATCCCTGTGTGGCCCCTGTGGTGCGACCTGCCCTCCTCTCAGGATCTGTGAGTAACAAGCCATCTTTTCAATGGCAGCCATCCTGGATCTGTTGCCCTCACCATGCTGAACCATAAGCAAGCCTGTTGAAGACAGACAAACAGATGCCTGGCCTGGTCCTCCCCGCCGCCCCCTCCCTGCTGCCCCCTGGACACTTGCTGCTCCAGTGTGCACCATGGTGAGGGCACAGGGAGGCACCACCTGCATAGATCTCACAACAGCACATGGAGAGCTCTGCGCCAGGCCTTGGGTGCTTCTGGATTCCTTGCAGCTGGTGATTATTTCAGGCCCGCTGCTGCCTCTAGCCATGGCTCTTCAATGAACTTGTATCGGAAGAGATTTACTACTCTAACTAGATCTGTATCTCAATTTAATGAAAATGTTAAGGATACTTTGATGGTCTTGCGCCAGTGTAATTTTAAATGAAATGTCTTCACTCTTTGGCAGCCTGCACTGCTCAGGTGTTTAACTATCAGAAAGTGCTTAAGTGAAGTGCTCTTTGCAATACTGTCTTTACATCAGCTTGTTTTACAGCATTTTTTTCCCCAGAGTAAACAAAATAAGTTTTGTGGGTATCTTTGAGGCAAAGCCTCATCTGTGTTGCTAGAAATTAAACCCTGGCCACCATAGGTTACAAAGTGGTGCATCTTGGGGGAGACACCAGGCCTGGTGCTTCTTTCTAAGCTTTGGTTTCCACGTTTGTAAAATGTGGGTAATAACGTTTCCCTCATAGGACTGCTCTACGCACATAAGTTTAAAAGTCCGTATGGGGCCGCGCACAGTGGCTCACACCTGTAATCCCAGCACTTTGGGAGGCTGAAGTGGGTGGATCACTTGAGGTCAGCAGTTCGAGACCAGCCTGGGCAACACAGTGAGACCCCCATCTCTACTAAAAATATGAAAATTAGCTGGGCATTGTGGTGGGCGCCTGTAATCTCAGCTACTCGGGAGGCTGAGGCAGGAGAATCGCTTGAACCTGGGAGGCGGAGGTTGCAGTGAGCGGAGATCATGCCACTGCACTCCAGCCTGGGTGACAGAGCGAGACTCCATCTCAAAAAAAAAAAAAAAAAAAAGTCTATATGGCATGTCGTGTCATACCTGACAAAATATGAATCCTCAGTAAAGAGGAGCTTTGATTTTCCACTGCTGTGTTTATATGTTCCGACACTTGATTATTCGTAGATGACCTTGAGCAGAAGTGTAAGTGTATCTTCCCAAAACACAGGGTGCTCCGCGCTTGGCGAGGAGGAACTCTCCTTGACTGTCCTGGCAGCTTCGAGCTGTCCAAGGCGACAAGGAGCACTTGCAATTTGGCCTCCTACTTCCCACACATTGAAGGGCTGCCAAACACACGCTTAATTGTCTAACCTTTTTAAATGATTAAAATGATGGTGATGATAATGCGGAGAAGAGTAGAATGTTAACCGCAGCATGTTATCAGTACTTGGTGTTTTCATACTGTTTATCATCGCAGTTCTTTCAACCTGTGAACTTAGCAAAATGCCCTTTGAGTACAGATGCTGAGTGTCAGTAACGCTGGTCTGAAATGACCGGGCTCATTCAGCGTTTGTATCACTAAAATGTAGCCCTCAAGAATGGAGCCCGGCCAGGCCTATGCCTTCCACCTCGTGGGGCATCCTGCCCACGTGGCAGATGAAGTTGATGACGTTAAGTGACTCACCAAAGTCATGCAGTTAGGAAGGGTCAGGGAAGGGCTGGAACCCAAGTCTCAACAACGCTTTACTACTAGGAAACGTCTTAAGCGTTAGGAAGTTGAAGGCATGCATGAATATCTGAATATTGCTCAGTCTGCAATTGACAGTGTAAACAAGGTTTCACGGAAGAACAGCTCGGCGATCTGCCCGGGTAGCTGTGAAGTCACAGCCATGTTGGCCGATGGATAGTGGACACTGTTCCGTTTTTAGCAAAAAACCCCACAATCCTCAACCTTCAAGAGCTTTATGAGAAAAAGAAGAAAATGGAAATGCCTAGACTCACGAGGGGTGCTGCCTGCCTTCCTCCCGAGGAAGGAGGAAGCCTCTGGGTCCCCGTGCCTCCGGGCAGTCGGGCTCTGGCCCTTCTCGTCTTGTCCCAGACACGCTGTCTTTCTTCTGTTCCAAGCGGGGCCTTCACCTGCTTTCACTCTCACCCCTGCCCCTCCAGGCCCTTGTTCTGCCAAACTCCTCCTGTGACTCAGCCCCTCCCTCCCTCCACACTTGCATTATCGGTTCATTGCTGAGAACTGGGAGCCTGGGACACAGACCTCTGGGGAATAATTTCATGCCTGGAGAAGGAGCCCCTGGCAGGGCTTTGGCCACCGCCCCAGGCCTCAGAGCTGAGCGCCGGCCCCAGGGAGGCCTGTGTCTCACAGCCAGCCCCGCAGGAGCATCCCCAGCAGTGCACCTGGCTGTTCACAGCCGCAGCTTGAGGCGAGGATGGACGTTGAGGCCACACAACATGTTGGCCTTATTGGGTGACTGCAGCTCACAGGGGAGGGGCCCAGGTGCAGAGGCTGCCTGTGTCTGCAGTGCCCTGGGACTTATGCGGCAAGGCCTGAGCAAGGGTGTGGGCCGTGGACCTCAGAGCAGGCAAGGGCCGGGCTCGGGGGAGTCTGAGGGGCATCTCAGCTGCACACCGAGGCCCCTCGGGACAGCTGCTGACGCGTGGCCCGACCTCTCCTGGGGAAGTTCAACTCAAGGTGCAGAACAAGTCAGGTCAGGGCAGAGAGCCTGGTGGGGGGTGTGGGCAGGGGGAGGCTCCCGGTGACCCCACGGGAAACCCCGCAGAGGCTCTGGGGCAGGAGTCACTGTGAGGTGAGGAGAGAACCATCCGGAGTCGCCATCCACGGACAGATGCGGTTCTACAGGGTGAGGCAGGACAAGGCATGTCCCAGCACTGACTTGAAACTGTCCTGAAGCCACTGGAGCTGGTGTCCTAGGCAGAGAGGTCACACAGGCAGAGCTCTGAGTGCCAGAGACATGGGACTCATCAGGTAAAGGAAAGGAGGGTTTCAAAAACTTGGGATCGGCCGGAAAAGCACCTGAAGCAAGGCCTGATTGAGCTTGCCCCTGTGTCTTGAATACCACCTTCTGGAGTGCAGGAGAGGACGCACAGGCCACAGTTGCAGGCTGGAGTACAATGGCGTGATCTCAGCTCACTGCAACCTCTGCCTCCCAGGCTCAAGCAATTCTTGTGCCTCAGCCTCCCAAGTAGCTGGGACTACAGGCATGTGCTACCACATCTGGCTGATTTTCATATTTTTAGTAGAGACAGGGTCTCACCATGTTGGCCAGGCAGGTCTTGAACTCCTGACCTCAAATGAGCCACCCACCTCAGCCCCCCAAAGGGCTGGGATTACAGGCGTGAGCCACTGCGCCTGACTAGCAACTGAGAATTTTTGGCATGGATTCTGGCTAAGCTGTACAGAGGGTTTGCATTTTGGTGAGTGGAAAATCATATCTACCCTCCTGTTAAATGCCATGGTCCCTGCTGTGGTCTCTGGTACACTGTGTCTTGATTCTTATTCATCTCAAAGTATTTTCTGGTTTCTGTTTTTCTTAGACTCATTGGCTATTTAGGAGTGTGTTGTATAATTTCCACATATTTGTGAGTTTCCCAAATTGTCTCCACAAAGTCTTACTCTGTCGCCCAGGCTGGAGTGCACTGGCGTGATCATGGCTCACTGCAGTCTTGACCTCCTGGGCTCAAGTGATCCTCCCATCTCAGCCTCCCAAGTAGCTGGGACTACAGGCATGTGCCCCTACACCAACTAATTTATTACTTTTTTTAATAGAGATGAGGTCTTGCTATGTAGCCCAGACGGGCATCGAGCTCCTGGCCTCAAGTGATCCTCCCAAGTCGGCCTTCCAAAGTGCTGGGATTATAGGTGTGAGTGCTGTGCCCGACTCTTGTCATCAATTTCTAATGTCACTCCCTCGTGCTTGGAGCACGTGCTCTGAATTACCTGCTCCTTTGCAGATGTGCTGAAGCTTGCTTTACGGCCTCGCACGTGGTCCATCCTGGAGAATCCTCCGTGCGCCCTGGAGAAGCATGTGTGTTCTGTTGGTGCTGGCAGAGTGTCCACAGGTGTTATGTCTAGTTGGATTGTATTGTTATTTAAATGTTCTCTTCTTTCTTTCTTTCTTTCTTTCTTTCTTTCTTTCTTTCTTTCTTTCTTCTGTCTGGTTTCTATGCATTATTAAAATTGAGGTAGTGGAGTGGGCGTGGTGGCTTATGCCTATAATCCCAGCACTTTGGGAGGCCGAGGTGGGCAGATCACAATGTCAAGAGATCGAGACTATCCTGCCAACATGGAAATACCCCGTCTCTACTAAAAATACAAAAACTAGCTGGGCATGGTGGCAGGCGCCTGTAATCCCAGCTACTCAGGAGGCTGAGACAGGAGAATCGCTTGAACCTGGGAGGCGGAGGTTGCAATGAGCTGAGATGGTGCCACTGCACTCTAGCCTGGCAACAGAGCAAGACTCAAAAAAAAAAAAAAAATTAAGGTAGCGAAGTCTCTAGTTACTACTTTGAATTGTCCATTCTCCCTTCATTTCTGTCCATTTTAATTATTTTGGACTTTAATGAGACTTTCATCTTGTAAAACAATTCAATTTTTTTAATGCTTGAACTTCCCCTGGAATATAATGAAGAAGAGAATATATTCAAATGCAGAACATCTTATTGTGGGCATTTTATTAATGAGGTTTATTTTTCTAAAAAATTATTATTAAAGTTATTATGCCTACAGAAAGTGTATTAAACAGATATTTAAATTTTGAAGAGTAAGATCGAAGCACACATCTCAAGGAAGACCACCCAGCTTGAGACACTCCGTCGGCAATAACTGAGACGCTCTCGCGGTGGTCTTTCCTGCTCAGTAACTACCATCCCCACTTTTCTGGAAAACTTTTCTTTGTATTTCTTTACAATTGTGTTTATTGGAATGTCTTTTTGTATTTTATTTTCAGAGAATTTTTTTTTTTTTTTTTTTTTTTTTTAGACAGAGTCTCACTCTGTCGTCCAGGCTGGAGTGCAGTGGCATGATCTTGGCTCACTGTAACCTCCACCTCCTGGGTTCAAGTGATTCTCCTGCCTCAGCCTCCTGAGTAGCTGGGATTACAGGTGCCCACCACCACACCTGGCTAATCTTTGTGTTTTTAGTAGGGATGTCATCATGTTGCCCAGGCTGGTCTCAAACTCCTGGCCTCAAGTGATATGCCTGCCTCGGCCTCCCAAGGTGCTGGGATTACAGAGGTGAGTCACTGTGCCCAGCCAATTATCAGAGAAACTTAATGTGACCACTTAATCTCATTGATAACTTCTGATGAGCTCTATTGGACAGGGTAGCTGGACACAGTTTGGTATAGTAAATGGAGGAAGGAGTGACTGTTCAGCCTCAGGTGTACCGTGGCCATGGTGTTCACTTAATGAATGTTTTCCTTGCACCCACTTCAGAGCCTCTGGGGTCCAAATCTACATTGCTCACTGGTGGTCCCAGGATGATACCTGAAGGAGAGGTGGTGTGTCCTTTGGGGTAGCAATGAACAGAACCTATTGAAATTTAGGCATGTATACCCTTCAACTCAGCCGTACCGTGGTTTCATTTCCTTTGGGTATATAGCCTGGAGTGAGATTGCTGGATCATAGGGTAGTTCTACTTTTAATTTTCTGGGCCGGGCGCGGTGGCTCACGCCTGTAATCCCAGCACTTTGGGAGGCTGAGGCGGGCGGATCATGAGGTCAGCAGATCGAGACCATCCTGGCTAACAGAGTGAAACCCCGTCTCTACTGAAAATACAAAAAAAAATTAGCCGGGCGTGGTGGCAGGCACCTATAGTCCTAGCTACTTGGGAGGCTGAGGCAGGAGGATGGTGTGAACCTGGGAGGTGGAGCTTGCAGTGAGCCGAGATTGCGCCACTGGACTCCAGCCTGGGCGACAGAGCGAGACCCCATCTCAAAAAAATTAATTAATTAATTAATTAATTAATAATAATAATAATAATTTTCTGAGGAACCGCCATGCCGTTTTCCGTACTGGCTGTACCAATTCACTTTCCCACAGTGTACAAGGTTTGCTTTTCTCCTCATCCTCACCAACCCCTGTTACCTCCTGTCTTTTGGATAGCAGCCGTGCTAACAGGTGTGAGGAGCTGGCTCAGCATGGCTTGACGTGCACGCGCCTGATGCTGGGTGATGGTGAGTGCCCTTCCCTGCAGCGATGGAGCTATGCCCTTTCGAGTGTCCATCCTGCAGAAAGAGCTCCCACCTGTGTGCAAGAATGTTCTTGCAGCATAAATTGAAATAGGAAGAAAAAAAAAGAGACATCCGCCTGGGTGTGAAACAATAGGGAAATGGTAAAATAATAAATTCTGGAGCGTTCAGACAATAAGATTCTAAGCATCCAGTTAATGCAGCAAAATGAGTTAGTTAATGTTAAAATGAATGTGCTACATCTCTAAATGCCGTTATGGAAGACTTGTGATATATTTTGGTTCCCAACGAAAGAAAGTTTTGGGGGAGATGAGGAAAATGATCTTGTTTAAAAACAAAAAAATTGTAGATGGATAGTATGGCACACAGAATCATGGCTCCCTAAATATGTCCATGTCCTAATCCTGTGAACGTGTGAATGTCATCCTTTTT
Organism: Homo sapiens; assembly: GCF_000001405.40. Taxonomy (NCBI): domain Eukaryota; kingdom Metazoa; phylum Chordata; class Mammalia; order Primates; family Hominidae; genus Homo; species Homo sapiens. Next base: position 157,129,821 of record NC_000007.14, read on the forward strand.
TTTTTTTTTTTTTTTTGTGACAGAGTCTTGCTGTGTCGTCCAGGCTGGAATGCAGTGGTGCAATCTCAGCTCACTGCAACCTCTGCCTCCTGGGTTGAAGCAATTCTCCTGCCTCAGCCCACCTGAGTAGCTGGGATTACAGGAACACGCCACCATGCCAGACTCATTTTTTTTGTATTTTTAGTAGAGATGGGGTTTCACCACATTGGTCAGGCTGGTCTCGAACTCCTGACCTCATGATCCACCTGCCTCAGCCTCCCAAAGTGCTGAGATTACAGGCGTGAGTCACCGCGCCCGGCCGGATGTTATCTTACACAGCAAAAGGGACCTTGCGGATGTCATGAAGTCAAGGATTTTGCCAGGTGAGATGATCCTGGGTTACGTGGTGGACCCCATGTCATCCCAGGGTGCCTACGATGGGGAGGCAGGAGAGTCAGTCAGGGAAGGGAATTGAGGACAGAGCGGTGGTTGGCATGAAGTGATTGCTGGAATGGGTCATGAGCCAGGGAATGCTGGACAGGGCAAGAACAGAGCCTCCTCCCGCGTCTGCAGAAGGACCCCGCCCTGTGATGCCTTGGTTTCAGCCCAGGGAGACCCGTGAGGACTTCTGACCTCCAGAGCTGTAGGGCAATGCATTTGTGTTGTTTTAAGCCTCTAAGCTTTTGGTAATTTGTTACAGGAGTGATAAGAAACTAAGAGAGAGAGAGAGCTGATAGATCAATAATCTCAAAGATATGATGAGGAGGCAGAGCAGATAGGATTTTTTTCATTTATTTGTGTACATTGGAATTGATTTTTAAAATAATTAGCATGTATTACTATTCTAAATAATGAATTTTTAAAATAAAAATATAGCCCATTTTTATCATATGTTTGAATTGTGAGGTAACTAAGACAAGATGGTGTGTAAGACAGAAGAAACTGGATAAATGACTTTCTTGGTGAAAGCAGCTCTTCCTTTTCTCTCCTGCAGTTTGCAAAAGAACTTCTGAGACAATGTGTGGTTTTCAGGTAGAATCTTCAGATACACTGGGAAGCTCTTACAAGCATCCATAAACAATAAGTTAAAAATATATTGCTATTTTCTATTAGATTCCTTTGGAGCAAAGGGATAGAAGGAAGGAAGGAGAGATAGGAGGAGTATATATGTTTCCTAATAGAGTGCAATGAGACATTCGGGGCTTTTTCAAACACCGGAAAATTTGAGCCATAGGGGAGATGTATGTTTTCTCTGTCTCTCTCTCTCTCTCTCTCTCTGTCTCTCTCTCTCTCTCTCTCTCTGTCTCTCTCTCTCTCTCTCTCTCTCTGTCTCTCTCTCTCTCTCTGTCTCTCTCTCTCTCTCTATATATATATATATATGTATATATATGTATTAGGGTCTCCAGAGAAACAGAACCAATATGATGTATGTATCTATAGCTATACCTATATCTGCATTTGAGAGAGATTTATAATGAGGAATTGGCTTAGGCGGTTGTGGCGGCCGGGAACTCCTACCATCTGCCATCTGCAATCCTGAGGCTCAGGAGAGCTGGTGGCATGGGACGGGGTGAAGAACCAGTGAAGTCCCAGAGTCTGAAGCAATAGCCCGGAGCTCTGATGCCCGCAGACAGAAGATGAACGTCCCAGCTCAAGAACAAAGAGGGAGAAGGTTCCCTCAGGTTCCCTCCCTCCACATTTTTTTTTCCTCCATATAATCTTGCCCCTCCTAAACACCTTTTTGTTCTATTCAGGCTCTGAATGAGTTGGAGGTTGCCTGTTCACGTTGGTGAAGGCAGCACACAGAATCATGTTTTACCAGCTATCTGGGATCCCTTGGGGCCCTCAAGTTGACACAAAAATTAACCATCACAGCTGGATGTGATGGCTCATGCCTGTAATTCCAGCACTTTGAGAGGCTGAGGCAGGCAATCAGCCTGGGTAACATGGCAAAACCCCATTTCCACAAAAAATACAAAAATTAGCCTGGCATGGTGGCATGTGCCTGTAGTCCCAGCTAATCAGGAGGCTGAGGTGGGAGGATGGCTTGGGCCCAGGAGGCAGAGGGTGCAGTGAGATCAGGTCACACCACTGCACGGTCCAGACTAGGTGGCAGAGCCAGACCCTATCTCAGAAAAAAAAAGTAACCATCACAATATCCTGTTACATACATATGTATAACTTTTTTTTTTTTTGAGACGGAGTTTCGCTCTGTCCCCCAGGCTGGCGTGCAGTGGCGTGATCTCGGCTCACTGCAAGCTCCACCTCCCGGGTTCACGCCATTCTCTTGCCTCAGTCTCCCGAGTAGCTGGGACTACAGGCGCCCGCCACTACGCCCGGCTATTTTTTTGTATTTTTAGTAGAGACGGGGTTTCACTGTGTTAGCCAGGATGGTCTCGATCTCCTGACCTTGTGATCCACCCACCTTGGCCTCCCAAAGTGCTGGGATTATAGGCGTGAGCCACTGTGCCTGGCCCATACATATGTATAATTATATTTGGCATTTAATGTTTCTGTTATTATTGTTGTTTTAGGCTGCATTTTAAAATTCTTATTTTGAGCCCTTGTAGTCCCAGCTACTCAGGAGGCTGAGGTGGGAGGATTACTCGAGTCCAGGAGTTCAAGGCTACAGTGAGCTATGATCATACCACTACACTCCAGGCTGAGTGACAGAGTGAGATCTGGTCTCTAAACAACAACAACAACAAGAAGCTATTTTTAAAAATTCTTTATTTTGAGATAGATAGAAATTCACAGGAAGTTGTGAGACTAGTACAGAGATGGACCCTTCATCCAGTTTTCCACCTATGGTTATATCTTATGGAATGATAGCACAATATCCAAACCAGGGCCTTGACATTGGTACAACATGTGTTCATAGTTCTAGGTCATTCTAGAAAACAGTTTTATTGAGGTATAACTGATGCAAACATCTGTGATACCATCACCACCATCAAGGTCATAGACACACCTGAGACCTCCCAAGGTAGTGCTGTGCCATTTTATCACATGTGTGTTTTCATGTCATGGTCACAGTCAAGCTACAAAATTGCTCCATCACCACAATGGCCTCCCTTCGAAGCCACCCTCCTCCTCTTCCTCCCCGTCCTTCTCACGTGAATGGAGTCATACAGTACGTATGTGACCTTCTGAGACTGGCTTTTCCAGTCAGGAGGATGCCCTTGAGGGCTTTCTGTGGGCATCAGTAGTTTGCTGTTTGTAAAAATTGCTGAGTAGTGTCCATGGCATGCACCTGCTGAGGTTTGTTTAATATCATCCTTTGAAGGGCATTTTGGTGTTTCCAGATTTGGGCTATTCCAAATAAAGCTGCTGTGGACATCTGTGTAAAATGCTGTATAGACATCAGTTTTCATTAGTCGGAGGTAAATGCACAGGGATGCAATTGCTGGGTGCTGTGGTAAGTGTATGTTTAGTTTATAAGTTAAATTAATTACATTTTCTTTGAGGCAGGGTCTCATTCTCTTCCCAGGCTGGAGTGCAGGGGCACAGTCACATCTTACTGCAGCCTCAACCTCCTGGGCGCTCAAACAATCCTCCCACCTCAGCCCCCTGAGTAGCTGGGACTACAGGCACCAGCCACCATGCCCAGCTAAAAGTTTTTTTTATTAAAGTTACTGCCAAACTATTTTCCAGACTGGTTGCACCATTTTACTTTCCCACAGTGACATATGAGAGGTCCAGTTTCCTCACCTCCTTGCTAGCATTTGATGTTGTCAGTATTTATTTTAGCTGCTCTGATAGGTGTGTAGTGGCTGTAGGATTTTGACCTACTCTTTCCACTGCCTTTCCGTAATCATCTGTTTAATCCAACACATATTTGAGGGCCTGCAGTTGGTACAAAAGTGAGGTAGACAGCTCCTCACCCTTTAGGAGTTTGCTGTCTACAAGAGGAAGTAGGCCAAGTAAACAGTGCTGTTCACTGGAGTCGGAGTGTACAGGCATTAGGTTCTAGGTCAGCACCTATGGTTGGGAATTCTTTTTTTTTTTTTTGAGACAGGGTCTGTCTCTGTCCCCCAGGCTGGTGTGGAGTGGTGCAATCTCTGCTTACTGCAATCTCTGCCTCCCAGGCTCAAGGGATGTTCCCACCTTAGCCTCCGAGTAGCTGGGACTATAGCCACCATGCCTGGCTAATTTTTGTATTTATTTTTTAAGAATGGGGTCTTGCTATGTGGCCCAGGCTGGTCTTGAATTCCTGAGCGGAAGCAATCCACCCACCTTGGCCTCCCAAAGTGCTGGGATTACAGGTGTGAGCCACCATGCCCAGCCTGAAAATCTTTTATAGTGAAAATTACTCTTGAAAATTATTAATCTTTGTAGAGTGATAATGAGATCATAATCTTGTACAAAAATTCCACTTTTTAAGGGTTACTGACAAAATGACGTCTGGAATTTGCTTCAAAGGGATGGAGGGGAGTCTAATCACATAAGATTGGCCCTGGGGTGGGCACTCACTGACGCTGGGCGATAGCTGAAGGAGACTGATTGATTATATGAGTCTCCCTGGCTTGTTGAGTTTGAAATTTTCTATAAAAAGGTACTTTTAAAATCCTTGAAAATCCTTCATTAGGAATCATGTTAAAGATGCTGAAATGATCCTGATAAGACAGATTTTCCTGTGGCATCACTGGTTCTCCAGTGGACACCAGGGGAAGAAGTGGCTCATGGAGCAGGGCCACCCAGCAGACGCACCGACCTCAGCACAGAGGAGCACCCACCCTGGGCTGACTGTGGAAACAGACCAGATGCCAGGCAGCGGTGTTGAGATGGGCAGAGGTGCAGTCAGGAGCACTTCTTCCCTACCCATGTGGGCCGGTCAGAACATTTGAAAGAGGCCCAGCAGATGTGGGACAGCACCCCCCAGTTACCAGCAACACTGAGGTTGGTGTGAGATTCACATGGGCATTCTTGCTCCTCCTCCTAGTCCAGACATTGGAAGGGTTCATTCGAAGCAGAATCTCAGACTTCAGGCTGGGCGCGGTGGCTCACGCCTGTAATCCCAGCACTTTGGGAGGCCAAGGCGGGCGGATCATCTGAGGTCAGGAGTCCAAGATCAGCCTGATCAACGTGGTGAAACCCCATCTCTACTAAAAACACAAAAATTAGCCGGGCATGGTAGCGCACCTATAATCCCAGCTACTCGGGATGCTGAGACAGGAGAATCGCTTGAACCCAGGAGGTGGAGAGGTGGAAGCTGCAGTGAGCCAAGATCACGCCATTGCACTCCAACCCGGGCAACAAGAGCAAGACTCTGTCTCAAAAAAAAAAAAAAAAAAAAAAGAATCTGAGACTTCAGAGCAGACTTACAGAGGTCACAAATATTGATATTACCAATTTTAAATCTTTGCTAACCTGACAGGTAAAAACAAAAGGTTATATCTTTTTTAATTGACAAAATTTGTAAGCTTTCAAAATGGTAAAATTGGGACATTTTATGATTAAAAATACATTCTATACTGTTGCAGTTCAAATATATGTATGAACTATGATAGTTCATACATATATACGAACTGTGACCTTGTTCACATATATATACACACACACATTTGTGTCTGGGTGTGGGTGCCTTAGTCTATTTGGGTTGCTATAACAAAATGCCTTGGCCTGGGTAATTTTTGGACAACAGAAATATATCTCTCACAGCTCTGGAATCTGGGAAGTCCAAGATCAAGGCACCCCACATTCTGCGTCTGAGGACTCTGCTTCATAGATGGTGCCTTCTTGCTGTGTCTCCCCATGGCAGGAGGGACAAACAGGCTGCCTTGGGCACTGATTTCCTTCATGGGGGTGGAGCCTCATGCTATAAGACTTCCTAATGGCCCCTCCTCTTAATACGATCACATTGGGGACTAAGTTTCAAACTATGATTTTGGGGAGACACCAACATTCAGACAACAGTAGAGTGTTTGTATATCTTTCTAACCATCTATCTGTCTATATTTAATTTATATGGCAGATTTTTTCAAACTGTGAGCTGAGACCCATTAGTGGATTGTGAAACGTATTTAGTGCTTTGCGTCTAGCATTAAAAAGAAGACGACGACAGTGGGTGCAGTGGCTCATGCCTGTAATCCCAGCACTTTGGGAGGCCGAGGCAGGAGGATCTCTTGAGCCCAGGAATCTGAGACCAGCCTGGGCAACATAATGAGACCCACCTCTACAAGAAGTGGGGGGGGGGGGAAAGCTGGGGGGTTGGGGGGAAAGCCAGGCTACTGGCACACACCTGGTCCAGCCATTTGGGACGCTGAACTGGGAGAATTGCCTGAGCACAGGAGGTTGAGGCTGCAGTTAGCTGTGATCGTACCACAGCACTCCAGCCTGGGCAATACAGTGAGACCCTGTCTCAAAAAAATAATAATAAAATAAAATAAAAAGACAGAATTTTTTTTAAAAAAAACAGTGCATTCCACATAGTAATGACAAATATTAGTTTTAAAATTTGGCTTTTCCCAATTAAAAAACGAGCAAAGGGCCTGAATTTTTCCAAATAGACATAAAAACGGCCAAGAGGTAATGAAAAGGTGCTCATCGTCAATAACCGTCAAGGAAATGCAAAACAAAACCACAATGAAATATCACCTCACAGTATTAGCATGGCTATTATCCAAAAGACAAGTGTTGGTGAGGGTGTGGGGAAATAGAAGCCTTTGCCCATCGTTGGAGGTACAGCCATTATGGCAAACAGTATGGAGTTTCCTCAAAAAAAACAAAACTGGAACTACCACATGACTCAGCGATCCCTCTGCTGGTTATATATCTACAGGAAATGAAATTGTTTCTTCTGGAGCTCCTCTCAGTTCATTGCAACATTATTCATAACAGCAAGATACAGAAGGAATTCCTGTCATTGGCTACATGTGTGAACCTGGAGGACATGATGCCAAGTTAAATAAGCGAGACAGAGAGAAAGATACTGATGAGCTCACTTATACGTGGAATCCAACAGTCAAATCCTATCTAGAAACAGAGAGTAGAGTGGTGCTTCCTGGGGCTGGGAAAAATGGGGAGAGATATGTAAAAGGAAACACACTCGCAGTTATGTAGCATAAATATGCCCACAGATCTAATGTTCACAGGAGGACTGTTTATTATTATTGTTATTAATTTTTATTTTTATTTATTTATTTTGAGACGGAGTCTCCCTCTGTTCCCCAGGCTGGAGTGCAGTGGCGCGAGTGGCGCGATCTCGGCTCACTGCAAGCTCCGCCTCCCGGGTTCACGCCATTCTCCTGCCTCAGCCTCCCAAGTAGCTGGGACTACAGGCGCCTGCCACTATGCCTGGCTAATTTTTTTGGTATTTTTAGTAGAGACGGGGTTTCACTGTGTTAGCCAGGATGGTCTCGATCTCCTGACCTCGTGATCTGCCCGCCTCGGCCTCCCAAAGTGCTGGGATTACAGGCGTGAGCCACCGCGCCCGGCCTGTTTATTTTTATTTTTTGAGACAGAGTCTCACTCTGTCACCCAGGCTGGAGTACAGTGGCACGATCTCAGCTCATTGCAACCTCCGCCTCGCAGACACAAGCGAGTCTCTTGTCTCAGCCTCCCAAGCAGCTAGAAGTTTAAGAACTTTAAGTGGGGGACCACCTATACATAAACATGCCACCATGCTCAGCTAATTTTTGTACTTTTAGTAGAGACGGGGTTTCCCCATGTTGGCGAGGCTGGTCTCAAACTCCTGACCTGAGGTGATCCACCCACCTTAGCCTCCCAAAGTGCTGGGATTACAGGCGGCGCCAGGACTGTATTTCTTTTTTTTTTTTTTTTTTTGAGACGGAGTCTCTGTGTCGCCCAGGCCGGAGTGCAATAACACGATCTCAGCTCACTGCAACCTCTGCCTCCTGGGTTCAAGCAATTCTCCTGCCTTAGCCTCCAGAGTAGCTTGGACTACAGGCGTGCACCACCACACCGGCCTAAGTTTTGTATTTTATTAGAGATGGGGTTTCACCATGTTGGCCAGGCTGGTCTCGAACTTTTCACTTCAGGTGATCCGCCCGCCTTGGCCTCCCAGAGTGCTGGGATTACCGGCGTGAGCGACCGTGCTCGGCCGCAGGACGACTGTAGATGATATCGTATTGTGTGTTGAAATTTTGCTAAGAGAGTAGATTTTATGTACTCTTACCACACACACACAAAGAGGGTAGTCATTTCACAATGTCTCTATGAAATCATCATGTTGCACACCTTGTATACAACCAAAAATCAATTTTTAGAAATTGGTTTCAATCGTGTATGATATATATGTATATGCACATGTATATGAGATATTATGTATACGTATGTGTGGATATAAGACACATGTTTATGTATAGGTGGTCCCCAACTTAAAATGGCTCAACTTACAATTTTTTGACTTTGTGATGGGTTTATTGTAGCATTAAATACATTTTCAACTTACAATATTTTCATCTTACGATGGGTTTATCAGGACAAAGCCCCATGGTAAGTCCAGGAGCAAATATTTTTGCATACACAGGTATGTGTACATGATACATATTTATATGTATTGATGCTGTATCTATAGATGCATATGTGTGCTATGTATGAGGCAAATCTGCGCATGTCTGTGTACATGGTAAATATTTACGTCCGTCTGTGCGTGTCATAGACATAGAACAGGTGGGATGTAAACAGACGGGCTGGGCCTAGCTGCTCCTTTCCCGCCTCACTCGAGTCTGGCACCAGATTGGCCGCTCCCAGCCCGCTCCGGGTGCCGGCCCCTGCACCCCACCCTGCACCCCGCACCCTGCCCTGCACCCCATCCCGGCCCGTGCCTCGCACTCCACCTTTCCCGCACCCTGCCCCGCACCCAACACCTCCCGCGCCCCTCGCCGCGCTCCCCCAGCACGCACCAGGCCCCGCCCACTCCGCCGCGTGCCCAGCCCGCGTCACCGCCGTCCTCCCCAGGCTCCAGCGCGCCTTGCGGGGCCGCGCACGCTAGCGGAACCGCCGGGAAGAGCGCCGTGCCGTCAATGGCGGAGGCGCGCACGTCTGCAGGGCCGCGCACGTCTGCAGGGCCGCGCACGTCTGCAGGGCCGCGCACGTCTGCAGGGCCGCGCACGTCTGCAGGGCCGCGCACGTCTGCAGGGCCGCGCACGTCTGCAGGGCCGCGCACGCACTGACGGCTGACCGCCATCTTCCCTCCCGAGGCGGCAGTTCCAGGTGCAAGCGCCGGGTTTGCTGCCCGCTGGGCGCCCCTGCAGCGGCCCGAGCTGTGGCCGGCGTGGATGAGGGGCAGGCGAGGCAGGGCCGCCCCTCCAGTATTGCCGCCCCTCCCGCCCCAGGGCAGGGCTGGGAGGGTACAGCCCGGGGGCGGGCTCGGGTCGCCTCCCGGCCGCCGCGTCCTCGCTGCCCCGGGCCGGGCGGGCGGGCGCCGAGAGCCTCCCAGCCCGCCCCGTGCCCCGCCCGCCCGGCTGCTTCCGCGGCGGCGCTGCCCGCACATGGGCTAGGCTGCCAGGATGTTCAGCTTCGAAGGCGACTTCAAGACGCGGCCCAAGGTGTCCCTTGGCGGCGCGAGCAGGAAGGTGAGGGCCGGGCTGGCGGGGCGCCCTCGGCTCGGGGCCTGCGCGGCCGGGGCTCGGGGCTGGGACTCGGGGCTGGACTCGGGGCTGGACTCGGGGCCGAGACTTGGGGCTGGATTCGGGGCCTCCCTGGCGGGGACTCGGGGCTTCCTCGCCGGATCTCGGGGCCGCTCCGGCCGGGACTCGGGGTTGGACTCGGAGCCGAGACTTGGGGCCAGGACTCTGGCTGGGGCTTAGGACTGGACTCGGGGCCTCCCTGGCTGGAACTCGAGGCCGCGCCCGTGGGGGCCTTGCCTGTCCACTGCGCTTCGGGACCCGGGCGCGCTGGCCGTGGCTCCCTTCCATGCAGGAGGCCGGTGAACCCTGGCACGCTTTGTGCCACCCAAGGTGAACTTACCCTTTCTGGGTGTTTCCTTTCAGAAATGCGCTTTCCATGCTCGCTCCCGCATGGCATCAGGGAGTGGCTGCTTTTCGAATGCCACCTGAAGGGCGTTTTCGGTTGTAGAAGGTGAACGGCACGCATTTGCTGATGTCGATAATCTCTAAAGTAGAGGCAGAACGTCTCATGAATAGCCACGTGTTTGAATCCAAGACGAGGGCAATTATTTGCCACCAGCCTCCTGGAAACTGTGGAGAGACTCCGGACTTACATCTGTTGTGATCGACATTAAGTTGTTCGCATGGTAATTGTTTAGGATAAGGGTAGGCAAACCATGACGCCTCTGTTCTAGTCTAGAATTTCTAGCTGTCTGTCCCTGAAGACGGGCATCAGTTGGTTCACTGGAACCGCTAAGTCGTTGAACACTGTGTGGTCTTGTTCCCGCCCCTCCCTTCCCACCCCTTCCCATCATTTCTGAAATGTTCTTTAAAATGCTTCACCTAGTTTTTCTTGTCTATCAGTATATTCTGTATATCACAACCACCAGGTAGGCACATAACGCAGAGTGGGTGCTGGCAGGCCAAGGAGGAACTGCTGTTATTAAGATTGTGCTGTGGGGCTGTGTTTGGTGGTTTCTGAGGTTAGAAGGGAACCTGGGTAAAGAGTTGGGAGAGAAGTGTGCTGATAATTTTTCAGCTTTGAGGTTCGTGTGATGGTGATTGCTTGGAAGTCACTTGTGCTCCAGAACTAAGTACTGTGCAGTTAAGGGTGGTCGTGGTAGCACTTAGGGTCTTCCACGTTAATGAAAATGTTTTATGAGATCAAAGGATTTCTACAGTTAGGAGAGACTTCAGAGAATCTCAGGGCCAAATCGCCTTGCTTACAAGTTCGGAAGGTGAGCTGCAGAACATTTGAAGGAGTGCCCATTCACACAGCAAGCTAGTGGCAGACCATCTGAGACTCCATGCCATTTACACAGCGCCGCGCGGCCTCTGTTGCAGGCAGGAACACCCCACGGGCCACGGATGTTGGTCCCTTTTCACCAAGGAGTGCATCTCTGCTCTGAGGGAGTGAGATTTCTTAACTGTTGATCAGAATCTCAAGGGAAGATAGCACGAGCTGTGTAAAAGAATCACCCCTTTAAAAACAAAACTCTTTTTATTGAGGTATAACTTAAGATACAGTCAGGTTCACAAACACTAAAGAGATCCTTGTGCAAGTGAAATTGAGGAGGAAGGGCGAGAGGGAAGCTGGGTAGGGAAGGAAAAGGCGTCTCAGCTGGAGGCTAGCGTTAACCCCATCTCACCAGGAGCATGCTACAATTGGCCCTAATTGCGGCAGAGGGGTTGGTGGCTGCAGGCTGCTGCCCCTCCGGGATGAGGGTGGGAGTGTGGCACTGCTAACCCTGAGCCGAGGGCCATTCTTCTGGGAGAGAGTGGCAGTAAAGAGCCCTTAGTAGGAACTGGCAGCAGCTGGGGCATGGGTGCCCTGGCCTGGTTAAGGAATCTGGGTGGGGAGCCAGCTGTATGTACAGCTTGAAGGATTTTTGCATATGGACACTCTCCTGTAGATGGAACACCACTCACATCAAAGGAAGACCATCCCCAGCATTCCAGAGGCTCCCCTGCACTCTCACCCATTCATTACAGTCATATGTGACTTAAAGAGGGGGACGCTGTCACTAGTCCAGTTGGTTGTTGTGGGACCGTCCTAGAGTGCACTTAACAGAAACCTATAGCCAGTGTTGCCCACTGCACACCTAGCTGCTTGGTACAGCCCGTTGCCCCTATGCTACACACCTGGACAGCGTGTTTCTGTGCTGAATACTGTAGGCAGCTCTTCATGCAATGGTGAGTGTCTGTGCATCCAAACGTAGATACAGTAAAAATACAAATTATAATCTTATGGGACCACGGTGTATATGTGGTCTGTTGTCGACAGACTGAGAGGTCATTATGCCATGTATGTCTGTAGCCCCACAAAGGTGACTGTCCTTCTGACCTCCATTACTGTAGATGAGCGTTACCTGTTGAACTTCAGGGGCATGGAGCCACTCACCACTTGTCGTTTGTGCCCGGCTGCTTTGGCTTGGCTTCTGTCTGAGAGGTGGACTCCATCCGCCTCGGTGCACGGCATTGCCCTTTGTGTGAACGCACCGTGGCTGATTCTGTTTTCTTACAGACCTTTGCTGTGTGTGCCTTTTGGTGCACATAATACTCTTGTGCTGGGTCCTAGATGATACGCATGTTCAGCTGTTGTGCACACCGCTGCCACAGTTTCCCCGTGTCGCACGCCCACAGCATCTGAAGGTATCCAGGTTTCCACATCCTTGCCAACACTTGATATTGCAAGTCCTTTAATTTTAGTGAGGATGTAGTTTCTTTGTGGTTTTAATTTTGTTTCCTGACAACTAATTATGTTGAGCACCTACATATGCTTGTTTTCCTGAATTCTCTTTGACTGCCGCATAAGTCCCTTCCCTTGTTGGAAAAATGAAGTTATAGTGACCCTTTTCTCATGTCTTAAATTATTATTTGAAATCTTCCCTTTCTGGAGCTTAGTGGAAAATGGAGTGGTTACCACCTTTGAATAAGCTTTTTCTTTTTTCAAATTAAATACTTTTAGTATTTATTATTTGTATAGATCTGTGTACGACAAGTCTGACTTGAAGAAGTTGATAATCTTGTTGGGCAGATAAGACTTAAGCAATTAAAAATTAAATAACAATAGAGTAATTGCTACATTCTAAATTTCCCTTGGTCCTGATTCAGAAAAAGTAGAATTGTTTGGAGCTTAGTCCTGAAGGATGGGTGTAATTAGGATGGGTGGAAGACGAGAAGGCATTCCAGGTTCGTGGAGCGGGGTGTGTGGAGTACATGTAGATTGGATTACATTGATTCAAAGTCACTTTGGGGAGCTAAACATTGATTACACATGGACATAAAGATGGGATGATAGACACCAGGGACTACTAGAGGGGGAAAGAGAGGGACGGGGACAAGGGCTGGGAAGCTACCTGTTGGTAACTGTGCTCACTCCCCGGGTAATGGGATCATTCACACCCCAAACCTCCGCGTCCTGCAGTATATTCTTGTAACAAACGTGCATAGGTACCCCCTAACTCTAAAATAAAAGTTGAATTTTTTTTTTTTTTTTGAGATGGAGTTTCGCTCACGCTGGAGCGCAGTGTTGCCCAGGCTGGAGTGCAATGGTGCGATCTCAGCTCACCACAAACCTCCACCTCCCGGGTTCAAGCGATTCTCCTGCCTCAGCTTCCCGGGTAGCTGGGATTACAGGCCTGCACCACCACGTCTGGCTAATTTTGTATTTTTAGTAGAGATGGGGTTTCTCCATGTCGGTCGGGCGGGTCTCGAACTCCCGACCTCAGGTGATCCGCCTGCCTCAGCCTCCCAAAGTGCTGGGATTACAGGTATGAGCCACTGCGCTCAGCCTGAAATTTTTTTTTAAGTCACACTGATTTCTATCTTTAAATATTTCTGACATCGGGATACACACTGATAGCATGATGCAGTTTAATTGGGGGTATGTTTTTCTTGGTAGTGTATAGAAGAATATCACGGGGTCATCTGATTTCAAGTACAGAAATGGACTAAAACTAGCTTAGTAGGCAAAACAAAAAGAAACAAAAACAAGTTTATGAAAGGATAGGCGTGTCTGACAGAATAGAAAGGTCAGAAACACCCAGATAGCAGGTATCACCACCACAGGAGTTGCTTGTCTTTCTCCAGGAGCTGGGTGCACTCCCTTCTTCCTGTCTCCTTCATTCCTGGCTCTGCAGACTGGCTTTCTCCATTTCTCACACATGGTTTCCTAGCTTAAGCGTCAAGAAAGTTTGATCATAATTACCAGTTTTCAGGAGAGGAAAGTCTGATTGGCCTGGGTCATGTTTCCACCTGATAACCTCAGTCTGAGGAGGGCTTGGAGGCTTGGTTCAGATGGAACAGTCTAGGTGCACCTGAGGGCTGGGGTAGATTCTTCAAGAAGCGGGGAGTGGTCGTTGACTGAATGCCTGAGTTCCTGTGGGACAGGCACAGGAAGGAGTCTAGGCTAGAGATGCAGATTTGGGGGTTATCAACAGAATGGTGGCTTCGAACACAGGTCCTTAAGAGGACTTGGAGTTTGGGACAGGGTGGGACTCGTGAGGTACTGCAACATTTAATATGTGTGGGAGTTGGGGATACTTACAAAAGAGTCACACCTCCGGGAGTGGAGGAGAGTGGTGTCCAGGGAGTGAATCTCAGGGAGGGAGGAGTGACAGGCAATGCCAAGTGCTGCACAGACACAGTGAGTCCACTGACTGCGGAGCTGGGAAGAATTGGGTGATTTGAGCATATTCTGTAGGGTAGTCAGAGTTGGAAGTCAAGAGCATAGCACATTGGAGAGTGAATGGGAAGTCACAAACAGGGCCGAACACAGGCCGGATGCTGTGGCGCACGCCTACAATCTGCCACACCGAAGACTGAGGCGGGAGGATCGCTGGATCCCGGGAGTTCAAGGCTGCAGTGAGCTGTGATCATGCCATAGCACTCCAGCCTAGGCGACACAGCATGACCCCATCTCTTAAAAAATAAGGCAGGGGCAAGGCAACAGTGTAGACCTTTTTTGAAAAGCACCGGAAGATTGGATGATAGAGGGAAATTCGGTGTCTCGGAAATAGTTTTGTCTGTTTTGGGAGACGGGGGAAACTTAAGTTTATAGACTGGGAAGGACGGGGGTTAAAAATGTGGGGAAGACAGGAGTGGCATAACTTTCAGAGTCTTCGAGAATACCCGAGAGGGGAGAA